>NC_000002.12:53220655-53523685 GCF_000001405.40 Homo sapiens | reverse complement strand
AGGCACACATGCACACGTGCACATGCACACACAAACACAGAGCTAATATTCATTGAGAGGTTAGCACGGTGCCTGGCATGTAATACATGTTTTAATAAATGTTAGTTATTTTTCTTATTATGCTGCACTATGAATAGGTGCTTGGCTTTCTTCCTGAGTCTGGTCTAATCATCTCTTATATGAAGATCAGTGTGTTTGTGCTCCTGAAACCATGAGAATTCAAAGAGCAATTAAGGCAAAGCCATGAAGAATGCCCCAGAATTGTGTGGCTATGGCCTGTGAGCATAAGTAGACATGGAGGCCTCATCTGATACGTTAATATGGCAGAATAGCCCCTTTGGGCCATCTATTCCTTAGATGGAATGTATGTAACTATTGATTTTAGGGTGATCCTGAGTACCCAGACAGAGTATAACAAAAGAAATAGTCCCCGAAGTTTTGCTTTCCAATTGTCTATTTTCTTTGGGCAATTGAATTATCTCTAATGATCATTTTTTTCTGGCTTTGTCCTATGCTATTAGCCATCCCCCTAGCTTAAAAACCTTCCCCCTTGCCCTTCTTGACACCTTATCTTCCACAATGTCTTCTCTTTCTATAATGGCGTCTTCTCAGTCCCTCCATGAGTTCCTTGTCCGTTGCTTATCTCTCAAATGTTGATGACCATCAAGGATCCGCTGTCACCCCTCTTCTCTTCTCTCCTTATACATCTGTGTCAGGGAGAGCTACTTGTTTACCTCTACATCTAATTTCTCCTTTATTCTTAGTAACAGAACCTCATGTTAGATGGGCACATGCCTACTTGGGATAAAGATGATAATTCCCAGACTCCCTTGCAGCCATGTAATAAAGAAAAGGTTATTTTGTATGGGACTTCAAGGAAGAATTTTCTTCTGCCTGTCATCTTCCTTCTGATCTGCAATGAGGGTATGATGGTGAAGCTCAAGCAGCTCCCTTGGGGCATGAGCTGACTTTGAGAGTGAAAGCCATGTTCTAGGGTGGTGGGGTAGAAAAAGAAGGTCCTTTTCAGAAAATGTCATATCAGCTCTCGGTTGCTCACCTACAGACTTGTTTTGTACGAGATAGATAGATCCCCATGTTGTTCAAGCTACTGCTATTTTGGGTTTTCCTGTTACATGCTTGGCACAGGTGAACTTCAAGTAGGATGCAGGCATGGACAACGATTGGTGGAGAGGACGATGGGCTGAAGAGTAGAGGTCATACTTTGTTTTGTGTGTACCATTTAAAGTTCTGAAATTATCGTGCAGCTGTAGGGATGTGAAAGACACTCTGTTATTGATTGACATAAAACTTTCTGCCAAATTGGAGGCTCAAAGTTAGATCCAACTGGTGAAGAAAAGAGGTATTTATTGCATACATGGGTTAGTGGAGTAGGGTTCATCTTGCTATACACATAGATGACATTTTGTATAAAACATTCTTTAACCTTCTTTATTTTCCGCTTAATATATTGAGGACCCTTTCCATGTTGATAAATACATATGTATATCATTATTTAAAATGTGCACATCATAGTCTGCTGGAATATATTTGACCACCCCCTTTCCTTCTTTACCAGCCCTTGCCAGCCAGTATCTCAGAAGGTGTATTGGACACTGATGCTTGCTATCACTTGTACATACATTGTGTGACTTTTTCCCAAACTTGGCTCCTCCCTGGTGGTTTTCAGACTAGTTTGGCAACTTACTTATAATCCTTCACTAGCTTTTAGTAGGCATTCTTCTGATCCTCATGTAAGCTTTGCTGGTCTCATGCTGGTACAGGCTCTCTGAAATGACCCTACCCTCTTTGTGGTTCAAGGCCTCAATATCCCTGCATGACCTCCATTTTATCAATCTTTGAAGGCCCAGCTCATATACCATCAACTGCTTAAAGTCTCTTCTTACCCACGCTACCAAATGGAAGTCATCTCTCCCTTATCTTTTTTTTTTTTTGAGACAGGGTTTTGCTCTTGTTGTCCAGGCTGGAGTGCAATGGCACCATTTTGGCTAACTGCAACCTCCGCCCCCCGGGTTCAAGCGATTTTCCTGCCTCAGCCTCCTGAGTACCTGGGATTACAGGCACCCGCCACCATGCCTGGCTAATTTTTGGATTTTTAGTAGAGACAGGGTTTCACCATGTTGTCCAGGCTGGTCTCGAACTCCTGACCTCAGGTGATCCACCCGCCTCTGCCTCCCAAAGTGCTGGGATTACAGGCATGAGCCACCATGCCTGGCCCCTGTCCCTTATCGTAACAGTTTAGCCACTTACCTGTGCTTCCTGTGTGACCTTGACATTTCTAACCATCTCCTTAGGCTCATAGCTCACCCTATCACCTCTCACCAGGCCTTTATCCTTAATGAAAGGATTGATGTCTGACTTACCTCCCAACTCCAGTGATTTTTTTCATAGCCAGGGCTTGGGAGATGTTTGTCGGATAAGTGGCATCTCTGTTGATTTTCCTCATAGTAATGTACTGTTCATGATATCCTAGAATGTCAATACCATTTAGAGATTTGTCATTGCAGTAAATCTCAAGGCCTTAGAGGTAAATTTTGTGTCTGAAAATCCACCTACTATGCTGCAGAAGCAGGTAGCAGGAAAGCAGAGTTATATAAATGACCTGGCTGGATTGTTCTGTGTTGTTTTGACCCTTCAAAAGATACAATGAAAGCAAGAAAAGTGGCTTTCCCAGTGCCTCAGCAGTTGGAGACTGTCTCAGGTTGCTCTTGCCCTGACCTCATTCACCTGTTGAGATCGTTAGCCCTAAAATGCTTAATCAAACGTGTAATGTCTTAAAATTATCAGGCAGGTCAGACTGACCCCGGCCAAATCCTTTCAACTGGCTGACACACTAGGAATCTAGGGCACCGATTTCAGATATATTCACTGGTATGTGGGGCTTCAAAGAGGTCGAGGAGAAATGGATTGTTTCTTTGCTGGGTGGGGATGTCTACAATGCTTAACGAGGCCATTTCTGGGCTTTGCAGCCTGCTGGTGGGAGGCCTGGTGTGACAGGCAGTGAATGTTTAAGGACAATGAACTGTCTTGCTGTGTGATCACTGAAAGATGGTCTTTTATAGTCTCATTGATGAGTCATCCTCTCTGGGCAATCAATTTTTAGCTTGCTATACTTTCTGCTTTCCCTATGAATAAGTTTATTTATAATCTTCAAATCCTCTATTCCTGCTCGGTCTCTTGTTTTGAACTTTGGCTGGGCACTGGCTGGGAAACTTCAGGCTGTTCAGGCTTAGGGTATGTATTTCAAAGTCAAATTGTCTAGACGTCTGTTACAGAAGTTGGTGCGGCTCTGCTGAGCTTGTCACTTGGGAGATGAATTTCTTTATGGCTGGCCTGGCATCGTTAATTTTAGTAAAAAGTTTTTGCATAGTAGTTTTATACACTAATAGTCTGGAAGTGCTCTGCATTACTAATCCCACAGGCCTGGGAAAATGAAAGCCTCTGACAGAGTCTGTCACGGGAAAATATCACCAGCTCCAACACCTGATTACTCCTTGATGTTTCCAATGAATCTGCCAATGTCTGAGCCATCTGCTCCACCTAGGCATTTTTTCTCACTTAATATGAGAATGTAAATATGCCAGTAATGCTGAAGAGCATAACAACAACAGTGATGACGGTGATAGTGGTGATGGCCACCATTTATCAAATAGCAACTACAGACCAGCTGCTGGGCCAGGTGCTCTGTGTACGTCTGTGGTTCCTACCCCCCACTGCATGTTAGAATCACCTGGGGAATATATACAGCAGTCTCACCCCATAGCAATTAAATCAGAATTTTTTTTCCAATATTACTTCCCAGAGCTCCTTTTCATAAACTCTTTTCAAAATTACCATGTAATTTCCCATGATTATTAAAGTAATGAATAATCCTGTTAGAGTATGTTGATAATAAAGAGAATAACAAAATTAAAATCATATATGATTCCAACACACAGAAATGCTCTGTTAACATTTTTTAACAACTTCATTGAGTTCTAATTGACATGCAGTTAGCCGCACATATTTGAAATGGACAGATTGAAAAGTTTTGACATTCTATTAGCATTTTAATATATTTCTTCTGATCTCGTTTTTTGTTTGTCTTTTGAGACAGAGTCTTGCTCTGTCACCCAGGCTAGAGTGCAGTGGCACAATCCCAGCTCACTGCAACCTCCACCTCCCAGGTTCAAGCGATTCTCCTCCTCAGCCTCCTGAGTAACTGGGATTACAGGCGCCTGCCACTGCGCCTGGCGAATTTTTGTATTTTTAGTAGAGACGGTGTTTCACCATCTTTGCGAGGCTGGTCTCGAACTCCTGACCTCGTGATGCACCCGCCTCAGCCTCCCAAAGTGCTGGAATTACAGGCGTGAGCCACGGTGTCCGGCCTCTTCTGATCTCTTTTCCTCCTTCCCTCCTTTTGTCTCTCCCTCCTCCTTCACTCCCTGTCCCTCCCGCTTTCTCTAATACACATTTTGTATTCTGTTCTTTTTAAGTTAACATTTATGATAAAAATTTTTCTGTACAATTTTATTTTTTTAATACATGAGTGTAATGGCTATACAATATTCTGTTGTATGGCTGTCATAGTTAATTTAACATTCATTTAATTTTGGACAGTTATATAATTTCTACCTTTTTACTATCAGAAACAAAAGTATAATGAACTGTTATAAATTGTCCTTGTCAATTTAGACTATTATATATAGAATTTTGGTTGAGTAAAAAAAAAAAACTTTTTGCCTCAGTTTTCCCATATGCAAATGGGGTGCATGTTGATACCTACCATATAAGGATGTTTGATGAATAAATGAAATATTACTTTTGCATAGCAATATTTAGTGCAGCACTCAGCATTTTATTTTTTATTTTTGAGATGGAGTCTTGCTCTTGTCACCCAGGCTGGAGTGCAGTGGCATGATCTTGGCTCACTGCAACCTCTGCCTCCCGGGTTCAGGCGATTCTCCTGCCTCAGCCTCCCAAATAGCTGGGACTACAGGTGACCACCACCACGCCTGGCTAAGTTTTTGTATTTTTAGTAGAGATGGGGTTTCACTATGTTGGCCAGGCTGGTCTTGAACTGCTGACCTCAGGTGATCCACCCCCGCCTCGGACTCCCAAAGTGCTAGGATTACAGGCATGAGCCACCGTACCCGGCCTCACCACTCAGCATTTTATAAGTGTTCAATTTATATTAGCTGTTGTCTTTATTATTTTTGGCATTTAGCTATATGTGTGTATAGCCTTTCTCCCATATTAAGTGGAACCCCTTTGAAGACTAAAAACTTGTGTTATGCTTTTTGTCTCCTTCAGAGGTGACCCCACAGTGGTAAGCACATGGCCAAGCTTATACAATTTTTGAATAAAGTCACTGAATCGATCCATTAGTCAATCAACCAATTCAACCTTTTAAAATGGGTTTTCAACTACCGTAGGCTCTCACAGCTTTCCTCCAGCCTGGAAATTTGGCATGGGCTTTGCCCGTATTTTCTCCTTGCCTCCTGTCATGCTCATTCCCTTTTGAAGCATTTTGCATACAGGGAGCCGGGGTTACAAGTGCCTGCAGTAGGGGTGCTCAGGAGGATTCCATGGCCTCTCACACTGAGCATCTCATATAGTTGCCCTAGGGAGGACTGAGACTCATCAGAAGTGGGTGGGGCTGGAGATTGGAAGGAAAAAGAATGGATGCTTTTTCCCGTGAGAGATGAGATGCAGGAAAATAAGGCAAGGGAAGAGCTGAGATGTGGGTAGGGTTCAGGTCATGGTGAGCTCCGGTCTGATAGGAGTAGGAGTGAAGTTATTTTGCTGGCAGGGGTGGTGTTGGGGGACAATGGCTAGATGATGTGCTTCTCTCCTCATGTGGCTAATCTATGTAAGTTACAGAAGCTTTCCCACAGTTCCATGTTATTGCATGACTCTGGATCTACTGACGGATGGGAGGCAGCCACAAGCAGCAGGCAGCCCCCACTTGCCATTGGATTTGGGGTGTGTGCCGGGGCCAGGATTGGAGGAGAAGCTCAGGGTGATGAATGTTACCTCTTCCGGCATTTTGGATTTTTCATCACTGTGGCAGGATAATTAATTCGACTGCCAATTAATGTTTGTTCTCTATTTTTTCTTCTCCCTTGAAAGCAGGTTGCTAGGGCCTTAGCACGCCTTGGAATCAGAGATTCCGAGGTTTTTAAGTATGTGAAAAATAGAAGCTTCTGGGAGCCAATTTCTCCTTCTTCGTTTGGAACAACTAAACTGAAAAACAAGATTATACTTGCTTTTTTTTTTTTTTTCTTGAAAAGGGAGGGAGAGGGGAGAGGGAGGCTTCCAGCAATTATGGTGCCTCACTTTAATCATGAATCCACACCTGGCTTCAGAGCAGCACCCTAGAAGGCTGCAGTAGCTCAGAGGGGATGGCCATGTAGTCAGCCTGTGAAGGTGAGAATCTAGGCGCCAGGGGTCCCACCCTAAGCAAAGATTCTTGGGCCCCATGTGTGGCATGGACACAGAAGGCCACCATATCTCAAGGGATCACAATGGGCTTGATAGATGAGGATAGCGTCAGTAGTCACAATGGACTAATAGTCCCTGCTGCCATTCCTGGTACCACATAAGGCTTCTCAATTCTGGTGCATCTTTAGGAGGAGACCCATTGCCAGGATGTCTGACTGAAATTCCCTCCGGCCTGGTGAGATGGAGATTTGGAGTTAAGTTTACTACAACAAATTAGAGAAAGGTGTATTTCTTGCAAGCATACGTTTTCATGCCCACTGAGATTTCATTCACTCTGCGTCTCAAAACTGAAGATGGCATTTCCCCTTCTTACATGGAAGAGTTATAGTCAGAATGAAAGTAAAAGTGGGGAAATAGTAAAAGTGTTGTAAATTCTGTGAGGGCAGGGATATACCCGGCGTCTACACGGAAAGCCTTCAATAAGTGTTTGTTGAGTAAATGATGAATAAATAAGTAAGCAAAATGTAAGCGGTTATTTTCACTTGATAGGTTTAGGAAGGGAAACTGGGACACACACTGGCTGAATTTCTCAACTTCTTTGGCCCCTCTAATCTTGAGTGTTACATTCAACTCACTCATTTGACAAAGGCAAGCACGTGGCAGCACCAGAGGCCGGTAAATATCTTCTGAGGTCCCCGTAATAACTGGCTGCCCTGAACATCGGAGAATAGGAGTCGAGAAAGGCAGAAAAGTTCAATTAATTTTCTCTACGCCCACCGACTTGTCATTAGGTCTATTGCCTAATTTTCTTTCACCTGCTCCAGGTTCTTCTAGATGCACAATCTGGGAGACGTGCCTGCCTGATATCCTCCAGTGGCAGAAAAGGTCACATCTGTGTCCTGAACCTATCACAGGGGACCCAGTGTGTCTTGGACCCAGAACTCTGTGGCTGGCACAAAAGCAGGCTTCTGTTTCTTGTTGACCACTCTCATTTTCCAAACTGCCTGGTACATAAAGCCCTGACTCAAGCCATTTTCCCCATTAGCTCTACCTGTGCATGAATGCCTCATTGCATTTCAAATGTCAAACTCTAATGGAATAATAGGCCTTAACCTAGAGCAGACAGTGAGGCTGATCAGGTGTTAAAAAAGCATTATTAATGAAAATGAGAAAAATGACATATTTAAGAGAGTGTCAGATGAAGAGAACAGTGGGCCGGGATAACGGCTTTGCTGTTCACGGGAAGCAGCTGCAAAGGCACAGGTCTGCTTCAAAACAGACGCAGGGATGCTGTGTCTCAGGGAGTGATGGAGATTGCACCTTTCATCACAGGAGGGCAGCACATTGCCTGAACATTAGCTCCTTGCTTCTCCCTGTGTGCCTGAGACAGATTTCACAGAGGGTGGGGAGAGATAGGCAGGAAGCTGTGTTTTCAAACCAACAGGAGTGGGGGCTGCAAGGCGAAGTGGAAAATGAGGGTGATGCAAGTTGCTTTGGGACCAGAAAAGGCCCAGGATAGACTCAGACCCATGAGAGTTGAGTTGAGCAGAAAAAGCCCCAGTGAAGCACCAGAAGCAGGAAGTGAGTTTGTTCATCTGCCTGAGCTTCCAGGGTGATGTAAGGAAAGTTCCTTGACCTTTCTGGCCCCAGTTTTACAGAGACAATAATATCTGTTCTGCCTCTTCCGGTAATTGTTGTGCTGTGGTAATAGATGTGAAAGTGATCTCAAAATATAAGTATATTTTAAATATATTACATTCAAAGTATAAGTATATAAGTGTATTTCACCCAGCAAGTATTTCTCTAACAATTTATCTAAGAATTTTACATCCATAATACCGGAGGCACTGTGTTACATGCAAAGATAAACATGTAAGAAAACATGACTTTTGAATCTAGATGACCACAGGGTAAGGCAAGTGATGATAAATCCCGAAAGTACAAGGTAAATTAAGAGCTATGAGACTTTACAGGAACAAGAAAGGGCTCATTTCTGGCTTGAGGCCCAATGGAAAGCTGCCTGTGGATACAGGTGGCAGGAAAGTGAAGACCATAGTCTGGGCAGATAGGGCGAGGCAGCGTTCTAAGTGTGGGGAATAGAGAAAGACATGGAATGGAAAGGCCTAGTGGTGTTCACGGAGTGCAGCGTACTTGGTTGTTAGGAATGAAGGGTGCCCATGGAAGTCACTGAAAGATGAAGCTCAAATATGAAGAAGCAGCATGATTATGAGGGTCATGAAAGCTGGGATGAGAAGCGGGAACTGTATTCGTTGCTAATAGAGACCTCTGTAGGAAGAATCTTTTTTTTCGCTTTTTAAAGTTTTTTTTAATCAAGATAAATGCTGTTTGCCTTTTTTTCTTTTTAAGACAGAGTCTTGCCCTGTTGCCCAGGCTGGAGTGCAGTGGTGCGATCACAGCTCCACTGCAGCCTCGACCTCCTAGGCTCTAGTGATCCTCCTGCCTCAGCCTCCCGAGTAGCAAGGACTACAGGTGCATGCCACCACACCCAGCTAATTTTTTGTAGAGATGGGGTTTCACCATGTTGCCCAGGCTAGTCTCAAAGTCCCGGGCTCCAGTGATCTGCCCACCTTGGCCTCCCAAAGTGCTGCGATTACAGGCGTGAGTCACTGAATTTGGCTGGGATTTTTCAAGTAATTTAATTCGGTTGGACAGTATAGTGTGGACTAAAGAAAGATGGGAAGCCCCTGTTAGGAGGCTCTTGGAATAGTCCAGATGTAATAGACTAAAGGCTGGACTGGGATAATGATAAGAGAACAAAAAAGAAGGAATAAAGGCAAGAAATGGGAAAAAGGAAAAATCATCAAGTGCCCATTAGATATAAGGATCCAGGGAGAGAAGGTTGAGATTAGGAAGGAGAGGGGCCAAGAATGAGCCTGAGGAGATAAGGTGCAGTTGGACTCAGAAGAAGCTTTTGGGCCACTCTAAGGTGTCTGACTCCCGTCAGTAGCTACGTGGAATCCACGGAGCTTCTAACTGACACAAGGATGCCATCCAAGTTTTCTTTTGGGAGGATCCCATCTAGAATGGAGTCAGCAAAAGTGGTGGCAGAGAGAACTGTCAGAAAACATTATTATCTATTATTTAGATTTTAAAAACTTGATGAGGGCCGGGCACAGTGGCCTGTGCCTGTAATCCCAGCATTTTGGGAAGCCGAGGCGGGCTGATTGCTTGAGCCTAGTACTTTGAGACTAGCTTGGGCAACATAATGAGACCGCCATCTCTACAAAAAATACAAAAATTAGCCAGGTGTGGTGGTATGCTTCTGTGGTCCCAGATACTCTGGAGGCAGAGGTGGGAGCATGGCTTGAACTCGGGAAGTCAAGGCTGTAGTGAGCTGTGATTGCTCCTCTACACTCCAGCCTGGGTGACAGAACAAAACTCTCTCACAAAAAGAGACAGAGAGAAAAAAAAAAGCTGATGGGATGTGATGATCATGTGATGAAAGGCAAAAGAGGCAAAATTATTTTTGAGTTGGAACTTAGAAGGGAAAAAAAGGAGTTGAAGATGACTCAGTTTTCTACCTGTGGAAAGTAGGTGTATGGTGACGTCTATTACTGGGAACCAGGAACACAGGCAGAGGAATGACTTTGTGGAGAACAGAAATTAATTCAGTTTTGGACATGCTGAGTTTTAAGTGCTGTTAAAGATCCAGGTGAAGATGTTTAGGAAGTAGCTAGAAATAAAGACCAAGAGCTCTTTGGAGACACAGGGGATGAAAACAGCAATGAGATTCAGCAGCACAGAGGTATAAATAGAAACAGATCTTGAACAGCACCAAAAACAGCACCAAGCATAGGCTCCTCAGGAACTCAGCCTTTACGAGGCATTTTATAGTCTATACAGAGCTTTAACAACCATTATGTCTTTTGATCCTTAGAACCCTGTAGGGTAGGTAGCGAAGGCTTCGTTATAGGCTAGGTCTCTTGGCAAGACAAATGTATGAACATGGGGAGATCCAGTGGCCTGATATCATAGTGATATTCGAACTTACTTTGCAGAGGAAATTCACCCATTTTTCTTGATCATTTCTTTATTGCTTTGGGCCTTTGGAGGAAAAAATTTCCTCCTTTCTCTTTGAGTTAAACTCTTCATAAAGATCACTAGGAGAGAAATTTCTATAAGACAAAATAGATAGGATATTGTTATATCAGTCAAGATGTTGTTATATCAGTCAGGAATGCTTTTAGCTGCAGGTAACTAACAAAAGTTGAACATAGGGGTTTGTTTTCTTATATGAGAACCAGTCTGGAGATAGATAGGGAACTGAAGATGTTGATTCAGCAGTTCAATGAGAACTAACTTTCTTGGCCTTTCAAGTTATTAGATGACTTCCATGCTCTAAGCATCATGTCCTTCGGTGCAGGAAAAAGAGAGGATGCCATTTACATTGATTTCTTTTTCATTAGCAAAGAATAAACCTGATCAGAAATGCTGCAGAAGACTCTTTCTTACTTATTGGTCAGAACTATGTCATGTGGTTACCCCTAGCTGTCTGTGTGTTTAGGAAAGTGAGACTGTAGCTTTTCCATTCTCTGTAATGAAGCCAGACAAGGAAGAAGAAAGAGTCTGGCAATGGACGTTTGGTTGGCCAACCAGCAGTGCTTGCTATGCAGATTACCTAATCATGTCTCATTGCCTCAGTCATAACATTTACTGTTATTGTTAAAAACTGCAACCATAAACATCATAAGGCAATGGAAATAATCCCTGATCATTATCACAGATTGTTTTACTTTTTAAAGGTTTTTTTTTCCACATTTTTTCACATTTACAAAAATCTGCTTTCTTTCCTTACTGCAATCTTTTGAGGCAGAGGTTCTCTGATAGACGAGGAAACTGCGTGCAGGAGTGGCTGAGTGACTTGCCTAAAGTTGTGAAGTTGGTTAGTAGCAGAGCTGGAATGACCTGATTCTAATAACTGCTCCTGTGTGGCCGGGGCATGAGTAAGTCATGACAAAGCTCTCAGCCCAGACCTCTTTCTATTGGACCACAAGGCTTTTTGTCCAAATGCTAAAATGGTTACTCTTCCAAGTCCTGGGGCCTTGGCATCTTGACAGATGAGTTAGAATGTGTGATCTGGGTGCAGCATGTCCTTCAGGCTTCCCATACTGCCTCTGGTCATAGGTGAGTAGGGACAGTAAGGTGCTGGAGAAGGACAAGCCCCCTGCAGAGGTCCTTTCCCCATTATTAGAATTCTTCCCAAACCACCCCTCCTTGCAAGTGGATAGATGCTGTAGACTGAGAGACAAAAACAACTTTACTGCTCCATACATGTAATAAGGCATCTAGGAAACTTGCTAAATAGAAAAGAGGTATTCATTTGTGAGCAAACAACGACATCATAGGTGTAACGAAGCCACAGATGGAACTGTGGCCCAATTGCTGAGATTCTCCAGGTGACCAGGCTCAACCTGTTACATTTGTCTGTAATCCCCAGACTACAAGTAGTGGGACACCTAGTGTCCCGCTTCACATCTCTGGGAATTCCTGGGGAAGGGGCATATATTTTCCCAGTGATTTTTTGTTCTGGCTTTTCTCTCTTTGTTTAATTATTTCAGTTTATGATTCATATTACCAAATTAAGTATATACCAAACAGTATATAATCCTATTATAAATCTTATCACTTGGTGCTGGTTACTGCTCTAATTCTTTCTCGCTCTCAAAATATTGCCTCCACAGGGCTGTGTGTATTTCAGACTTTACCTAAGCTTTGAGGCCCGGCGGGGGATGACCCAGCTAGGACCAGGGTGAGGCAAGTACCGTACAACCTTAAGAGTGAGCACCTCCTAAAATTTTGCAGCCTAGGTACTACTCTTTTTTTTTTTTTTTGAGACATAGTTTCGCTCTTGTTGCCCATGCTGGCATGCAGTGGTGTGATCTTGGCTCACTGCAACCTCCACCTCCCGGGTTCAAGCAATTCTCCTGCCTCAGCCTCCCAAGTAGTTGAGATTATAGGCGCCTACCACCATGCCTGGATAATTTTTGTATTTTTTTTGTGGGGACAGGGTTTCGCCATGTTGGCCAGGCTGGTCTCCAACTCCTGACCTCAAGTGATCCACCTGCCTCGGCCTCCCAAAGCGCTGGGATTACAGGCATGAGCCACCGTGCCTGGCCCCTAGGCACCTCTCTTACCTTACCATAGTCTGGTGCTGGGGATAGTATCCCATCACAGAAAAGCAAACAACTTAAAACTGATTAATATCTGTTCTTTAAATCTCTAAGCTATTCTCACCCCAATAGCGTTTATTTATCCTCTGCTGCACGGAGGCTGAACTATCTTTCTCTCAGCTCTTCTCTCTGGGGCTCGTTTTGTATTATGTGTTTGGATATTGAATCCTACCTTTCTTCTCTTCTCCTTTCCTTAGTTCCTTTCAGCTCAGCCAGAGCATGCTCCCTGGGCATCCATCCTTCATTTGTGAGAGTCCATCAAGATTTTTCACTAAACAAAAATGAGCTCTTTGTTCTACCTATGAAGAACATTGGTGCAGTCCCATAACTGCAGGCTATCGATCTCTAGAGAAGTGGCAGATCAGTGTATCTGGACCGTGTCTCTAAAGATGCTCAAAATCTGGAGACAGCTGACTGTACTCAGCAGGGGGCCTTTTTGCTGGGAAGCAGTGCAACGAGGTGAACAGAGCACTGGCTTTGAAGCTGGCCAGCCTGGGGCTGTGGAGCTGGCTGGGTGCATGCTGGCAACTTACAAGTTGTGTGGGTTTGGGCCAGTCTCTTCACCATCTTGAGTCTCAGTTTACTCATCTGTAAAATGGTGTTGAAATTATATAAGATCGTATGTATGAAGTTCTTTGTAAACTGTATAGTACTTTAAATGCTCTTGTTATTATAATATAACAACAATAACAACAACGAACCCAAGGACAGGCTCCAGAGTATTTGTTAAAGCAAGTTTCTTATTGTGCAGGCATGGCTTGTGTGGCCGGGGTAGGATGACCTGGACTAAGGTAAGAGTACTGGAGATGCAGCGGCAGGAAAACAGGACGCCATGTTTTCTACTGAATGACCCACTGCAGGAAGTCACCTGCTTCGCCCACTTGTCCCCACAGAGCTCCTCTCTCAGGAGTAGCAATTAAGAAGGGTCTGAAGTGGCAACTCCAATTAATGACTAATTGCTAAAAGTGCTAGAGGAATTTTAACAAGGCTCCTAATGATCACTTAAGAGACCATTAGGTGCATGCCTGAGGCAGTGGCGTAGCCGGAGGAAAACAAACAAAAACCTCTGATCTCTTGGTGGGGGGTCTCTCCTTCAAGGGCATTTTAAAAGCATCTCTCAATTGGAAGTCCGCTGAGATGTGGCTGCAGAAATAATGCCTAGGACTCCGTCTGTTTGTGTTCTGTCTGTGGATTTCATTTTCAGTGTCAGCAAAAGGAACAGAGTGGAATTTTGTGCAGTATTAAGTGCAAATTTAGAGCTGGGAAATTGACACTTGGCTTTGTTATTTCTCGTCTATTTATATGTGAGTATCAACATATTTTAAAACAATGCTTTGACTACTGCAGCATGTCTTCCTTACTGGCCGATGGGAAACATGGAAAATTCTAGGTAAAAAATTATCTCCCTTGTATTTTCAATGAGAAGCGCTGTATTACAAGAGGCCGAGCGCGCTGGCTCACGCCTGTAATCCCAGCACTTTGGGAGGCCGAGGCGGGCGTATCACGACGTCGGGAGATCGAGACCACGCTGGCTAACACAGTGAAACCCCGTCTCTACTAAACAAAAAATACAAAAATATTAGCCAGGCGTGGTGGCGGGCGCCTGTATTCCCAGCTACTTGGGAGGCTGAGGCAGGAGAATGGCGTGAACCCGGGAGGCGGAGCTTGCAGTGAGCCGAGATCACGCCACTGCACTCCAGCCAGGGCTACAGAGCAAGACTCCATCTCAAATAAAAAAAAAAAAAAAAAGGGGGGGGCTGTATTACAAGAAATTAATCCTAATGAATGAACCAAACATTTGCTACCTTTGTTGGGAGTAGGGTGGGAGCGTGGCTTCTTGGGTATGGGGATATTCTTTAGAGCAGCCCATTTTAGGATCTTTGGTGATGTGGTTTGGCTCTGTGTCCTCACCTAAATGTCATCTCGAGTTGTAATCCCCCCGAGTCGAGGGAGGAAAGTGATTGGATTATGGGGGTGGTTTCCCCCATGCTATTCTCGTGATAGTGAGTCTCACTAGATCTGATGGGTTTAAAAGTGGCAGTTTTTCCTGTACTCACATTTATTCTCTTTCCTGCCTCCTTGTGAAGAAGGTGCCTGCTTCCCTTTCTGCCATGATTGTAAGTTTCCTGAGGCCTTCCTGGAGCTTCCTGTTAAGCGTGTGGAACTGAGTCAGTTAAACCTCTTTCCTTTCTAATGACCCAGTCTCACCACAGGGGAGTCTCAGTGAGCAGTGGCTTGCTGAAATGAGGAAGAGACTTTCCCACTGTTCTCATTTTACTTTGGAGGCTTCTAATTAGAAAGGACTGGGAATATTGTTTCTGGAATTTTTTAAAAAGCCACATATTTAGTTCATGGTAAATGGGAAAAGTGAAATTAATAGAATCCCGAGATAAGAAAGTGAGACTTAGAATATTAACCTTCTTGTTTTAATTCCATGTTTCTTAACAGTGATATTTAAGAATTAACTTCTTTATTTTGTTTTTATTAATGCAGAAATTTTTTTTTCTGCCCTTCGGAAAACCTACTGGCCTATTTGCAAAGAAAAGTACTTACTGACACTAGCTCTAAATACGCCCTGGTCGAAATGTAATAAGGAGGCATATTCCTGTTTGTGGTTCAGGACTTAATACATGAGGCAAATTCCTTTATCATCCATGGGGGATTGAAGTGTATTTATTTTTGAGACAGTCTCATTCTGTCACCCAAGCTGGAGTGCAGTGGTGCAATCTTGGCTCACTGCAACCTCCACCTCCTGGGTTCGAGCTTCTTATGTCTCAGCCTCCCAAGTAGCTGGGACTACAGGCACATGCTACCACGCCTGGCTAATTTTTGTATTTTTAGTAGAGACAGGGTTTCACCATGTTGGCCAGGCTGGTCTTGAACTCCTGGCCTCAAGTGATCTGCCTGCCTCGGCCTCCCAAAGTGTTGGGATTCCAGGCATGAGCCACCATGCCTGGCCTGAAGTGTAAATTTGTTTAAAACTACAGTAGCAAAAGAGTCCGATGCCTTTTCCATGGTCAGCCCTGCTTTATAATTAGGGATGCTGTGCATTAGTTACATTACATTTTCAGTAAGTGGGACTGAATTTTAGAGAACTGATAGAAGCTATCAGAAGGTATTTGAAGCTGTGATTCAGTAAAATGCCTGCACATAGAGGAATTACAAATGTGGCTAGAACCAAGTCCTGGTGACTTGAGAATATTATAACATGTTTTACTGTAAATGTTGATGTCAGTGTGTTACAGTGTCTGTAATTCACTTTACATACTTTAGTGTAGATTGGATAACAGTAAGAATGTGTGTGAGTTTAAGCTGTATGTTTGGGGGAAACCAGTGGCCCTAATCAGAAGTTCATGCTCCAGGAGTGTCCGGCTAACAATTAATCAGAAAAAGCCATACTCCAGATGGGGCTACTGGGGACTTCTGCTATACTTATTTTTGATCAACCCTAGAGGATTTGCTGATTAGAATAATAGATGTTAGGAATGAGGTATAACAGGTGAAATTAGTGACTTGTTTATTAGCCTAATTGACGTATGTAAAGGGCTCTTTTTGGTGAAATTAGTGTTATTAAAGAAGTATGAATCAGTTAAAATTCTTTAAAGATACTCTGTACCCTTTTACAAATAAGGTATAACAATCTAGCGAGCCCTCTAGGGAGATCTCATTATCTGATGCCTCATCACCTGTGACCAGAGACAGTGTGGGAAGCCTGAAGGACATGCTGGACCCAGATCACACATTCTAACTCATCTGTCAAGATGCCAAGGCCCCAGGACTTGGAAGAGTAACCATTTTAGCATTTGGACAAAAAGCCAATAGAAAGAGGTCTGGGCTGAGAGCTTTGTCGTGACTTACTCATGCCCCGGCCACACAGGAGCAGTTATTAGAATCAGGTCATTCCAGCTCTGCTACTAACCAACTTCACAACTTTAGGCAAGTCACTCAGCCACTCCTGCACTCAGTTTCCTCATCTATCAGAGAACCTCTGCCTCAAAAGATTGCAGTAAGGAAAGAAAGCAGATTTTTGTAAATGTGGAAAAAAAAACCTTTTTAAAAGTAAAACTATGCTGTGTAATGATCAGGAATTATTTCCATTGCCTTATGATGTTTATGGTTGCAGTTTTTAACAATAACAATAAATGCGATTGAGACAAGGTGGGATGATTAGGTGATCTGTGTAGCAAGCATTGCTGGTTGGCCAACCAAATGTCCATTCCCGGTCCCTTCTTTTACTAGAATGTACAAGATTGCAGTCTTTTTCAATAAGGGATAGGATAGTTAATATTTTATGCTGTGCCAGTCAAATGGTCTCTTTTCCAATTACTCAATTCTGCCTTGTCCCATGAAAGCAGCCATGGACAATATGTACAGGCAGGGCTGGTCTTTGGTTCATGGATAGAAGTTTGTCAACCCCTGCAGATAAGTGTTTCATTCATAACAGGTGAATCTTTCAAGCCACATTGGATTACCTAAAATGATGAACCCACGGGATGTCAGTGAGCAGATAGAGCAGAGTGTGTGGAAGATTTTGTGATTACTTGATGATAAATGTTAGTATGCGTGTGGCCAAATTTATCGAGAGACTTGCTTCCATCATATGTTTGTAACAGAAAATAAGCCTCATATATCTGAAAAATGTTGGTGAATACTTACCTAACGACTTCATGGTTGTATGTACTGAATTGATGTAGGCCATGACCTTGAACACCTTGGTCACGATCAGGATGCTTCTCTTAGATGGCGGCCCCACTCCTGCAGTGATTCATGATTATGCTGGTACATGGTAGGTGCTAAATGCAGATTTGCTGAATTAATGAATGGCTTGACCTTTTTCCCTTGGCAATTCAGTTTGAGGTGGTTGTATGGCAGATGCACCTGACAGCAATAATTTAACTTAAGGTCATGGCCTACGCCAATTCAGTATATAACTTAAGCCTACGCTGAGAATGACCCTTTATGGCAGACACACTGGAATGTGTGTTTAGAGTTTTGAGCTGAGGAATCCAGGAGTGGCTAACCCAGAGGGTCATTCTTTACTGATGAGGAACGCCTAAGCCTTTGGACAGTCCTGTGGAATGTGGGCTGTACAGGGGATTGAGGCCTTTTGTTTTTGGGTAAATGAAAATTGCCAGGTGGAGGTTGTTAGGGGAGGGTGTTAAGTAAAAATGCTATATAATCTGCATGTTTTCTGCAGAATGGCAGTTCTCCTGTCCAGCCTACCACCTCTGGGCCATTCCCATATGTAAGTTTCCCTCAATAAACCCCATGCCTTGTTTGCTGGCTCTTGGTCTCCTATTTGTCCTTTTGAAACTGGTGCCATCCCTATTGAAGTTAGTAGGGGTCCAGCACAACCATGGGCTGTTTCCTGGGGTCCTGATGTACTTAGTATTTAACCATCCGTGTGAGCATGAGAATTAGGTAAACATATGGATTAAAATTGTGCACACTTACAGTATTGACTTAGATATGTTCACTCATAAACATCATCTGATGGTTAAAGTCCTGCTTAATATCAGGTTGCATGGAGTAGGACAATGAGCTTTGTACACAAAACAAAAAAACGAACTTTGTAAACAGGCTATTTTTATGCCTCATATGTCTTAATTTGGTCAACATGATTTGGAGATGAAATTTTAATTTTTGAAATGAGTGAATCCTCATTGTGCATAATCTAGAGATAATTGAGGTAATTGCTGACTATAACTGGGAGAATGGGGGTGGCACCTTCTTTTTTTCTTATTTAGCTTTTTTCTCTCTTCCTCTATAGCTGCCTCCCATTGCAATGAGACTTTTCTTGTTTTAATATGTCTCATAATTTGCAAACTGAGCAAATCTTTATTAAGCAACTCTCATGTGCATATCACTGTGCTAGTTGCCCCAAAGGCACAAAGATTAAAAAAGGTAGTCCTCGATCTTAAGGTCAAGTGGAAAAAAGGAGGTAACACTTTTTCCACTGGGGGGAAAAAGCTTAGAAGGCTTCATTTAATCTGGACCTTCAAGGACAGGTAGGGTTTTGACGGATGGTAAGGGCTTGCTGGTAGAGAGAACTGGGTGGGAAGACTTAGAGTTGGGAAAGTGTTTGCATGCAGGTAAATAGTCCAAAGTCAGGCCTGGAGATGGGGGTTCTTTTTCATGTATATCTTGGGAACCTGGGGGTTGTGAGGGAGGATAAGAAAGCTTGGCAGGGAGAATACTATTGTGCTAAAGGAAGTGTTTGATGCAGCTTGAGCTTTAACATCTGCTGGTCTATTCTAAGTGGACAAGAGCCAGGATATGCACGGTTCTGAGTGGTTATCCAGAGTGAAGAGAAAGCTGTACCTGTAAAGGTGGCCCTCTCTAGAATTGAGGGGCTTGAGAGAGCCTGAGGAGACAGTGAGCTGGGACGCTGGTAGGCTGCTGGGACTTGGTCTCTGTTCCCTGCCTCCCTCCCATTCCTCACCATCTGAGGCTGATGAGGCGTAGCCAGCTTCCTTGGCAATGTTTTTTTTTTGTTTGTTTGTTTGTTTTTTTTCTGGCTGCATAAGAATTGTCTGGGGTTCTTTTAAAAACTCGAGACTGCTCAGGTCCACTCTAAATCTAAATCAGTGAACGTCTGAAGTCCACTGAGTTTAGGTGTATGCAATTTAATCCTTTGCTGAGTTTGAGTGTATGCAGCTTAATCCTTGCAATGATATTGCGGCAGAGCTACATTACATGACTTCAGGGGGCTCAAAATAAGTAAGTGGTCTGAGAAAATGGCAAAGCCAAGGCCTAGCACTAAGATAATTAGCTCCCAGGCCCCTGCTTTTTCTATTACACCAGTGCTGTCTCAACAACAAGACCGGCTCTCCTCAAAGCCAACTGTAAATGTTTTCAAATCATGGCATGTTCTGGCCTTGTTTTGTATGAAGACATTAGTCCCTGGGGAATATTTCAAAGCAAAGTCTTCTTTTCAGCATGCGTAGTTGGGCACTTGTCATTTAAGTTTCAAGAGAGAGGAGAGGGTATATATATCAAGTATTCCCTGGCTTCTGTTAAAATTACCTTGGGTTTTGGAAGATTTTGTTCATGTTTTAAACCTTTTGTTCCTGAGGTGCTATTCTGGATGGTCAGGTGATGAGCAGGTTTCAAAAGAAAGAATGATACATTTCAAGTTGTCTGCTTAATGATGTTCAAAAGAAGCCGGTGTAGGTGATTGGAGTGTGAACCCATGGGCAGGGTATGTTTTAATTTCCATTTAAAGTGGGGCGCAAGCCTGTGGGGAGCCAGCCTGACCTCATTTAACTGGCAAAAGGTAGATATGTGCATAGCTAATAAGAAAGCATTTTATATTTGTAAAAGGCTTTATGCTTTGAAAGTTCTTTGACACATTTTATTATACTTTTGATTCCTCTAATAGTCCCAAGAGGAGGTCAGTATTATTATAACCTCTTTGGCTATATGGAAAATGAGATGTAAAAAAATGTAGCAGTGTGCCCAATGTCACCTATAATCCCACAATCACATTGGCACAATTACAGTTCTAGAGATCATGTCTGATGCTGTTTCTGTTACAGTAAAAGCAACCACGAGACAGGGTACACTCTCCCCTTTTAAATTAAAGTGAGATCACTGTATTACTAGGTATCACTTCTGACTGTGTGGATTCATTGATCAATCAGGCAAAAAACTTCATTCCTTTGGACTCTAAAATCCTCTTTTGAATAAATGAGGATGACAAAGGAGCCCTAAGTCTCCTTGATATCTTAAAATTGTGTTTTTCTTCTAGTGGTTTACTTTCCGTGGAACATTACATGCTTCCTTACCCCACTTCCAGGGAAGGTCAAGTGTATTTTAGCCTGCTTCCCAGGATTGGATTGGATATTTTGGATTTCGTAAGCATGTCTAAAAACCCTTAAGACTGCTTTTTTTTACCCCAAGAATTGAAGTGGGGGAGGTAGGGAATCAACTCAGCTAATGAGGTCCATCTTTTCCCTTAATGTGCATAAAGTATAGCTATGCTATGATATCATTAAAAATTCTTTCAGAGCTATTTGGTAGAGATACTTGTAGAAAAAAATAGAAAGATGGAAGGAAGACAGAAGAAAAACCCAGCCTGTTCTGGCAGAAGGCTGTTCTGATAATTCTAAAATGCAAAACATAGGTGTTGGAAAAGAAAAGGCATCAACAGGGTGAAGAAGCAGAGAGCATTAGTTAAGAGGCCTTTAGAATCCATAATGCCAGCCTCCTCATTTTATAGATATGGAGCTTATGCTTGAGAGAGGTACATACCTTACCCAAAGTCATATGGCAGGCAATGGCAACGCCAGGCTGGAAAGAAGGGTGCCAATTTTTGAATGTCTATTTTGTCAGGGGCTTTAAAAATCCCCCAATTTCTATGAGTTCATGTCCTTTGTAGGGACATGGATGAAGCTGGAAATCATCATTCTCAGCAAACTATCGCAAGGACAAAAAACCAAACACCCCATGTTCTCACTTATAGGTGGGAATTGAACAATGAGGACACATGGACACAGGAAGGGGAACATCACACACCGGGGCCTGTTGTGGTGTCGGGGGAGGGGGGAGGGATAGCTTTAGGAGATATACCTAATGTAAATGAGAAGTTAATGGGTGCAGCACACCAACATGGCACATGTATACATATGTAACAAACCTGCACGTTGTGCACATGTACCCTAAAACTTAAAGTATAATAATAATAAAAAAAAAACTCCCGATTTCATGGGTTGAAGTATGTTTCTCTCAGTTTCCCATTTTCCCAGTCCCAATTCATATGTTGACATCCTTACCCCAGTACCTTGGAATATGACTTTATTTGGAGATAGTCTTCATGAGGTTAAGAGGTAAGTCAAGTTAAAAAGAGGTCATTGGGTGGACTCTAATCCAATGTGACTGGTGTCCTTATAAAATGGGGAGATTTAGATACCCATGAGCTTACAGAAACAACACCATGTGGGCTGGGTGCAGTGGCTCACGTCTGTAATCCCAGCACTTTGAGAGGCCGAGGTGGGTGGATCACGAGGTCAGGAGTTTAAGACCAGCCTGGCCAACATGGTGAAACCCCATCTCTACCAAAAATATAAAAATTAGCTGGACATGGTGGCACGCATCTGTAGTCCCAGCTACTTTGGTGGCTGAGGCAGGAGAATCACTTGAACGTGGGAGGCGTAGGTTGCAGTGAGCTGAGATTGCACCACTGCACTCCAGCCTGGGCGACAGAGCGAGACTCCATCACACACACAGAAAAAAGAACACCATGTGAACATGAAGATGGACATTTACAAACCAAAGAGAAAGACCTGGAACACAGCCTCCTCGAACAGCCCACAGGAATAACCAACCTGTCCACACCTGGATCTCAGACTTTCAGCCTCCAGAACTGGGAGACAATAAATCTGTTGTTTAAGTCACCCAGTTTGTGGTACCTTGTTAGGGCGGCTCTAGGAGATGGTTACCCCCAACAACTTCTTTGGTGGGTATTGTTTTTCTTGTAATATTTAATAGTTGAGGAGGCCGAAAAGTTGTTAAGCAGGGGAGTTATGTTAGATTTCAAAGTCCATGCAGCTTTTGCCATGTGATGTGGCTCTGCTGGGAGGAAGAGCTACGAGTTAAATAGGTCTTTCCTCTCCTCCTTTACCCTACATTATTTAGGTGTGAAACTGTCATGGAAGCCCTCAGTGCATTTAGTGACCACCCAGCTTTACAGTTGAATCATGAAGTTTTTTTTTTTTTTCCCCCTCAAGAGAGGGTTTTTCCTCAAGTGTTTTCAACTGTGAGAATTGGTAGGCCACAGGTCTAGGTGGATAAGCTCTTAGCTTTAGCAGTTGGAGAATTTAAACTCTTCAGTATATCAAGTGGTTTGTTTCACTTTAAACCCAAACGTCTACAGCTGCAAGTAGAAATAGTACAACCAGTCAAATGTCAGGTCACAATTATGCAGAAATTAAGATGCAGTGTTTCTTTTCAACACCAGGAAGCCCACTGTGAACGGGGCTAAAATGTGAGGTTAGGAAGCCCACTGGAGTGATTGCTATTAAGCAGTCTTAAAAGCTACTTAGGTTGAGAAGATGTGTGGTTGTTTCATTTTTTTAAACAGTTCCAAAAAAATGGTTTCTCTCAGTGTTGGCCTGTAAACTCTAATAGTTTGTTTTGCAAATCAAGGTAACTGTTTTGTAGAAAAATTATGTTTTATAGAATCATGTTTTGTAGAAAAAGCATATTTAAGTAATTTTTGTTTTTGTCTTGAAAAATCTCGAAACTTCAGCTTCCTTAGCTATGAAATGTGGTAAGATCTGCTTCATGAGATTTTTGTGGGTGTGAAATGAAGTGTGTGTTAGGAATTTTGGGAAGGTAGAAAGTCGTACACCAAAGTAAATAGTAGTTTTAATTAGACTGTCAGTTTACCCAGGTAAACGTTAAAATAGCCTTAGAATCCATTCATTCAGAAGTGAAAGCCAAGGCTCCCTTCTCCTATTTTTGAAGACCAGAGTGAGTATATTTGTGTATGGCATACGACAATACTTTGGGGCAAAACGTAAGTGAATTCAAGGTCTTGATATTATTAACTGACATGTTCCTCCTCTCACTCTTGATAAATGGCTTACAGCTACATCTAAAGGTTTTCACTCTATTTGTTCTTGTATTTCTGGCTCTACTGAGTCAGGCATGGTTTGCACTGGCCACGGTCCAAGGTCTGAGTTTTTAAAAAAGTGAAGAAGACAAGCAGCTGTGTTGTACCCATAGCACCAAACCCAGTCACATAACACAACCTCACTGTTCCCTCTTATAGCCATCTAGGTGGGTTTATGGCAATCAGGGGCAAAGAAAAGGAAAAAGGTATATGCAGTTCCGGGAGATTTGCTGGGAGGAGGTGGCAGAAGGTGCATGCAGAAGTGGGGAGTGTGGGATTGGAGCGCAAGGGGGCCATGTAGAAGCGTGCCTCTGGAGACTTCCTTGGTTTGAATTCCAGCAGTTTCCCATCTATGCCAAAGTTTTCTCATTTATAAAATGTGAATGATGAAAGTCTGGTGATAAAACAAGTTATATATGTAGGCCAGCACATGGCAGCACTCGATGCTGGCCATTGTTACTCTCTTATTTTGATGATCTGTTTGTGTGTCCTCTTCCCCTGTTAGACTGGGAGCTCCTTGAGGATGTCTTGTTCATCTTTCTGTCTGCTAATATGAATATTGTTGAAGGAATGAACCAAAAGGACTACAGGAGTCTTGTTTACCTTCAACGTCTCTCTTAGCCTCATCTATCATTATTCTTGAGGATAACATGAAAGTAAGTTGGAGGGGTTTGGTTACCCAGCAGTTGGCAGGGATGGGGTGAGAAATCTCTCCATTTTTTTTGAAACCATTTGGTTCTGGTTGTAGACAAGACATACGAATACTATGGCTCACTGATAGCCCCTCAGTGTCGACAGCAGCAATTTTAAAAGTTAAGGGTCAAAAGAGGCATTGGAGGTTTGTTGTTACTTAGAATGTGCAAGCAAGCGTCTGCCTAGAACAAAGTGGCTGAATATAAAATTTGCCTTGAATGAGCAGCATCAAGGATAAGGTCATTTCTTTACTGATATTGAGTGGCTCATTTGTTATCACAGTCCTCTGCTGTCCTGTCTCTGCCTTTCTTTCTGGCTTTGCAGGGCCTTGCCTGCCCTTCCCTCCTGTCTTTGCTCTCCTCTGCTGTCAGCGTTGTTTGTGTAGAGGCCAATCCCCATCCTAAGAGAGCGGGTGACTCAAGGGAAGAACCGCATGTCCTTACATTTCCCACCTTTCACCGCTTCCTCATCCCACATTGATCAAGACAAAAGTAAGCACTCAATAAATGTTGGCCGGATTTCTTCCTGCCTCCCTCTCTTTTCCCCGAAGCCAAACAGGCCAAACTTGGCTACACATAGCTTTGAGGCTCATACAATTGAACACATTTTCTAGGGTCACAACTGAACAACTAGATCAGCTCACATGCTGTTAGGAATAGTAAGTAGCAGGTAATTCAGTGGGTTTAACACCCAGAATGGATTTCACTTTTCCCAGCTCTCAGTTTTGAAGCCTTACTGATGTGTAGCAGGAAACATAGCACTGTTATTGTAAATCCAGTAGAATACAGGGTCCTGCAAGTCCTGTATAGTGGCCTTATCACTGTGAACACCAGCATAGTCATGGGGAAGTTGGTCTGGGTAGCAGAGGGTTTTGGCCTGTTTATGGGGGCAGTCTCCTCTTCTGCTGTCACTGTTAGATCACATGTTGGGGTCCCTTGTGAAGCCCATGTTCTGTGGATTCCATGTCTGCCCCTTATTTTAGTCATACCGGATTTGTGAAAATGGTTTTTTAGAGGGTAATAGTCTGGCTGTCCTTTAGAAATTATATATTTTAAGTGGATGGTTGCGAGAGACTTGGAGTTTTCTAGAAGATTTACTTCAATTAAATTGTGTGTGAGGTATGTGTGTTAGGGGTGCGTGTCAGGGAGGTCCCAGGAAAGCTTTAGAACCAGCTGGGCCATTTCAATGTTCAGAATGAAAACAGAAAAGAAAAGTTTACCTTTGTATCCTGGAAGGGGTAGATGGGAAACATGTATTCCATACTTTTGGAGTTTATTTTGGCAGCAGGACATAGCCTATTTCTTTGGCACACTGTGTCTAGTGGATTACATCATGGGCATTTGTTTATTCTGCCTTGTGGAAAAGATCTCTCAAAGGCAGAGCTGTGTCCAAACAGAATCTAGTCAGCTGTGTGAATTCTTGCACAAACCAGGGGACTATGGGTAGTCACTTTATATGATCCATGTATGAATGAATGCAACATTGATGAACAGTATAGCACCATGTAAGGCAGCAATCAGTTTCTAACTGTAGATGAGGGAATATTTATTATGAGATGGAAAAAGAATTCATAAACCAGCATTTCCCCATGTGAGTTCCATGGAAGACTAGTCCCTAAATATGATCCACAAAACGATGGTTGAGTGGAGCTCTGTGGTTTAATATGTTTGGGAAACTCTGCGAACCATATACTCCTTAGAAATTCATGATGTGGATTAACTTGTTAATGACTCTGAGAAGTCCTCCAGTAAAAATACCAGAGTTTGTTTAGCCCAATGTTTCCCAAACATATTTTAGTTTGGACCACTTTTTTGTGCATAATACCAATGAATATCCTGGATAGTGGTGTTGTAACATGCTTGGAAATCTCTGTAATAAAGCGCAAGCCTTTGGACTAGTGGGGAGGGAATTGTTTTAAACTGTACTCATTCTGGAAAAGTTATTTTCTTCCCGTCGGAACCTAGAGAAACCTACACAGTGCCCTGTACTCAGTAATGCACAGAAGGTGTTATTTTCTAGTAGGCATTTTTGCAGAATGAGTGTTAGGGAAGAAATGCATCTCAGTATCTCTGCAATGGTTCTGAATCTGTGTGGAAGTAAATAGAACAAGAACTATTAATAGCTAGATTTGCTGAATGATAGTACAGGCTGAACACTGAGTTGCTGCATAAGTAGAAGACGAGGTTTCTCTCTATTCGTTTGTAAGTATTTGTTACCCACTGGCTTCTAGCATCATGCTACACTTCAAGGATATAACTCTGAAAAAGACATAGCCCCTACTTTCAAGGACTAGTGAGGAAGACCTAAAAGTACACAGGCCATGACACTTCAGTGTGAAGCATGCTATGATCAGGGAAGATCAGGGAGGACCCACCAGGGAGAAACACCCAATCAAGCCTTGTTGGATAACAGCAAAGTTTGTTAAAAGGAGGTGACAGCCAAGCAGAGGTATGAAGGGTGGAGAGTGGGGATTGGGAAGAATGTCCTGGGCAGAGTAACAGCCTGGGCAAAGGCTGGGAGGAGAGCAAGTGTGGCACGTTTGGAGGACTTAGAGATGAGTGGGCTGGAACACCATGTCTTAGGTGTGGGAGTGGCTGGAGAGGGGAGATGCTGAACAGGGGTTGCTAGATTGTGAAGAGCCCTGCCTACCATGCTGAAGGGTGTCTTTTCTCTCCTTGATAAGCATAAGGAACTGGTACAAAAAGGTGAGGAGCCTGGATTAGTGGATGAGCAGTCTGCTCAGGGACAGAAACTGGATTAGTGGATGACCTGGGATCAGATAATAAGAGAAAAAGTTCTGGGGAGAAGTATCCTCCCAAAGCTGCCAGTCTATGCATTCCACCAACACACCACTGAGGAGAAATCGGCAATTAGGCCAGAAACACACAGGAGTCGCACGTTTGTATGACTGGTGGTTTCCTTGAGTGGATAGTATGTACACCTCTTTAGTGTCCATATTATTCGTTAGCCGACTGCATGTTATTTATTACAGAGTTTGCATTAATGTACTCTCAGCTACTCCTTGTTTATTCTCACTTACTCTACAAGTATTTATTGTGCTTTTGGCAGTGCCAGGTGCTAAAGATATAATACATGACACAATAGTTACAGTCTGCCCTACAGTCTGGAGTGGGAGACTGACATTATTCAACAATCATACTAATAAACGTAAAATTACAACTTTGATAAGGGCCATTAGGGAAAGTACATGGTGTTATGTGATCATAGTCTTGAGGGGCAGGAAAAGCCTCCCTGAGAAGGTGGGCTTTAGGCCAACAGCAGAAGAATGAACAGGAGTTAACTAAGTAGGCTGAGGGCAGGGGACAGTGAATAGCACCTGCAGCAAATGAGGGTCTGGTTCATTTAAGGAACTGAAAGGAGCTGGTGTGACTGGAGCCCATGGAGCAATGGGGAGTGGAGCAATAGGGATTGGGGAATTAAAAGATTTTAGACTCTACAGAGCCTTATAGATGTGTTGAATTTGCTTTTGTTCCAAGAGTGGGAAAACCAGTGGAGAGTTTTAAATAAGAGGTTATATCTCCAGATTTGTGCTTTGAAAAGATTATGCTGGTCACATCATGGAGAGTATATCGGAGGCAGCCAGAGTGGGTATGTAGACCTGGCTGCTGTGGGACTGTGGGTGGTGCCTTGGACTAGGGTGGTAGCAGTGGAGGTGGGGAGGAAATAATTCAAAAACCACTTAGGAAGTAAGCTTTACAGATACGTGATGCGTTGTGTATGGAGCAGGGAGAGAGAAGTAGGTCTCCTAGACTGTGTGCAACCTAGGTAGAGACTACTGGGTCAGATTTTAGGGGAAGGATAATGCAATGAGTGTTGGTCATATGGCTATGAAGCTGGGAGGAGGGTTATGGACTGAGATATAAGTTGGCAGAATTGGCATTTAGGGAGTGATTGATGCTATGGTGTGAGGAGTCTTAGGGAGACGGTAAAGACTGAGGAGAAATTGAGCTAAGGAAAGCCTGGAGGTGGTCCAGGCAGAGGAAGATGTGCCTTTAGAGAAGCAGTACAGAGACCAGCCAGAGAAGTTAGGAGAGAAAGTAGCAACATGAGATATGAAAGGCAAAGGGAGAAATTATTCCAAGAGGAAAGTTGTGGTCATTAGTGATTGCTATGAAAACATCAAATAAGATGGGCAATGAAAAAATGAAAATTGGATTTAGTAACATGGAACTGATCACTGGCCTTCATGAGAATTGTTTTGTTAGAGAAAAGGAAGAGCCTGAATGGAATGCCTTTTATAGAGTTGGTAGTACGGACTCACTCCTTCATGTAATGTAATGCAGAGGCAAGTAAACTGAGTGGGTTCAGCACCTGTGTGTATTCACAAGCCTGATGCTCAGAGTGAGAGAGGTAAACAGTTTTTTATAGAATGGTGTGGAAATAGCTGTTTCCTGTGGGCTACATGTTATAGACATACACACATAATATGCTAACACACATACATACACTAACACACACGCATACACTAATACACACACTCTGAATGTACTTTATTTTAAGTACCCTGAGGGTAAGGTCATGTCTATCTTGTGACTATTTGATTTTTGTAAATAGAGAGTAATCAATAAAAAGTTGTTAAATCAGTATGCTTAAAAGTCTTTTAAAGTACATTAAAAATTGAGACTGCTTCACCAGTTTTTTTTTTTTCTGTTGATGGAGCAAAATGAAAGAATTATATGACCTTATGTTAAAAAAATGTCTACTTGATAGTCATCCCATGGCGAGCCTGAAAAAGAAATAGACATGATCAATTTTTTTTCCCAGAAGGCTGTAGCTGACTAGCTTTGGTAGATATCGAATGCCATCAAAATTCTGCTAAGGTCGAAATCCGCGAATGTAATTTATCCTTTGTTTATCCTCTTGGGCAATGAGAATAAGCATTTGTCTCAAACTTATATTATCCCCACTTTATTGAACCACTTTGCAAAAAACTGAAGCATGATTTATGGTAATGTTTCATAACAGCTGGTATTAATAAAATGGGTAAAGGTTTTGCAGGCTTTTCAGGATGAGGCTCTAAATTTTTAGAGAAAAAGGATATTATGAATTACAATTTACAAAGTAGCTTGGTTCAATTCAGAGCTTTCAGGTTGCTTATATTTCAACCAGTTGGTAAGGAACACTGTGTAAAAAAAATGTTGACTACTTCTTGCTTATTTAAAGGCCATTTTAATCTTATGTGGCCATTGATAGGTTGCTTTGTAGGATGCTGTGGAATTTAAAAAGAAACATCTATAGAGTCTCATTCTATAGGGCAATAATTCTCACACTGTGGTCCTGGAACCAGCAGCAGCAACGTCACCTGGGAACTTGGTAGGATGTAAGTTTTTCTGTGGCCCTGCCCTGAGATGCAGAATCAGAAGCTCTAGGGTTAGGGCCCAGTCATCTTGTTTGAACAAGCCCTGCAGGTGGTGCTGATACACATTCAAGTTTGAGTACCCCTGCTCTTAGGGTAGCATTATCTTGGACTGTGTACATGTATGCATGTATGTGCTCACACTGGAATATTACACTCCCAAATAAACATCAAAAAGTCTTGAATGTAGAACAAAGTAATACTTTACCTACTCTGTAAATGTATGCCCAGCTCACTTCTGGCTCTGCACAGCTTCAGGGGCCTGGGCTTTCCCTAAACAGCTGGTCTGAACTGTCCCTTAAATTTGTTGGTAGCGTTAATGATTCAGTCTTTGCTACACTAGCTGTGAAGCTTTGAAGGTCACTTATTTTAAGACACCAGTTAAAGAACAATTACCACAAGCTAGGTACTGTGCTAAGAACTTTGCTTTCAATATCTTTTTAACCCTCAAAACAACTGTATGAGTAGGTGTTTTAATCTTCATATCACGTGAGGAAACTGTAGCTCAGAGAGGCTTAAAGAATTACTTAAGGTCGCTCAGATGATAAATAGCAAAGACAGGATTTAAACCCGTGTTTTTACCTATTATATGCTACCTATGGTTGCTGGTCACCATTAGCAAAAAGGCTTTCCCATTGGCTGTTCCTGTCACCTATGTCCTGGAAGCCTGGAGCGCCAGGTTTCTTTCCCCAACAATGGTTTACTTGGAGTTTGGATCTGACAATTCCATATGCTCAGGTAAAGAAGCATTAGCAGGATACAAAAAGGTGTTTTTGAGAATTCTGAAGAATCAAAAAAGGATGAACATGAGGAACATGTTATTGGAAAGTGGAGGAAAGGGAATCCTTGTTATATAGCAGCAAAAACTTAGATTATCCTACAGCTTTGGGGAAAGCAGATTTTGTAAGTGATAAAACTGTACATAGCTGAGTAGCTTTGGGAGCAAAATGTTGAAGATGTAGATTGGTTTCCTTCCTCTCTGCTTCTTTCCTCCCCTGCTCCATCTGTTCTTGTCTTAGTCTGCTCAGGCTGCTATAATAGAATACCATAGACCTAGTGAGGAATAAACAATAGAAATTTATTTCTAACAGTTATGGAGGCTGTGAAGTCTAAGATCAAGGTGCTGGTAGGTTTGGGGTCTGGTGAGGGCCTGCTTTCTGGTTTTTGCTGTAAACTCACATGGGAGAAGGGGCAAGGGAGCTCTCCAGAACCTCTTTTATAAGGGTACTAATCCTACTCATGAAGGCTCTACCCACATTCTGTAATCACCTTGCCAAAGCCCCACCTCCAAATACAATCACTTTGGAGGTTAGGATTTCAACACATGAATTTGGTGGGGCAGAGACACAATATTTAGTCTGTGGCACTTCTCCTCTCCTCCCCTCCCCTCTTCTTTATCCCCTGCCCTGACTCACTACTCTGGATTTGGACATGTATTTCCTTATTTACAAGCAACTTGAAGTTCACAGTATTTTTCAGTCATTTCAGCTTTTACTTTAGATTCAGGGGTGTATTATTCTGTTCTCACTGCTATGAAGAAATACCTGAGACTAGGTAATTTATAAAGCAAAGAGGTTTAATTGACTCCCAGTTCCACATTGCTAGGGGGAGCCTCAGGAAACTTACAATCATGGCAGAAGGCAAAGGAGAAGCAGGCACCTTCTTCACACGGTGGCAGGATGGAGTGAGTGCCAGTAGGGGAAATGCCAGACGCTTATAAAACCATCAGATCTCATGAGAAGTCACTCACTATCACAAGAATATCATGGGGCAACTGCCCCATGATCCAATTACCTCCACTTGGTCCCACCCTTGACCTGTGGGGATTTTGAGGATTATAATTCAAAGTGAGATTTGGGTGGGGACATAGAGCCAAACCATATCAAGGGGGCACATGTGCTGGTTTGTTACATGAGTATATTGCATGATGCTGAGATTTGGGGTATAGATCCCATCACCCAGATAGTGAGCATAGTACCCAATAGGTAGTTTTTCAATCTGTGCTCCCTCTACTTTCCCCCTTCTAGTAGTCTGCAGTATCTGTTCTCATCTTTATGTCCATGTGTATTCAATGTTTAGCTCCCATTTATAAGTGAGAACATGCAGTATTTGGTTTTCTCTTCCTGCATTAGTTAGCTTAGGATAATGGCCTCCGGCTCCATCCATATTGCTGCAAAGCACATGATTTCATTATTTTTATGGCTGTAGTATTCCATGGTATATATGTACCACATTTTCTTTATGCAATCCACCACTGATGGTCACCTAGGTTTGTTTATTCCTTATCTTTCTTTTGTAAATAGCACCATGATGAACATATGAGTGCATTTGTCTTTTTGGTAGAATTATTTATTTACCTTTGGGTATATACCCAGTAATGGGATTGCTGGGTTGATTGGTAGCTCTGAGTTATTTGAGAAATCTCTAAACAGCTTTCCACAGTGGCCGAACTAATTTACATTCCCACTAACAGTGTATAAGCATTCCCTTTTCTTTGTAGCCTTGCCAGCATCTGTTATTTTTTGACTTTTTAATAATAGCCATTCTGACTGGTGTGAGATGATATGTCATTGTAATTTTGATTTGCATTTCTCTAATGATTAGTGAAATGGAACATTTTTTGTTGGGCTGTTGTATGTCTTCTTTTGAGAAGGCTCATAGTATTTTTTGTACCCCAATTTATGTTGTTGGTTTGTATTATGTGCAATTTTATTCATTCTCCTTGTTCACTTGTGAATATTTTTAGGAGGTGGGGAAATTCATATTTGGGTGGCTGCATTGTCTTATGATGAGATTTCTAATCCTTGATATTCTTGACATTTTTGGCCAGATAATTTCTTTGTTGTGGGGGACTGCCCTGTACATTGTAGGATGTTTAGCAGCACTCCTGGCCCCTACTCACTAGAGGACGGACGGTAATAGCTATTTATCCCTCCACCCCGCATCTTGAATCGTGACAACCAAAAATGTCTTTAGAAATTGCTAAATGACTCCTGGGATGTAAAAATCACTCCCTAGTTGAGCACTGCTGTTTTATAGGAATCTTCCCATCTCTTTTTGCTCTACTTCTACACTTTACTTGGGAATTTCCTCAGCTTTATCTTTCATTTCTGTCAGCATGACTTAATATTTGTTGTTGTTCTCATACTGTTTCTTTAAAAAAATTAAAATAACATCCTTTTCTTCTTCTATAAATGTGATGTTTTTTCTTTCCTTTGACTACATTATTTATAGTTATTAGCTTATTGTTTTGATTTTTCCTCTCTTACCTTTGTTTCTGCTAAGTACTTTTATCCCATTGGTTTGTTTTACATTTTGTCTTTGTAAGGAAAATGGATGTGCTTCAATCAAGACTAGGCTGAGGTAAAAATCTGGTGCAGCATGACACAACAGGATTAGAGCACAGGCACACAATCCCGTGCATTATATAATCACAGTTGTGTAACCATGTCACGGGTGGGCTCATCACCTGGCTCTGACCCACGGTTGTCTATGAGTAATATAACTGCACTGCTAACTCTGTGAGAGGGAGCCAGCTGCTTTGCAGGCAGACAGAGGGGAGCCAGAAAGCGGTGAGTGCACCAGGGAGTGCAGCTGCAGGCGTGGGGGTGGCAGGAGCTGTGGAGCTTGTGCTGAGAGGGAGTGAGGCTGGAGTGGGCAGCTGAGACAAAGACTGTTGGAGAGAGAGAGAATAAAACCATATCCCACTGCCTATGATCCCTTGAGTGTTCTTTCAACTACCCGTCACTCATCTACCAGCTCCCCTTGGACCCCAGCTTGGGCTGGAACCTGACAGTCTTCATGTTAGATGGATTTTCTAAACTGATCACTATTGGTTAAAATTCATATTTATGAGTGAGACACTACAATACTGATTGGAAACCCTTTGTATGCATGTGGGACATATTTGTTGGTCTTCAGTGTAGGGTAACTGGATAGTAATCCCATCATTTCATGGGGGAATCCCTAATGTCAGTGTCTATGTGTCTTTTCTCTTGGCTTGATTAGTTCCACCAAAGAGGAAGCCTCTAATTTTCCACTTGTTAGTTGGCATTTTGGGAGAGGCTCAAGGGAAGAGGCCAGGGCAGTAGGATAGGGTAGGACAGGTGAAACCCACACTTTCCTTGTCTGTTCTGTCTTTTTCATAAACGCACTCCCTAAGCTTTTCCAGGTTCCTCTGCTACCAAATCCTTCATATTTTAATCTCTTCAAATAATAAACATGTGGTTTTCTGCTAGGGCATAGAAGGAGATCAGGGGCTTAGCTGTTTCTTTTAAAGACTTTGAACCAATTCTCCTACTTTCAGTTTTATGCCTTACTATTTTCTTAAAGATACCTGATACCTGCAATTCTTGGGCATTTGCATATTGCTGTTTGATGCCTCCTGTCCCCAAACAGCACTTAGCTTTTTGTGTTTATTTTTTAGGTCAATTGCCTCTTACTGATTTGTTTTCCAGTTCCTAAAACTTGCTGTATTATGGGAGAGAGTTGAGATAAATGCAAATACTCAGAAGTATTTTGTGCAAATAAATTAATATATTCAGTCAATTGTATTCAACTGGAGCTCCAACATGGTCTTTATCTTAGCGTGCTGGTTCTCAAAGTCTTTTCAGACCAGCAGCCTCAGCATTACCTTGAATACAAGGTATTCAAGGTAATACCTTGTTAGAAATACAAATTCTTGGCCAGGCGCGGTGGCTCACGCCTATAATCCCAGCACTTTGGGAGGCCTAGGCGGGCGGATCACAACGTCAGGAGATTGAGACCATCCTGGCTAACACGGTGAAACGCCGTCTCTACTAAAAATACAAAACATTAGCCGGGCACTGTGGCGGGTGCCTGTAGTCCCAGCTACTCGGGAGGCTGAGGCAGGAGAATGATGTGAACCTGGGAGGCAGAGGTTGCAGTGAGCCGAGATCGCACCACTGTACTCCAGACTGGGCAACAGAGCGAGACTCCGTCTCAAAAGAAAAAAAAGAAAAGAAATACAAATTATTGGCTGGGCACAGTGGCTCATGTCTGTAATCCCAGCACTTTGGGATGCCCAGGATGGAGGACTGTTTGAAGCCAGGAGTTTGAGATCAGCCTGGGCAACACAGTGAGACCCTATCACTAAAAAAAAAGAAAAACAATTAGCTGGGTGTGGTGGTGTATACCTGTGGTCCCAGCTATGTGGGAGGCTGAGGCAGGAGGATTGCTTGAGCCCAGGAGGTTGAGGCTGCAGTGAACCATGATTGCACCACTGCACCCAGTCTGGATGACAGAGCAGGAACACCCTACCTCAAAAAACAAAAAAAAGCAAATTCTGTTTTTTGTTGTTGTTTGTACAGATGGAGTCTTTCTTTATTGCCCAGGTTGGTCTTGAACTAGCCTCAATCAACCCACCTCGGCCTTCCAGAGCACTGGGATTACAGATGTGAGCCACTATGCCTAGGTAGAAATGCAAATTTTTGAGCTTGATTCCAGACCTCAGAAATCAGAAAACCTGGGAGTGAGGCCTAGCAATTTGTGGTTAGCAGCCTTCAGGTAATTCTGATGCACATTAAAGTTTGCCAACTACTGTAATAGAAGAAAACTAGAAGTTTCTAAAAATCCAGACATCTGCCTAATCATCTAAGACTGAATGTTCTTTTAATCTTTGCCTTTTTTTCTATTTCAGGAAATTATTTTAGTGTTTCAGAATTTTAGCTCTCATGAGCTCATTGCTGAGACATCTGAGAACTAAAAGGGCATTTTAATTTAAAATATAATATTTAACTTCACACATGTACTATTTTTGTAATGTCTGCTTATTTTTAATAAATATTTCAGTATTTCCTAAAAGCCTGCTTATATTTTTAGAATCATTTTTGTTTTTTTTCTATACCCTATTTAACTATGCTGCCCTCTATAGCCCTTTAAATTGAATTCAAATGCATTTCAATTATTTCCATTTCAACTTTTTGGGGGAATAGTTTTCATTTTTATAGTTATTTCTTCAGTACATTATAGAGCTCTAATTAAAATTCCTTGCTTACTCCTGTTTCCTCTGAACTCATTTTCTGAATGTCAATGTCTTCAGCTTTTCTTTCCTCAATTTTAGCTGGCTAACAAGAATAAATATCGAGATTTTTTTTTTTCCTAACCCAGAATACTTGTCATTACTTTTAGAGTTATGGAAAATAGAATGGATTAGAGAATATTTTCTCTGACTCATACTTAATATTTATCTTTCCTTGTCTTCAGCTGTCAACAACTTGAGGCAATAAACAAAAACAAATCAGGGGCTTGGGGATCCACAGCTTTGTAGTGTAGCAAATAGCAACCTCTGACTCTTAGTGACAACAGGGGACGTTCAGTGCTCCCTGCCATCATATCTGGCTCAGATATAAAAGGGAAACATTTTTCATAATAAAGTATCATACTGATTAAATTTGTATAACCCTTTGTAGTTTTCAAAAATATCACAATTCACCTCCACAACTCTCTGTAGGCAGGGTCAGTTGTTTCTGTTTTACAGGTGAGACAACAAGCGAAGTAGGTAACCAGGCCAGGGTAATTGGGTTAGTTTGCCAGGGCTACCCATAACAAAATACCACAGATTGGGCACTTAAACAACAAACTTGTTTATTCACAGTTCTGGAGGCTAGCAGTCCAAGACAAAATTATTGGCAGGTCTGGTTTTTCTGAGGCCTCACCCTTTGGCTTGCAGAGGGCTGTCTTTCTACTGTGTCCCCACCGTCTCTTTTATCTCTGGGTGTGGCTCCCTGCGTCCAAATTTCCTCTTCTTGTAAGAACACCAGTTGGATTTGATTAGGATCCACCCTAAAGGCCTAGTTTTAACTTAGTTGCCTCTTAATAACCTTATATCCAAATACAGTCATATTCTAAGGTACCGTGTCCGGAATTGGTGGGTTCTTGGTCTCACTGACTTCAAGAATGAAGCTGCGGACCCTCGCGGTGAGTGTTACAGTTCTTAAAGATGGTGTGTCCGGAGCTTGTTCCTTCAGATGTTCAGATGTGTCCGGAGTTTCTTCCTTCTGGTGGGTTCGTGGTCTCGCTGACTTCAGGAGTGAAGCTGCAGACCTTCACAGTGAGTGTTACAGCTCTTAAAGGCGGCGTGTCTGGAGTTGTTTGTTCCTTCTGGTGGGTTCGTGGTCTCGCTGGCCTCAGGAGTGAAGCTGCAGACTTTCGTGGTGTGTGTTACAGCTCATAAAGGCGGCATGGACCCAAAGAGTGAACAGCAGCAAGATTTATTGCAAAGAGCAAAAGAACAAAGCTTCCACAGTGTGGAAGGGGACCAGAGCAGGTTATCGCTGCTGGCTCGGATGGCCTGCTTTTATTCCTTTATCTGGCCCCACCGGCATCCTACTTATTGGTCCGTTTTACAGAGAGCTTTTTGGTGCGTTTACAATTCTTTAGCTAGACACAAAAGTTCTCCAAGTCCCCACCAGATTAGCTAGACGCAGAGCGCTGATTGGTGCATTTACGAACTTTTAGCTAGACACAGAGTGCTGATTGGTGCGTTTACAAACCTCTAGCTAGACACACAGTGCTGACTGGTGCATTTACAATTCTTTAGCTAGACACAAAAGTTCTCCAAGCTCTTACTAGGTTAGCTAGACACAGAGCACTGATTGGTGCATTTACAAACCTTGAGGTAGACACAGAGTGCTGATTGGTGCATTTACAATCCTTTAGCTAGACACAAAAGTTCTCCAAGGCCCCACTAGATTAGTTAGACACAGAGCACTGATTGGTGCATTTACAAACCTTGAGCTAGACACAGATTGCTGATTGGTGCATTTACAAACCTTGAGCTAGACACAAAGTGCTGATTGGTGCATTTACAATCCTTTAGCTAGACAGAAAAGTTCTCCAGGTCCCCAGCAATTCAGAAGCCCAGCCGGCCTCACCTAGTGGATCCTGCACTGGGGCCACGGGCAGAGCTGCCCGCCAGTCCCCTGCTGCGCCTGGCACTCCTCAGCCCTCGGGCGGTTGATGGACAGGGCGCTGTGGAGCAGGAAGTGGCGCCCCTCGTGGTGGGGAGGGGGGCTTGGGCCACGCGGGAGCCTTCCGGGGGCTTGGGCATGGGGATGGAAGTCAACAACAGTACTGGCAGTGGAAGGGATCCCTGCGGTCCAAAAAAAACCCCAAGATGGACAAAATATTGGAACCAAGCACACTCCCGCAACCCAGTGTGGCATCTGGGTTTGAACCAGCAATGGAGGTCATTTTGCTTCACCTCTCAGTACTAGGGGTTAGGTTTTAACATGTGATTTTTTGAGAGGGACACATTTCAGCACACAACAATAATAGTAATCAGGTGTTTTTCTGGTCCCAGGCTCAGCTCTTTCTAGTTGACCAAAATAGAGAACAAAGTGCGAGATAATGACAGCCACAATGAAGAAGTAGGAAAACTAAAGATAAAAAATCCTTATTAGAGCAAGTGCCAACTAAGAAGGCTAAAGCTACTCTCCAAAGAAACTTATCTTTGTCTCAGCCTTTCTGGATTTTTTCTACTTTTTTTTTTTTCTTTACTTCTTTTTTAAACCTTGTTCTCACCTAGGAGATATTTGTACTTCCCTTTTTAGCTTTATTGAAAAGCTTCTAGTACTGTTCTCTAGCTCAGCTTGGGCCTTTGTAAGTGTAGACACAAAGTTACTCTTTCAAACTCAAGCAAATCCTCATTTATCTATTTTTAGGATGTCTGTTTCCTAAAAGCAACACAGAACTTGAAAAAATCTCATCCTGGCTTTCGGGTGCTGGAAAGGCATGAATTCCACAAAAAAGAACACTCATCTCCCTGAAGTACTCCCTATCCTTGTGTTGGATTGCTAAAACACTTCAGGGCTTGTGAATTAACATAGTATCAGACACACTCTCACTTCGAATTCCCAGCCAGTTTTCTTATTTTAATAAAATAAGGTCCTTCTCTCACTGGGGACAGTGAGAAATTGCCCTCCCTTTTCCCAAAGTGCATGATAGAATTTAAGAATGACAGATTCACTAAGCCTCTGTACAAATACACTTCTGGTCACATTTTGCAGAATGAGGCATTTTTAAAACTTTATGTGCTTTACTGAAGAAGCAGCACAGATGTGCCAAGAGACTCGGGTTTATTCTTTGGAAATAACATTTTTGGAAACTGTCTCATTATATCTCTTTCCCTTGACTACAGGGTTCTCTGGAGAAATAGAATCAATAGGATATATATGAGATTTATTATGGGAATTGGCTCACAAGATTATGGAGGCTGAGAAGCCCCACAATCTGCCATCTGCAAACTGGAGAACCAGGAGGGCTGGTGGTGTAATTCAGTCCAAGTCTAAAAGCCTGAGAACCAGGGGAGCCAGTGCTGTAACTCCCAGTCTGAGGCCAAAGGTCTGAGAATGAGGTGGGGGACAGAGTACATGTTGGAGGAAAATGGAGGTGTTCGTATAAGTTTGAGTCCAAAGCCCTGAAAGCCTTGAGCTCTGACGTCCCAGGGCAGGAGAAGATGGATATCCTAGCTCCAGAAGAGTGTGCCCTCCCCCGCCATATTTTTGTTCTACTCAGGCCCTCACTGAATTGGATGATAGCTGTCCACATTGATGAGGGTGGGTCTTCTTTACTCTACTGATTCAGATGCTAATCTCTTCTGGGAACGCCTTCGCAGACACACCCAGAAATAATGTTTTACCAGCCATCTGGCCACTCCTTAATTTAGTCAAGGTGACACATAAAATTAACTGTAACACCCTTTCTTAAACTATGTCCATGTGTCATTTTGGGATCAAATTTAGTGTGTGGTACATTAGAGCCCATGTTTCAAATCAGAGTTTCTAAGAGCATTGTCCTAGCCACATCAGAATCCCTTGGTTCTTGCATCAAAGTCAGTTGGAGATTGTTACAAATGTATGTATTTGGGGCCCACCCTAGACCTCCTGATTCAAACCGAGAATCTGCATTTTAACAAGCACTCAGCCATTCTTCCACAATCTAAGTGTTAAGAAGTACTGCTTTAAATGAAAGCCAATGAAAAAAATCCTTCATAATGTTATCGAAAAGGGGTCCTGATCCAGACCCCAAGAGAGGGTTCTTGGATCTTGTGCAAGAAAGAACTTGGGTTGAGTCCACAGAGTAGAGTGTAAGAAAGCTTATTAAGAACGTTTATTAAGAAAGTAAGAAGCAAAGGAATGGCTACTCCATAGGCAGAGCAGCCTTGAGGGCTGCTGGTTAGCTATTTTTATGGTTATTTCTTGATTATATGCTAAACAAAGGTTGATTATTCATGAGTTTTCTGGGGAAGGGGTGGAGATTTCCCAGAACTGAGGGTTCTTCATCTTTTTAGACCATATAGGGCAACTTCTGGATGTTGCCTTGGCCTTCGTAAACTGTCATGGTGCTGGGGGGAGTGTCTTTTAGCATGTTAATGCATTATAATTAGTACATAATGAACAGTGAGGACACTAGAGGTCACTTTTGTCACCATCTTGGTTTTGGCAGATTTTAGCTCGCTTCTTTAATGCATCCTGTCTTATCAGCGGGGTCTTTATGACCTATATCTTGTGCTGACCTCATACCTCATCCCTTGACTAAGAATGCCTAACTTTGTGGATATCCAGCCCAGTAAGTCTCAGCTTCATTTTACCCAGCCCCTATTCCAGATGGAGTCATTCTGGTTTGAATGCCTCTGACAACAATGTCCCCTTTCTGGTCTCAGACGAAAATCTGGTTTTTATTTTGGCACACAGATGTAGTAGAATTAATCCAGTCCGTTGTGTATCTAAAGTTTACACTGGAGCATGCAATTAATGTCTGCTTGACGTTCAGTAAGTGCTAAGTGTGTGCCTGATTGCGTATCCACATGTGTGTAACCCAAGGAGTGTAATGGTTTAGTTTAATAGAAGGAAATTCAGGCTTTATCACATCTTGGTTTTTTCTTTTGAGAACCTGATTTTTCTTGGATAAACCTTCTGTGCATAAATAAAGCTACAGACCAATGGCTCTTTGAAGGCCTGTGGACACCTCTGAGGGCCAGTCAAAATGAGTAACTCTCCACTCAGGGATCTGCTGACCCAATAATGATAATGAAGCATGTCCTACTTCTGCTTGTTCTAAGACCATTTGAGCCCACAATACTTATTGGCATGTACTGGCAATTATATTAGCATGTAATTCAGCTATACCTTCTCAAATTAGAGGCCTACTTACAAAAGGCTGCTGATTCAGTTTTCCAAAATTTAATTGTCTTTATGATCTCTGCTCTTACAAGGAAGAGCTGAAAGCGTACTTTTCTTTTCTTTCTTTCTTTTTTTTTTTTTTTTTTTTGAGATGGAGTCTCACTCTGTCACCCAGGCTGGAGTGCGGTGGCGCGATCTCGGCTCACTGCAACCTCTGCCTCCCGGGTTCAAGCAATTCTGCCTCAGCTTCCCGAGTAGCTGGGACTACAGGCACGTGCCACCAGGCCTGGCTAATTTTTTGTATTTTTAGTAGTGGCAGGGTTTCACTGTGTTAGCCAGGATGGTCTCGATCTCCTGACCTCGTGATCTGCCTGCTTCGGCCTCCCAAAGTGCTGGGATTACAGGCATGAGCCACTGTGCCAGGCAGAAAGCTTACTTTTTCTTTCCTACTCCGAAGTGCGTAATAGGTCTCAGGAGCATCTGGACCACAGAGATTCTATAGACAAAGGAAAAGGGAGCCCTTGGGGAATAGTGAACTGATTTTACTGAACGTGATAGGACAGATCATTGAAAGAATAGTAAAAGGTGAATCCCACCTAGATTGAGTCATGCTACAAGTGGAATGTGGGTAAGTTTTGTGGAGGAAACACCCAGGAGGAGCTATCCAACAGGCTGGTAGGAGAGGCGGGCACTGACACAGGATTTGGTGAAGATGGGCCTGCAAGAGATAGGAAAGGCTTGTAACGCCTGTGGAGAGGAATGGAACGGGAAGTTTCACTGACAAAATAAAATGACTTTTGTCCTTGTGATAGTTTGCTGAGAATGATGGTTTCCAGCTTCATCCATGTCCCTACAAAGGACATGAACTCATCATTTTTTATGGCTGCATAGTATTCCATGGTGTATATGTGCCACATTTTCTTAATCCAGTCTATCGTTGTTGGACATTTGGGTTTGTTCCAAGTCTTTGCTATTGCGAATAGTGCTGCAATAAACATACGTGTGCATGTGTCTTTATAGCAGCATGTTTTATAATCCTTTGGGTATATACCCATTAATGGGATGGCTGGGTCAAATGGTATTTCTAGTTCTAGATCCCTGAGGAATCGCCACACTGACTTCCACAAGGGTTGAACTAGTTTACATTCCCACCAACAGTGTAAAAGTGTTCCTATTTCTCCACATCCTCTCCAGCACCTGTTGTTTCCTGACTTTTTAATGATCGCCATTCTAACTGGTGTGAGATGGTGGGGGGAGGGGGGAGGGATAGGATTAGGAGATATACCTAATGTTAAATGAAGAGTTAATGGTTGCAGTACGCCAACATGGCACATGTATACATATGTAACAAACCTACACATTGTGCACATGTACCCTAAACCTTAAAGTATAATAAAAAAATAAAAACAAGCAAACAAAAAAACCAAAATAAAATGACTAAAGAATTGTTAGCCCTATTGTGGGCTTCACTGGTTTTGGAGTGCAGGCAACAGAATAACCATAGAACTTTCTCTTGGGATACTACAGGGCCAGACATGTGAAATATGATTGTCAAAAAACTTTTACCTCTTGGTTATTGTCAAACCGAAGCTATTGATTCTAGTCATAGTGGTTCCAGGTTTTTAATCTATTATGAATAACAGTCTGTTGGAATAGCAATGAATAGAAATGAAGAAGCCTTGGATATAGTTGGTAATAAAAATTACTATAGATTACTACTCTAAATTTTTAGAGTAAGTGACTACATGAACTCAAATGGAATAAAATAATTAAAAAATTGAAGAAAAAAACATAAATAAAACAGTATTAGCATTTCCTAGGCTACTCAAAGGAACAAATAGTTCAAGTTTGGCCCCTTCTACAGTGAGAAAACAGCAAAGAATATATACTTTTTTCTAAGATCAAAAGATAATGACTAGTTGACAGATTTATTATTTAGAAATATGTTTACTCTGAATTAATACACAGGGTTGGTCCTATATTGTCTAGATCAGTGCTTTATAATAAAATATAATGTGAGTCACATCTGTAATCTTAAATTTTCTAGTGGTTTCATTTAAAAAATGAAAAAGGTGAAATTAATATCAGCTAAATTTTATTTATGCCAATATATCCCAAACATTGTCATTTCAACATGTAATCAATATAAACAAATTGAGATATTTTACATTCCCTTTTTTCATACTAAGTTCCTGAATCTGATATTTATTTTATAGTTACAGCACATCTTAATTTGGACTTTCAGTGTTTGAAGTACTCAGTAGCCACATGTGGCTATTGGTTACACAGTATTGGACAGCTCAGATCTAGAAGACTGTGTATTTCATATTAATGTAAAACATTATGAGTTTAGAAACCTGTCTCCACAGTTTGGAAATATACTTTGGGATTTTTCTCAGCCAATATCTCTTTGAAGTTTGTCTAATTAGAAGCATCTAAGTTACAACGTTTTACCTTGAGGGATTTTTGGGATGGAGTCAAACCATTTTTTTACTGAAATGGCATCCCTTTGTGGAAGACAGGAAAATCTCAAGTGTTTGAATAAATGGGTTTGTTTTTCTTTCTGTTTGATTTTAGAGACAGTAAATTTTGAGTTCTGGTTTAACATTTGCATGGTGTTTTTTTTTCTCATGAAACAGAAAAACGTTGGCATTCTTTGAAGACATGGGGGGATTACAGCTAGAATAATTGCCCCATGTTGGATATGTTTATATAATTATGACTTGCATTAGTGTGTTGGGTATGAATACAGCCTCCCAGGGATTTTCTCCATCCTTACTGGACATGGAAGTAGGATCATTCCTTTGCTCTCAAGAGTGAGTAGTAGCAGAGAGATCCACTGGACTGATGGGACTATTCGAACAGGTATGAGGGATATCTCATGCTTGGATGGCAGACTGAGTCAGGGCCAGGTAGGGGCCTCAGCAGACGCCTTCATGACAGGAAGGTATTTATTATTTATTTAACAAATATTTCTACAGTGCTTACCAAGCACTAAAGGCTGTCCAAGCGCTTTATGAATGTTAACTTGCTTAATCCACATGATAACCCTGTGACATAGGTGATAACCCAGTTCACAGATGAGAAAACTGAGGCACAGAAGGTTAAGTGACTCACCCATGGTCTCATAGCTAGTGACTGGCAGAGCCAATGAAACCCAGTCAATCTGGCTCTGTACACTCTTAACTACTTGCTCCTCTCAGCTGCTCCAACCATGACAGACCCTCCTCCTGGCCCCCTTGGCAAATGTATGTGCCCCACTCTCCTGAAATCATGGGTCACCTTGGGAAAGAGGTCATTAAGATGATGTTTTCTCCACTCCTTCAGAATGGCAGGTTGAAATAGGAATTTTAAGTGGTCAAAAATAAAAATGCCATATTTTTTAACATATGAGTTTCAAACATGAGTTTAATACCTGCTATACAAATGTAACTTGTTACCATCAGTAATTGGCCTCTGGAGTCTGTTTATACGCAGACTTCTCAGTTCTTGGGAATTCCGAAGAATAATGTGTTACATGATGCTGCAAGAAAGGATTGAGAGAATCTTCTGGGCTTAGGGTAGAGATAAAACCCCTCTGCTATCACCACAAATATTGCCTAAAGTTGAGTGGCAACTCTTTCTTGCTTTCCTTGTCAAAGGATAAAGACACAAGTCAGGCAGTGCCTTAAGGGAAGCTACTTCTATTGAATATATTTTTGGAAGAGCTATGATTGAGTTCAGTGTGAGAACAAGTGTTGGATATGGGCTAGTTCAAGAGGGCAGGGACAAAAGGTTTAAAAACTTCTGCAACAAGGTCAAAAGACACCGAAACAGTTTTTAAAAGAAGCCTTTTGTGTGAGCTCAAAACAGAAACACATGCTAAGTCACCTCTGTATTATTTTTAACTGTGAACACTTAGGTCTGTAGTTGTCTAATTCAGAGCATGATTATTCATTTGGCCTTTGTTTTGTGTAAGGAGCTGGTTGCCCTCACACTAAATTATTTTGTACAAAAATCCAATTGCAATGAAGTATTCTATGGAGTTTTCACATGTTAGGGAGGGTTGCTGGTCACCTTGACCAAGCTTCTCTATGCTATAGTATTTTTCTCTGAAATATTTGAATTCAGCATTACTAATAGCTTTACACTTGTTTCCATAGAAAAATTGAAAGGACTGTATTTATGGGAACATTTATATTTATTTTCTGACTGCCTCTAGCTGTATGGAACAGTTGATTTTAGATACATGAGAAATATTATAATTTATATCTGGGGTAGATTGTGGGAGCAGGAATGGTTAAATTTGAGTGTATATAGAACAAGAAATGTATTAATATAACTAGATTTGAGTAATAGTAACTAATTTATTGAGCACTTCCACATGACAGGCGTTACCCTGATTTCTTTACATTTATGTTTTTAAAGCTTTACCTGAAACTCTTATCAACTAGGCACATTATTATTCTCTTTTAAAGACCAGGAAGTTGATACTCAGAGAAGCAAAGTAACTTGCATAAAGTCACGTAGCAAATCATGTCAAAGCTTGGGTTTGAACTCAAGTTTGTTTAATTTCATGCTTCTAACCATTATCCTCCACTAATAGGACCTAGAATTAACCTTAGGGTAGGAGACAAGAATATTTGTGTGTGTGTGTGTATGTGTGTGTGTGTTGAGAAAGAGTTGATCTAGAACAGGATTTGGCAAGCTTTTTTTTTTAAGTGAAAAAAAGCAGATAGTAAATATTTTAGGTTTTGTGGGCCATGCATAGTCTTTGTTGCATAACTTTTGTTTTTCTAATATTTAAAAAATCTAAAACCCATCATTTTAGCTCTCTATTTATAAAAAAAAAAGTAACAGGCTGAATTTGGCCTGTGGGCTATACTTTGCTGATCCTTGTTTTAGAAACTTTTTATATTCATGTATAATAACAATGAGTGTGAGTTTTGAAAGGAGGTTTGAAGACCAGAAATTGTTATATATACATCTGTTTATCTCTCTATGTATGTATAGCATCTTCTAACTTCAAGTTCTGTGGTAGTAGAAAAACATTGCTGCATTCTTGGAAAGTGTGACTATTTCATTAAAATTGATAAAGTGCAAATAACTCAGATGATTATAGACATATCTTCATATATTTAATGCACATATATATGTGTAAGCATGAATTGATACATATGAATTGATTTCTTAATCAGTACCCAATGTATTCTGTAGATTATATATTGAAATAAACCAAAGCAGTTATGGAATAAGAGTTTGATGTATATTATAGGATTTTGGTGTAGGAAGAGCTAATAAATTACACTCTCATTTCCTGTCTCAAGTTTTAATCCAATCAAGAAAGGAGTCTAATGAAGATCAAAATGTTGGTTTTGTTGCTGATATGGCTATATGAAAAAGCTTAGGTCTGAGCTTCTAACTATTGAACCCTGGAATCAGAATTACTCACCTAATCTTAGGCTGCATTGGATGACTGCAGTCCTTTCCACGTGGGGCAGAGTGTTTCCTGCTGTGTGCCATATACCTCAAGGGTGGTGGACCAGGGAAATGTCTTTGCTGGGAGTCAGATGTGGAAGAGAGGAGGAATAAGCTCAGCATGTCCACATCACTTCCTCATCTCAAACTCAATTATCACCCCTAGATAGTCCAAATTTGCCTTAAAAGATATCAAAAGATACTAGCTTTGTGGTCCAAAGTAGAGACCCCAAAGGAGAAATTGGTGCTCAATTGTGAAGGTACGCTGATAGCAATTTTTTTTCTTTTGAGATGGAGTCTTGCTCTGTTGCCCAGGCTGGAGTGCAGTGGCACGATCTCAGTTCACTGCAACTTCTGCCTCCCAGGTTTGAGCAATTTTCTGCCTCAGCCTCCTGAGTAGCTAGGATTACAGGCTCCCACCACCATGCCCGGCTAATTTTTTTTGTATTTTTTAGTAGAGATGGGGTTTCACCATCTTGGCTAGGCTGGTCTTTGAACTCCTGACCTCGTGATTCACCTGCCTTGGCCTCCCGACGTGCTGGGATTACAGACATGCGTCACTGCGCCCGGCCGGTACACTGATAGCTATTTTATTTGTTATCATTTTATATAAAACTAGATGGAAAACAGATATTATGTCAGCTTTTTAGTCTGCCAAGGTAAGTCTGATTTGGCCCTATTTGTGTTATGTCCTGGTCAGTGACATTGATGCCAGTCTAATGATTCATTTGTTGCTGAAATGCTGAAGTTGATCAGGGCTGTGTCAGTTTGGTGGCAGTCTGTTGCCCTGGGGCAGTGATACCTGTCACGCAGACCAGCCACACCTGAGAGGCCCAGTGACAGAGCCATAGTCATTACATTTCAGTGTGTTCAATTTTAGTTACCAAGATCAGAAAACTGACTGCTGGGGAGGGAGGCTCATTTGGGCTAGCTTAAATCAAAGTGATAGAATGCACAGTATGATTCAGGTTTATAAGATGATGATATAAGTGTGTTAGTGCTTTTATTTGTATATGTTCATAGAAAATGGCTGAAAATTTGTTCATATAATGCTAATGATACTTATTCTTTGTGACAAGGTTTGGGGTGATTTTTTTTCTTCTTTGTATTTTTCTGCATGGCTCAAATTTTTATAATAATTATGAATCATTTTTCACCAAAAGAACGAAGTAGTTATTTTTAAAGAAAAAGTCATGTGGCTTGCTCCACTCCTGTGCTTCCCTCCTCCAATCACTCTTTTTTTTTTCCCTCCTTCCCTCCCTCCTTTCCTTCCTCTCTTCTACATACCACTATTTGGTAAATATTCACTCTATGCCACTGTGCTTGGTGCTGGGGATACAGTGGTAAACAACTCAGACATTGTTTCAACTCTCATGGAGCCTACAGACCAGTGAAACAGCTCAAGAGGCTGAAACTTTAATTGTGGCCTCTGTCTACTTGGAATTCATTGATATTCCCAGATGTGTAGATTTGAATACTTCTCATCAGATTTCACCTGGAAACTTAATCCCATGTAGTATTTTGTCTGATTTGTGTTGCTTTACATGGAAGACATCTAAAAGGTATGGTTGCATTTATTTTTACACTTGATGAATTGCCTTTATTAATAAAGATTTTTTGAAAGAATATAAAACAGAAGTATAGGGAGTTGGGCAGGACCAGGGGCCACATTTTGATTGATAGGTAATAACTAAATGTACTCATAGCATGTGCATTTTTTTTTGGTCAATATGACTAATAAGAGAACTTTGGAATGGCAGGAAGGCGATGTAAGAGTCTAGGAGCCAGATATTTTTCTTATGCCATTGAATAAGTCAGTTCACCCAAGAAATAGTGATGAATGGCAGCTGAGCTTTGGAAGGCATAAGGGCCTTTGAGTTTGGGGTCATCTTAGGTAATGCATGGCAGAGTCACAGAATGTATAATCAATCCCACATCTGTCATATGCACATATAACAGGGGGCTTGAAATTAATTTTCGAGGGGGGCTTGAAATTAGCTTTAGCTCAAGTAGTGTGGTTTCAAAAATTTGCTTTCGTCTATTTGTTTATGAATCACAATAATTATGCGGAAATCATTGCTGGCTAAAGTATCCCTACCCATTCCTCTCAGAGCAGGTTCTCTTCCTCTCTCCACTTAACTTCCACATCTTTGGAGACTTACTCACCACGCACAGATCCTATATTAGTAATGAGGCAGCCTGAGATTTTCATGTCTTTCCTCTCCTCTGATACACCATTGGAATTGATTTACCTTAATTTATGACTTCTCATTTCACCCCAGGGCATAAATGACTCATGGCTGACCATGTTCCCCTCAGTGGATTTTTAACCTTTCTTTGCTTAATATATTTATGGTAAGGTCAGAGATGCTTCATTCAAAAGCAGCAGGAGGCCTACTGGCTTCTGGGAGTGAAAGCTTGTTTCTTGTCTTTTAATTTAAGAAAGTTTAAGACAACCCAGCAGTAGAAGTGGGGCTGGAGAACAGAGCATGCTGAGGTTTGGTGGAGATATTACTTGGTTGTCTAGTGGGGGTGAAATGATTTAACAGAGTGCAGATGATGTAAAGTAATAGACGGGGTCTAAAAGATCAGTTGATAGGTTTCACACATCAGGCATGCAGCCCTCCTCCTGGAAATGGGCATCCTCTCCTCTCCATCCTAATAGAGAGGGTGAGATGTCATCCAGCTGTCACATTGAAATATGCTTCTTACTAATGACTGCAGAACGATGGGATATTTGAATGCTTTGTGTGAGACTGTCTCCTTTCTTCTTGATACAGTGATTGGGAATGGAGGTTGAGTTGTAAGGCATAAAAAAAGATAAAGAAATGACAACTCCCCATTGTCACATGTACCCTTAGTGCAGACTCACAAAATGGTACAGCTGTGTCACAAAGAAGAGTTAAATTCCATAAGTTAAAAATGAAAATATTGTGCATGTTACTGTGTATATACATACGTCTGAATAGTTGTTAAAGAGTCTGTAGAAATTTCTCAAACTACTGTGTTCAGTTAGTGTAATGTAGCATATCTATATTTACTGCCTATGAAAAGATTTTATGGCTGGGTGCAGTGGCTCATGTCTGTAATCCCAGCACCTTGGGAGGCTGAGGCAGGAGGATCGCTTGAGGCCAGAAGTTCGGGACCATAGAGAGATCTCGTCTCTACAAAAAAAACCCAATAATAAATATTAATAATAGTAATTTGGCATGCACCACCATGCCTAGCTGTAGTCCCAGCTACTTGGGAGGCTCAGGTGGGAGGATCACTTGAGCTTGGGAGGTTGAGCCTGCAGTGAGGTATGATTGTGCCACTGCTTTCCAGCCTGGGTGACAGAGTGAGACCCTATCTGTAAAAAATAAAAACAAAACAACGACAACAAAAAGTTTGATGTACTAAGAGAAAAAAGTTTTACCTAATGGGATATACATTGTGAATCTACTTTGTTAAAAGTATATATTTTTATAAAAGTTTAGAAATATCTACATTAGAATATTGACAATACTATTGTGCTTATCAATAGGTGGTGAGATTATGGGATGTTTTCTTTTATAATTTTTCTATAGAGATGTCTTATCTGTGTGGTAAGACTTGTTAAGTTAAAAATAAAATTCCTGGTAATTTGAGTCTGCCTATTATTACCTAATAAATCTTAGGTAACTTTAAGAATTCCATCTGAAGCAGAGAACCTTTGTTGACGCCAAGGCAGATTCACTGCTTCTAACGCTGCTGCCTCCTTCAACTATTGAACAAAGTAACTGATGGCCAAAGTGACTGAACAGCTGGAGCTTCTTAGAGGTTTCCCAGGGCCCTAGTCAGGGCTCTCAGTGTTATTATTATAATAAACTAAGTCATATCCGGTAGAGAGAAGACATGAGCTTGGAAATTATTCCAGCTGAAAACTTCCATCTCCACCCATCCAATTGTGATTGAGTTCTGGTTTCCACACCTTCAAAAATATTTCTTCTATGTCTCTAGAAAAGAAAGAAGTACTTTTTTGTCACATGTCTATTTTCATTAAAAAAAAAAAAAATCTAAAAACTGTGTTGGATGACCAGCTCAGAAATGTCAGTGTACTTTCCTCTTTAAATGCATTAAAATCTCTTTACTTTTAAAAATCACTTGTTTGAGCAGCTGTGCTATGAGCAGGAAGTCCATTATCTTCCACTTGAAGTTCACCTATCCCGCATCTCAACCTCTAACTGCCTAAAAACTCTGGGGCTCATCTGTTTGAATGAGGGGAACCAACCCTGTCTATCAAAAGCCAAGCAGAGGCTTCCATGGCCATTGTCTCTTGGAGCCACAAGGTGTTGCTGTTGCTGTTGGTTCCCGATGCTTATAGTGCCTGGTCCATGCACAGGACACAGTGTGCCCAAGCTTGGACTCTAGGACTACCGTTCTCTTAGGGGACTCTCACAAGGCTGGTCATTGTCCCCCAAAGCACGGGACATAGCCATATGCTCTTCCAGCCCCAAACCCTTAGTTTTTGATCCTGAGTCAGCAGCCCAGAATCTCCAGGGAATTTTATTTCATAGGGCCTTTTGTCTTTTCATGCCACTGTGTCTTGGTCACATCCTCCCTGGTCCACCCCAACTCGTAAGTCTAATTTTGAACCTTGGAAAGCATGGATGCTCTATTAGACTTCTTATTTCCTTTCTCCCATTGCTCTCGGATCATCTTGTGGAAGAACCCAGCAGGAGGTTAGTCAATGTGATTAGGTCATCTGTGTTTGCTAATTGTCCATATTGGAAGTTAGGCTCCTACCCTTCCACAGAGACTAGGAGATAGGAGGAGTATCTTTCTTGATGATTACATTTCAAAGGGATGGTTTCCAGGTCCTTGAGAAAGACATTCTTGAGTCATAAAACATTTACATCTCAAAGGGGCATATAAAAACGTGCAATTGAATTTTTTTTTTTTTTTAAGACAGAGTCTCACCCTGTCACCCAGGCTGGAGTGCTTTAACAAGATCATAGTTCACTGTAGCCTCAAACTCCCATGCTCAAGGGATCCTCCTGCCTCAGCCTCCTGAGTAGCTGAGACTACAGGTGTATGCCACCATGCCAAGCTATTAATTTTTTTTTGTTTTTGTAGAGATGGGGTCTCACTATATTTCCCAGGCTGGTCTTGAACTCCTGGCTTCAAGGGATCTTTCCATCTCGGCCTCCCAAAGTGTGATTATATGCATCAGCCACCATGCCCAGCTCCAATTGCGAATTTTATAAAGTAAATGCTCTAAGGGAAGTCAGAGACCTGTGAGCAGGTAGAAGCCTGTCTAACGTTTAATCAAGCTGAGGGGAACATTAAGGTCAACTTGGTGAGAAGCAGCCTTCAGATAGCCTCAATATAATCCCAAAAGGTTCTAACTCATCTCTTGTCCATCCTCATTCCCAATGTGAGTGGCTTGCTCTGTATGTACACAGCTAAAATTGAGTTTTCTATGGCAGGGGCCAACAGAAGTCTGCCTTACGGCAAATTGTGCCATATACTCAACATGGTTTAAGGTACTGTGCCAGATTTGGTAGTATTCCTCTTTGTGGAGAGTGGATACTTCATACAGGGATTTAGATACTGAGGGAATTAAGAAATTACACCTCCTTAATGGGATGTTACACTGCAAGTTGGGGAGTCTATATTTCTGTTTTTGGCGACTACTGTGTACATTTTCTGCTGCAAAAAACCAAAGTGACATCAATATTCCCTTGACACCTCCAGTTCAGCACACAAAGAGAATTCACTTCCTTGGAGGTCACCTTGATGCTATTTTCTATTGTACATGATTTTAAAATATATTGTGATAAATCTCATTTGTTCTCTTATTCAATGGTTAAAGGAACACGTAAGGGAGTTGGTGAAATATATTTAGTTGATAGAATTTTACAGATGATTTTCAATTCCTTATAACCATCTTGAGATTCATATGAGAAATTATGACCAAAATTATTAGCTCTGCTTAGATCAAGATGTAATAAAGAAACCTGTCCAATTAGGAACTAGTTCTGTTTCTCTCTGCTTTTCAAATTGGGTTCCACAAATATGAATGTTACTGAGCACCTTCATAAGGGACATGTTGTGTTTGTTCTGTTCATCACCAGTGAGAAGTAACTTGACATTTTCATTGCTAATAACTTCCTTGCAAAGTATATTGACACTTCAGTCATTTTTGAACCAAATCAACAAATAATGAGGGGCTGTTCTCTGAAATCCACCCACACAGTTCTTGCTCACAAATGATGCAGGCTGTTGAGGTGCCAAGATGCAGACGACATGTGGATGGTGGAATAATAACAGACTACCTAAATAAATGTTCAAAACATCAACAGGTTTCATTTGAAGGTGTGTAAGTAGCTACAAAACAAACTTGGTGGACATTAATTACTACAGGAGGTGAGAGGACTAGAAGAACATGCATAAAATGGATCTCAGAAATGAATCTCCCAAGCCTGCTTTGTCTTTCCCTGAAACCCATTTGCTTAGTGCTTCGTGCGTATATCCATGAGTTATTCTCCCAATGCATATGCCCCCTACCTGCTTTCCCACTTTGCTGTGACTACCCTTCATTGCAGATAAAAGAATCCACTCTTAATTCCTTCTGTTCATCGTCCTATATAATACTCCAGCCTCCACACAAGCCCTCCTCTCTGCTGGAAGGTCTTTATTTCAATTGTGATTCTCCTTTGTTCCTTGTACCTTGCTAACTTTTCTTAGTTAAAACTCATTGCCTCTTTCAGAAGGTCTACCTAGAGCTCCGTGTCTCCCTTGTGTTTCCCCCATTATTCACTGTAGAGCAGGGAGGGCATGGGGGTGGCCTGAGTTCAAATATTTGCTCTGCTGGGTTCTGCGCAACAAATTTCTTAACATCTCAGAAACAGTTTCCTCTTCTTTGAAGCGAGGCTGTCTATGATTGATTTTTAATATGATGAGAATTGTGGATGTATGCTACAGGCATATATATTAAAGAAGCCATGAACTTTTTCTTTTCCCGCTGAAGTGTATTCATGCCTAGACTTGCATCTGGCACACAGTAGATTGTTTTCTAGTGCCTCCAAGTTTTTAAAATATTTTGACGAGAGTTGATAATTGGTAGCAGGAGTAACATTCTGATACGAGATACTCTGCTGTTAGAAGTGGAACTCTCATGGTCTGGGGAAAGGCTCCTGTGTGGCTGAACCTGCCCAGCTGTGGGTGCAGCCTTGTACCAGGCACCCCAACCCTGACCTAAAGTAAATTCCCAGGAGAAGTCTTTCCTGGGATTTGAATTTGCAGTAACAGGTGTGAACATTCTAGCGCAGTTTGATCATATATGATACTATAAACAGGACCCCCCTGCAAAAAAGTGGAAATCTCTAGAACAGATTGATTTTTTTTTGCTTTTTATTTTAAGCATTTTTACATTAAAAAAATTAAATGTACATACAATAAGATGGGCCTTTTTTGGTGTATAGTTCTTCCACATTCATAGTTTCTTGTTCAATAATTCTTTGGTGAATGAATGAGGCGGCCACTATAGTACTTGGCACAAAGTTGGCTCTCAGTGTATACTTGTATATATGTAAGTGTATATACACTTACTGTGGCTACAGCTAGCACTCTGCATAGTTTTTTGGTAGCACATATCTCACTAAATCAGTGCCACCATTAGACTTGACTTAACAGAGCCGTGTCCTGGGTCCTGTGCATCAGGCTATTCATTGTATGGTCCACTGATAGACATCTTGTGAGAACTGTTAGAAATAAAAATTCTTGGGCTGCACCCCAGACCCACCGGAGCCTCATCTCTGGGGGTGGAGTTCAGGAATCCATGTTCTAACGCAGTCTCTAGGTGGTGCTCATGCAGGTATTTGCCAAGCACTGCTTTAGAGGGCCCTGCTCTGTTGTTTTTGTAATGTCCCTCTTGATGGGTGCCCCAATCCTTGAACACACTTCAAACCCAGGCTCCAAAACCCTCTGCCCTGAGTCTATTTCCAGAACATTTGTAGGTCTTTTTATTTGATCCATCAAGGGACAGCTATTTGCAGGGGCTGTGGATAGAGCTTGGACATGTGAAGGTGTCCACATGTGTGTGCCAGACCCCTTGCCAGGCAGCCTGGAGCTGGGGGAAGGAAGAGAAGGGCAGTAAGCCACAGGATGCATTTTTTTTTTTTTTCTGTTCTGCTAGTTCTAAATTGGAATCTGTCTTCCAGGTAATTTTGAAGTTATATTTATTAAGATTGTAGGAAAGAACATATTTTATGTAACTGCTTGCTAGCTTGAATTATATAATTTAGACATTCTAATATATAATATGCAGGCCCCTATTTTTACCCTCAGCCTGAGGCCTGCAAATGTTAAGGTTGAGTTTCTCCTGAATTCTTAATGTTTCCTTTCTGTGTTCTCCACTGGGCTGGGAACTCCTTGGTGGCGAGGACTGGGGCTTCTTTGACACTGTAACTCTATTGTCTTGTGCAGTGCCCGGTGTAAGTGACTTAGTAAATGTGTGCTGATAGGTGAATAAATGAATGAATTCCTTTATGAAGCTTGGGGCTGTCGGGGAAAACTTTGTGGGGGAGATGCTGGGCCAACATGGTTGTTCCTGGGTAGGGTTGGTGAGTCCATGGTAGACAGATGAAGTATCCTTGAGCAGGCACCACTTTCTACTGTTGGCACATAAATGGTTGGAATGAGGGAAAATTAAGGGAGTATAACATGGACATGATATCGTCTGGTGGAACTGATTCCTCAGACCAAACAAAACCAAATAATCTTTACAGTCTGTGCAAGACGAGTGTACGGACTGAATATTTGTGTTACCCCCAAATTCATGTGTTGAAGCCCTAACACCCAGGATGACTGTATTTGGAGATGGGACCTCTAAGGAAGTTAATTAATGTTAACTGAGGTTATAAGGGTGGAGACACCAGAGACCTCCATCTCGTCTCTCCGTCTCTTTCAATCTCTCTCATTCTCTGTGTGCACACACCAAGGAAGGGCCATGTGAGAACATAGTGAGAAGGCAACCACCCACAAGCCAGCAAGAGCACCCTCACCAAAAAGTGAGCCTTGCTGGAAGCTTGATCTTAGACTTCCCAGCCTCCATAATGGTGAGAAAATAAATTTCTATTGTTTAAGACACCCAAACTGGTATTTTGTTATGGCAGCCTGAGCTGACTAATACAGCGAGAGAAAAAGAACCAAATGCCACAGATTAATTAGATGTAATGAAAACAGCTGTCAAGCTAGTCCTAAACCTTGGCTTACTATAATTAAGTGTTCGATACAAACTAATTAAATTAGCAGTTCCCAGGTGTTGGTTTTATAGACAGTATAAATTATGCATTGAGGCAGGAAGCTCTGTTCATACCGAGGACTTATTTTGGTGGTTCTTGTTTTATGTGTGGCATTTGTTTCTGGCTTTATTATAATGACTTATGTCAGATATATCATAAAGTAGCATAATTGAATAATTGCATGTTGACTATTTAGATAGCTTTATATTTTGATTTTTTTTCCCTCTCTTTGAAATTCTTCTTTTACCAACAAAGGCTGGATTCCATAGACATTCTCAAATCTTGCTGGCTCAGTATGAGGGAAAGCTGAAAACAAAAGCTTTGTAAGTATAAGATGTATTATTAATGCTTGCTGCTGTGAAATGTTGATAATAAATAAGAGCTGATTGTATCCACTGCAATTTCTCACTCAATTTTGATGGCTGGGGAAGAGCATAGATTTCCAAGCAGAGTGAAAACAGGTTGTCTTGGTTTCTGCTCTCTTTATTAATGCAGGGTCGCAGCTGCATTGTCTCTTGCTAGTGATGGCTTAATGCACTTGTTTGGACTGCTAGTTGGTTGTCATTTTCAAGGGGACATCTGGCATTTGGACTGTTTTTGAGAGGCCATTGGTTTTTTTCCCATCTAAACATTTCACCTGATTCTCTTAATAAACTTGACGGTTTGTAAAATTCAGCCAACTAACCAACATTCATTAACAATCTACTTTATGTGTCAGACAGTGGGCCAAGCTTGGAGGAAGTTGTGAAGCAGAATGAAGCCTGTCCTGGTTCACAGAGAACCTAGAGTGTGACTGAGAAGTTAAGACACATGCAAAAAAAATCACAGTGAATCACGTGATAGTTGGATGTGCCAAGTACTAATTGTGCTGTGCAAAATAGGCCATCGTTTCAGGATGGAATCACTTCCAGGGGAAGAGATACAGGGTGGTCCAGGAGAAGTGTCCAGCACCAGTCCAACATCTCCTTGAGCAAGGTTTTTCAAGCTGTATTGACCCTGCCTGATTTCTTCTTTTTCTTCTTCTTCTTCTTTCTTCTTCTTCTTCTTCCCCTTGTCCCTTCTCCCTTCTCCTTCTCTCCTTTTCTTCTTCTTCTTTTTTTTTTTTTTGAGATGGAGTTTCACTCTCGTTGCCCAGGCTGGAGTGCAATGGCACAATCTTGCCTCACTGCAACCTCTGAGTCCTGGGTTCAAAAGATTCTCTTGGCTTAGCTGCCTGAGTGTCTGGGATTACAGGTGCCTGCCACCACACCCAGCTAATTTTTGTATTTTTAGTAGAGATGGGGTTTCACCGTGTTGGCCAGGCTGGTCTTGAACTCCTCACGTCAGGTGATCCACATGCCTCTGCCTCCCAAAGTGCTGGGATTACAGGCGTGAGCCACCGTGACTGGCCTGACACTGATTTATAGGAAGAAAAGTACTTGATGTCAAACTGTACACCTATATGGATATGAATCACAGAAACTGAAGATTCACCAGACAATACTTAACCCTTTCTATGTGCTGTGCACTTTATTTTATTTATTTTTAACACTTTATGAAAACACTCTATTTTATGAAAAACAATAGTAGCTGCACTCAATAAATTGCTAAGTGCTCCTTTAATTGGTTGCCATCCTGCGTTAATTAATAGTCTGGATTCTCCAGAGAAACAGAACTAATAGAATCTATCCTCTCTCTCTCTCCCTACCTACCTACCTACCTATCTATAATCTATCTACTATAAGGAATTGGCTCATGAAATATGGAGGCTGAGAAGTCCTAAGATCCACAATCAGCAAGCTGGAGACCCAGGAGAGCTGATGGTGTAGTTCCAGTCAGAGTCTGAGGGCTTGAGAACCAGGAGACCTGATGGTATAGTTTCCTGTTCAAGTCTGGAGGCAGGAGACCAATGTCCCAGCTTGAAGACAGTCAGGTAGAGAGAAGGAATTCTTTCTTACTAAGCCTTTTATCTCTTCAGACCTTCTAGGGATTGGGGAGGGCCGTCTGCTTTACTCAGTCTTTTGATTCAGAAGTCAATTGCATACAAAAGCACCCTCATAGACACACCCAGAAATTATGTAGAACTAAATATCAAGGCACCCTGGGGCTCAGTCAAGCTGACACATAAAATCACTCATTACACACTCAAAACCTGAAAATTTCTGTGGTAGAGGCCCGACTTAAAATTCCACAGCTGCTTCCCACTGGGCTACCTCCCTATTCTCCTCTCCATGCCATCCTATAATAGGAAGCCCATGAAGTCATCGGTATCTCTGCAGTGGATTACCTAGGGGTTCACCAGAGAAACAGAACCAATGGAATATATATAGTTACATAGAAAATGCTAATCATCAAATGCTAATCATCATCAAATGCTAATCTCTTCTGAAAACACCCTCACAGACACACCTAGAAATAATGTTTTACTAGCTCTCTGGCATCCCTTAACTCAGTCAAGGTGACATATAAAATTAACCATCACATGCATTTAAGGATTATTAGTAAAGGAGTGATATCCTCTATTAGATTAGAAATCACATTTTGGAAAGATTACTCTGTAATTACTCGGTAAAGAGTGTATTTCTAAGAATTTAATTGTGGCAATATCAAAAGGCTTCATATATAGACCATATACTTTTGGAGTGGGTAGAATGGATATGGAGTATAGATCAATGTTTCTTGAGCATGAGACCTGGAGCACTTGTTAAAACACAGGTTGCTGGGATCTACCCACAGAGATTATGGATTAGCAAATGTAGGATGAGGCCGTGGAATTTGCATTTCCAACAAGTTTCTGCGTGATGCTAATGGTGCTGGTCCAGGGACTACACTTTGCTTATTTAGTGCGGTAGTAGGAAGAATAATTACCCTCAAAGATGTTCATGTCCTAATCCCTGGAGCTTGTAGTAGATATTTTATGCTGGATGGCAAAGGGAAATTAAGGCTTCAGATGAAATCAATTTATAATTAATTTATTAATTAATAAATCAATAAGTTAAGGTTACTACAGAGCTGATTTTGGGGAGATTATCTTGGGTTATCTGGGTGGGCCCAATGTAATCACAAGGATTCCTAAAATTAGAAGAGGGAGGCAGAAGAGAATTAGAGAGAGATGCCGACTACTGAATTTAAAGTCGCTAGCTTTGGAGCTGGAAAATGGGACCATGGGCCAAGAATGCAAGCAGCTTCTAGAAGCTGGAAAAGGAAAGAAAATGGATTCATGCCTAGACTCTCCAGAAAAGAGTGCAGTCCTGACACTTTGGTTGTAGCCCCCTAGGACACATACTAGAGTTCTAATTTACAGAACTGTAAGATAATGAAGTTGTATTGTTTTGACCCACTAAATTTGTGGTAACTTTTTACAGCTGCAAAAGGAAACTAGTACAAATGCCTCCAGGAACTGCAGTGGGTACTGGGAACACAAAGGTGAAAACCACTTATTCAATGACTTTGAGCTTCTCTATTTTTATTTTGTCCCTGCTCCCATCTCAGGGCCAACCAGAGAAAGCCAAACATGCATCCCAAACCAGTCACTTAAGGTGTCCTGCCTCCAGCCTTGCCATGCCAACAACCTCCAACCAGAGCATTTCTGATTGATAGATCATATAAAGCCTTTCTACTCCGCTGCCTACCTTTGAATCTCTGCCAATCACAAGTGATGGTAGCTGACTCCCTTGCTATCGCAAGCCCTGAATAAGTAACCTCTGTGTGTCCTCATTTAGGTGATCTTCATTTATTTTCAGAAGACATAGTGCTCTCCTTTTTTTCTTTTCTTACTGATTATTCTAGTGCAGTGTTTTGCTACTGAGGGTAATTTTCCCCTCCTTCTAAGAACCTGGGACATTGCAGTGTCTGCAGATAATTTGGTTGTCACAAGTGGGGTATGCTACTGGCATCTAGAGGGTAGAGGCCAGCAAAGGTGCTAAACATCCTAAAATGTACAGAACAGCCTCCAACAACAAAGATTTATCTGTACTAGAATGCTAATAGTGCTGACATTGAGTAATCCTGCTCTAGTGGTAGAAATTTCTGGCCTCCATGCAGTAGGGAGGTGTGTGTGGAGGGGTCTTTTTATGCAAGTAGGACAGTAGTACTAACATAAGACAAAGGTGACTAGCAATCTAGCTACACAATTCACTCTGACTAGGCTCATTCTTGCAGTAAATATAGTCTTTGCTTCTGCTTCCAAAATAGAATATGACCTCCTTTGTCCTGAACAAATAGCAAAGGCTAACATTTCATTTTGTGCCTCTGCTTAGTAACTCCTAGAGATCTATAACATATGTAAAAACATGCTAATATATTTAAATCTACTTAACTTTGTATATATGTATGAGATATGACTATCATGTGATATTTCCATGTATGAATCGTGGAAATGGTCTCTTTCCTTCATAGCTATATCATACACGCAGATACACGTACACAACTTTGTTTCCAGCTGGCTTGATTTGCAAAACAACTTCCCTAGTTCTCTTCTTCCATTCTCCCTCCAGTCAAATGGGGCTGTGTTTAGTTTGAGCCTTATGTATCCAAGAGATTCTCATCTCTGGATCTTCTGAGCTGATTTGGAATGCAAACTATGGAAGCCTCCATATTTCTCATGCATTTAAAACAAAGCTGCAGTTTGAGATTTCTTCCATAGATTGACCTCTAGTGTTTCTGATTGACAAGCTCTGGAAGAAAGAGACAAGAAAGACCTTAGCTGTGAAGAGAAGCATTCTGAATCCTTTTGCTCTGACATTTTGCAAGCTCACAGACTAATTAATCAATTTCATTAAAAAAGAGAGAATGTTGCCATGGTATCATAAGGCATGTTTATACTGCCACATTAAGATTTCAGGGTATTTTTAATCCTTAATTACCCATTTCTTCTTCTTCTTCTTCTTTTTTTTTTTTTTTGAATTGGGAAAGGCCTTAAAATTTCTTTTTTTGATTATGCAGTTTTCTGCTAGTGTTTTCTGAGGTTGAGGTACTAATTGAAACAGAGCTGCCTCTCTTATGTGGAGGAAATAAGACCACCTTTGGAGCCCTGGTTTTGTGTAAGATTTGATTAAAAGTTCCATGCAGATTATTCTACCAGTCTGTCTTCAATGCACATGCTTTTGCACAAGACACCACTAATTTATCACAAGAAGCATGACCCAGAAGGAGTTTTGTCTATAATGTATGTAAGATATGCTTGTGAAATATTTCCAGAAATATTCATTTCTAGCGTTTGGTTTTCCCATAGCATCACAGAAATATGTAGTGTTGATAATAAAACTGGTGGCATTTTGCCCTGAATGATAGTTTTCTGAAAGTGTCAAGAGAATTAAAAATGTCCAGTTTCATTTAAAGAACCTGTTGACTACTTGAAATAACAAGTAACACTCTGATTATTTAAAGAGCTTTTTCCTAGCATGTTTTCTAACTCCTAGTCATCAAACAGATGGGTGAGGATGTGGAAAGAGAAGGTGCAATGTAGCTTTTGAATTAGATCAGAATGAAACCTTTCTTATTAAAGTAGACTAGGAATAACAATAATAAAAACAAGCAGACAGAAGCCTTCTCCTGCATCTTATAAAGGATTTTGACAATGTGTACAGTAATTCTTTTCTCTTTTCTCATTTGATTTACTATAAACTGTATGCTAAAGAAGATTTGGAATCTTACTTTAAAAAATGAATAATGAAAAATATAAATGTGTGCCTGCCTTTTATAAGGGACAGTCTAGCTTGTGTGTCTGCCTCTGGGTCTCATTTATGCATTATTATTAATGTTGAATCGGTGGCTTACATTGTAATAGTCATTTATAACATATGCTTATTTATAAGGTATATTTGAAGCTGATACCTCAGCTTTTTCATGTAGCTCAGCATGAAGTGGTGCTCCTGGAAAAAAAACACTTTTTCAAGGACAAAGGTAGTGTCCCGGCAATGATGTCTATAAAGAACATCTCAGAAATGGAGTGCCTTTCAGTGCAGCAACATTTTACACCAATAGGAATTCTCATTTTCGTGTGCAGACTACCAAGCTGCTTTGTGACTTGGCCTGGCACTCACTATCATGATGCCTCTATCCTCATTGGTTCCACATGAGAACAACAATTAGAATTGCCTAGTAGCATGACTGTGGACAGCCAGTCTAGGTGAGTGAAAATCCAGCTCTGCAGTATAAAAAGTACTCTGTTTTCAGCTATTTCCTGCATTCAAAAAAAAAAAAAAATCATACATTGCAAAATGTGTACTGAAAAGTTGTCAACACATACCTGGGTAGAATATTTGTAAGTTTGATTGCAGCAGCTATTAGCCTTTTAATTAGAATGAAAGTATTACTGTAAGTTGGACCTTTGGCCAGGATAATTGATCTAGGCAAAATCTCCATTATCTACTGGTGCATTTTGGTTGTATAGTGTATGACCTTCAGCTGCAATTGCACAAAGACAATACAGATTCCAGACCCTCTGCAATCTAACAAAATTCATTCAACTGGTATTGAGTGCTCCTTAAGTGTTGGTGCTTGAGCTAGGGGCTGGAGATAGTACTAAAAATAAGACACAGTCCTTGTGCTTAGGATTAAGAAGCTTAGAATATACCAGATGGAAGGATACAGACAAGAAAAGAGGTAAAATACAGTGTTCATGTAGTTAGCCTAGTTTGACTTTGATTTGGAGTCAGGGCTTACTGAAAATCTACTGCAATTTGCAGTAGGAAATTAATATTTAATTCTTATTTTCAGGCTGCAATAACAAAATATAATAAGATGGGTAGTTTATAAACAACAGAAATTTATTTCTCACAGTTCTGGAGGCTGAGAAGGCCAAGATCAGGGCACTGGCAAATTCAGGGTATGGTAAGGGCTTGCTTCCTGATTCATAGAAGGTCTTTTTCCCTCTATAATCTCACATGGTAGGAGGGGTGAGGGATCTCTTTGGGGCCTCATTTAAAAGGCACAAATTTTATTCATGAGGGTTCTATCCTTATGACCTAATTACCTCCCAAAGACCCTACCTCAAAATAACATCACACTGGGGATGTCAACAAATAAATTCTGGGGGGAGGAGGGAGTAGAAATTTAGCCTATGGCAGTTCCTTTCCCAGTTGCTTTAGGAACACAGGGGAGTGATGATCTAGCACATCCTTGGGGAGCTTACTTTCTAGATTAATTTAGCATCTCTGCTATATCCTAAAGGGTAGATCAGTGTTAATGATGAAGGGATTGGGGCTTAAGGAGAAGGAGTACAGAGCAAAGGCTGAGGAAGACCATTTGGGAGATCCGTGGCTGGCTGGTGGAAGGTGTGCTTAGATCATGCATTTACCATAATGGAAATGTGACATAACGCTAAGAATTATCTGTGGGTTGATTTACACAGGCAGCGACTCTCCCTGGAGTGTCTCAGATGCATGTGATGTGCATGAATGCTGGGTTTGGATCAGTGAGCTGAAAGACGCAGAGCATCACATCTGGCTGGATGAGTCCATATTGATTGTGGACTGGGGAAGAACCATGAGCACTATTCATTCCAGAAGAGTAGGAAGCAAGATATGTGTTCAGTGAGGTTGGCTGGCTGACCCCGAAGCCACGTTTAGCTGTGGTGAAATGACCTATGGAAGTCATGCATGGTCATTTTCTTTACCTCCCAGCAGAAGATCTATTTCTGTTAAACATAGTCACATAATCCCAGTACTAGTCTCAATTTCAAAGCAATTAGGAGGCTTTAGCTGAAGTTTTACTAGATGAGAAATAAATATACCGAAAGGTCAGCTTTCATCCTGTTTTGGAGGAAGATGTATAAGAATGTGTGATAAGAACTCACAAAGCCAGGCTGAGAAAGAAAACAGTCAGAAAACTGACTATTTACCTTCATTTTCATAATTTACAGAAAGTCTATTTAAAGAAGGCAGTGATTTGTTCAACCTGGGTGTTGTAATGTCTACACCCTGACATTTTGTGTGTGCCATCTACCACATTTACCAGACCCTGGGCATGGTGCCAGGAGTCAGCATGCTGATCTCTGGTTGGAAGTCAGCATTTCCTGGGTGCAGAGTCCTCTAGTGATGATGGGGACAGAGGAATCAGTATTTCCATGAGTACCAGACACTATTTTCCTGGGAGAGGCGGCAAAGCTGAATGAGACAGCATTGGCTGGCTAGGGGTAGGAAACTAGAGTTTTAGTCTCAGCTCAGGTGTAGTTATTCGATTGGTTGTCATTTAATCTCCATACCTCAGTTTTCGTCTCCCCTATCATTAAAATAATCAGTAATATCTGCCTCATCCTCATTATAAAACTGTTGTAAGTTCTGATGGGATGATGATTTAAAGTACTATAAGGAAAAGTCAATGGCAATTAGCACAAGTAGTCATTTATATCTCAGTCATTGTCTTAGTGCTTTTGGGTTGCAATAACAAAAATACCACAGACTAGGTGGCTAATGCACAATGGAAATTTATTTCTCACAGTTCTGAAGGCTGGGAAGTTCAAGATCAAGGCACTGGGAGATTCGGTGACTGGTGAGAAGGCCCACTTCCTTATAGATGGCCATCTTCTCATTGTAACGTTACATGGTAGAAGGGGCAAGGGAGCTGATATGGTTAGGCTTTGTGTCCCCACTCAAATCTCATCTTGAATTATAATCCCCAGGTGTTGAGGGAGAGAACTGGTGGAGGGCAATTGGATCATGGGGACAGTTTCCTCCCCAAGCTGTTCTCATGATAGTGAGTTCTCATGAGATCTGATGGTTTTATAAGTGTTTGGTAGTTCCTCTCTTGCTCACTTCTTCTCTCTCCTGCTGCCCTGTGAAGAGGTGCCTTCTGCCATGATTGTAAGTTTCCTGAGGCCTCCCTAGCTATGCAGAACTGTGAGTCAATTAAACCTATTTTCTTTGTAGATTACCCAGTCTCAGGCAGCTCTTTATAGCAATGTGAAAACAGACTAATATAGGAGCTTTCTGGAACTTCTTTAATAAGGGCGCTAGTTCTACTCATGATTGCTGTGCCCTCATGATCTAATCACCCTCTTTCTTAGTCTATTTTCTGTTTCTATAACTGAATGCCTGAGATTAAGTAATTTTTAAATAAAAGAAATGTATTTCTTACAGTTCTGGTGGCTGGGAAGTTCACGGTCAAGCAGCTCATCTGATGAGGGCCTTCTTACTGCATCAAAACATGGTGGAGGGCATCACGTGGTGAGAGAGCTCATGAGAGGGGACCAAACTGGCTTTTATAACAGACACATTTTTGTGATAACTAGCTCACTTTTGTGATACTCATTAATCCATGAATGACTCTGCCTTAATGACTGCCCAATCACCTCTTAAAGTCCCCATCTCTTAACACTGCTATATTGGGGATTGTCTCAGTCTGATTGGTGTTGCCATAACAGAATACCTGAGACTGGGTAATTTGTACAGAAAAGGGTTTTATCTAGTTCACAGTTCTGTGGGCTGGGAAGTACAAAAAGCATGGTGGTGGCACCTGCTTGGCTTCTGGTGAGGGCTTTTGTGCTGCCTCACATCATGGTGGAAAGCCAAAGGGGAAGCAGACGTGTGTGAAGAGACAAAACCTGAGGGATGCCATTGCTTTATAACAATCCACTCTTGAGAGAGCTAGTTTATTCCCAAGATAATTATTTCAGTCTCACCAGGGCAAGAATCACTATTGTGACAATGGCACCAAGCCACGCATGAGGGATTCCTCAACATCACTGAAATACCACCCAACATGCTAGATTGGAGATCAAATTTTGACATGAGTTTTTGTGGGGACAAACAAATCATATTCAAATCATAGCAGAGATTAAATTTCAACATGAGTTTCAGAGGGGACAAACATTCAGATCATAGCACCACCCAAAGACACCCTCTCCTAATACCATCCATCACCTTGAGGGTTAGGATTTCAACATATAAATATTGGGGGGACACAAACATTCAGATGATAGCCGTCGAATTATTTTGTGATATCATGGGCCACAATTATTTAAATAACTTATCAATTATTTTTGCAGACAATTGAAGATTATAACTTTAAATCGAGCATTTAACGATCACCACCCTTTAATGAAATGCATGACACTTTTTATGGCCATTAAAACTTAGGTGACACTGAGCATGATAGTTTGAGGCATTGGTAAACTTTTTCCTATTACGGGCTGTGGAGTAAATATTTTATACTTTGTGGGACATACAGGCCCGGTCACCACTTTCACTCTGCTGTTCTAGCATGAAAGCAGCCATAGATGATTTGTTAACTAATAAGGGGGTTGTTTTCCAATAAAACTTTACACAAATTGGAACCAAGCTGTATTAGTCTTTTGGGCCATAGTTTGCCAACTCCTGCTTTAGCCTAATTTCAGAGGGGTGGGAAATATAACTCAACTATTTTCCCAGAGGATGTTGTGCTGGAATATTGGTGAGAAACAATGTTCAGCTGTTTAAGTATAAGCATGGCATAGGCAGCTGGCAAAGTTGAATTTGATTTGGAGTTTTCACAAGGGAGTAAAATGGATGGCATATAACGGATGGGGGTTAGGTAATTAGTGGTGTTTTTAAGGCAGTGATTATTCAGACCCTTAGCTAGGTGAGCAAAAGAGAGAGGACATGAGCGGGAGGCAGGTGGCAAACATTGTTGGGGCCAATGCATTGGTGGTTTTGATGAAGTCAAAAAAATCTTGAAATGGAAATAATAGTTCGAGTGTGCCAAATGGATAAATTATGGTGGTCAGCAAGTAGAATGCTGAAATTTTTGGAAGTGGTTTAGGTATTGTTATAAAGTTGGGGGTAGAGGTGAAATGGAGAAAAAAGCTTGCCAGAGATGAGGAGGTCAAACAGCACAGAGGCCAAGATGCTGAATTGCTCATCCAGGTAGATATCAAAGTCATCAAGGTTGTGACCCAGTGTAGAATTAAAGAGGAAAAACAGTAAACTAGGTGCTAAATCTATTGGTGGATGAAGGGGGAGGTCCTGGGAGGTCTGTAGGGGTATTAAGAAAATCTGAAGTTTGGATCTTCAAGTGTGTTGGGATTTTTGAAGGAAGAAGGATGACGAATGATTTGGAAAGCCACGTCCTGTGGCAAACACAGTCCAGATACGAAACAATACCATTGCTGCTTCTTCCTGGGCACACAGACTACATCATCATGTTAAGTGTGGTCATGTGATATGGTCTAGACAGTAGAATGGGGATGGCAGTGATGCCCAGCAATTTCAGGCCTGCCCCTTAAAAACCATTTATGGGAAATGCTCCATTCTTTCTCTTCTCTTGTCTGCTGGATGGATGCAGAGGATCACTGGAGGACTTCCAGGCTCTATATGGGAGATGCACTTGATAGCAGTAACTACTTAAGGATTACCATGAGAATGACCCTGTAGGGCAGACACACCTGCATGTGTGTTTAGAGTTTTGAGCAAAGGAATCTGGGAGTGGCCAATCCAGAGATTTATTCTTTATCTATGAGGAACATCTGAACCTTCTTCCATCCTGTAAAACACAGGCTGTACAGGGGATCAAGGCCCTTTGCTTTGGATTAGATGAAGGTTGCCAGGTGGATGTTGTTAGGGGGATAGTGATAAGTGAAAATGCTATATAAACTGCATGCTTTTTGCAGGTGGTGGCGGTTCTCCTGCCCATTCTGCCACCACTGGACCTCTCTGAATGTTAAGTTCCCCTCAATAGACCCTATGTCTCATTTGCTGGCTTTGGGTCTCTTCAGCATCTTGAACCTGGTGCCTCTATCTGATGGTGGCTACTTTGCCTTGACTTGTGTGGACACCTGCTATTGCAGGCGTATGCCAGCAAGCATGCCACCCAGAAAACCACCAAACAGGGACTAGAGCATTGTGTGCAGCCTATGGGATCCCTATTAATATTAACAGTGACCAGTGCTCACACTTTGCTGGAGATCCTGGATAACCACTAGTATTTCCACCTGCCCTACAACCCTACACCAGCAGGGTTGACTAAATGGATGAATGGACTGTTGAAGCAACAACTCCAGTAAGGGATGCACTGTCTGGCTCTGTGGACACAGCACTTAGCAACAGCCAAATGCAGGCTGAATGAACGTGAACATTCTCATCACCCCAGCGCATGTTCTCTCCTGATACAGGACCTGATAGCACCATCAGGATCCAGGTAGATAGTGTAAGGGACACTATGCCTTTGCCCCAACCTGGGACTCAGGGTAATCTCTATTGTCCTTGCCACAGGATTTACCCACTGGGGAGTACATCATTACATGGGCCTGGAAGTGGCAAATCAGCATCTGATGGTTCTATTTATCTGCTCCAAGGGGGAAGGGCCTAGAACAGGATGTACAGGTTATGCCTATTTTACATCCTACTCCCCTTTGTATTTCTAAAATAATGATTGCCAGTCTTCCTTTTCGTAAGGGGACAAACATCCTCTCATTATAGAACACTGTAATACCTCCATTGTCTTACTCTAGCCTCCTGCAGTGCATCACAGAGGGGGCCAATCCATTTGGTATTGTAAACCAGGTACCAGGCTGCTGCCAGGTGTGGTGTACTCTCAGAATGACACAACTTCTTGTGTCCTGTTAAATGGTCATGACTTGCCCTTTCTTGTACCCACTTGATATGGTTTGGCTCTGTGTCCCCACCCAAATCTCATCTTGTAGCTCCCATAATTCCCACATGTTGTGGGAGGGACCTGGTGGGAGATGACTAAATCATGGGGGGCAGGTCTTTCCCTTGCTGTTCTTGTGATAGCGAATGGGTCTCGTGAGATCTGATTATTTTAAAAAATGGAATTTCTCTGCACAAGCTCTCTTTGCCTGCTTCCATTCCATGTAAGAGGAGTAGGCACTTGCTCCTTCTTGCCTTCCGCCATGATTATGAGGCCTCCCCAGCCATGTGGAACTTAAGTCCAATTAAACCTCTTTCTTTTGTAAATTGCCCAGTCTCGGGTTATGTCTTTATTAGCAGCGTGAAAACGGACTAATATACCACTGACCATCTCATCCTCCGCCCTTAGGTAGTGTGCAGCAAAGCTCTTTGCTGACTTGGTGCAGACGAGGGCATAACAAAGCACTCTGTTGGGCCTGTGGAGGGTTGCCCCTCTGCTCCACTGCAGGCCTGCTGTGGTGCATCCAAGCAGCTAACTTGAGTGCCTGGGGCCACTTCCGTACTTGTTTGTATTGCTGTTGTGGCGTTTGGCCGGAATACTCCTCCGCATACCTAGCCCCAGGGACGTCGTGGAAGAATTGGTGTGATAAGAATGTGAGGGCTGTTCAAAGGTATGCTGGAGTGGACTGTATGGTGGATGCTCCTGATAGCAATAACTTAAGCATACCCTGAGAATGATCCTGTCTGTATATGCATCTGTTTGTGTATTCAGAGTTCTGGGCTAAGGAATCTGGGAGTGGCCAACTTGGAGACTCATTCCCCATCTATGAGGAACATCTGAAGCCCTGGTGTATCTATAGAGGATTAAGGCCCTTTGTTTTGGGTTACATGATGTTTGCCAGGTGGACGTTTTTAGGGAAGGGTGCTAAGTGAAAATGCTATATAACCTTCATGGTTTTTGCAAGAGGTGAAGATTTTTCTGCCCAGCGTGCTATGACTGGACTGCTCTGTATGTAAGTTTCACTTAATAAACTCTGTCTCGTTTGCTGGCTCTGAGTCTCTTCTCCAGCCTCTTGAACCTGATGCCACCCCTATTGAAGTTAATAGGGGTCTGGCATGACAGGCCCAGGGGGTTGACGAGTTGCTAAATGAAAGGATCTTGGATCCCTGAATATCTGTTACTCTTTACCACCAGGTTGGCCCCACATGACCAAGAAAGTAACTTCTATTGTACTAAGTCACTAGCATTACTCTGGTCCATGTACTTAACTCTAGGCTCTGAAGTACATGGAGTGTGAGAGAAGAGAAATAAAAGTAAAAATAAAAATAAAACAAAACCAAAACCTTAAGAGGGCTACATGGGAAGTTGTCTGATTATGATGATAATATTATTAAAACCAACAGCAGTAGCTGCAGTAACAGCAATGTCGCCTATGTGGCCTCTGCAGGCTATAGACTTTGAAATTCCTGTCCTAGATACTGAGAATGGAGTTAGAGATCATTATGGCTTTTTGGGTAGCCATGCTGTGGTGTTGAATCTATTGAGTTCATTGCCTGTGAAAACCCAAGCATTTTCCTCATGAAATGCTATTTTCCATTGTGTCTTTCACCTTCTGCTCAGTCAGTTGTCGTTTTCAGATCCCACGTACACAACCATTTGTTACCATACCTGCTCCCACAGTTTCCTCATAGATCATATGGGAGTTGGCAGTCTTATCTGCCATTCTCTTCATAATCTCCTACTGCCTCAGTTTCCTCACTTGTAAAATATGAATAATAACAAACAATACATCAAAGCGCTGGTGTAAGGATTTAAAGAAGATTCATATAAGTAAATCATTTAGCATTTAGTGTCTACCATGTAGTAAGCCCTCAATACATGTTAACTATTATAATTGGTGGTGGTGCTTCTAGGATCTGATTTATCCAAGCCAAAGAAAATAAGTTTTTCAGAACACTCATTCTCAAAGACCAGCAGCATCAGTTTGGAAATTCTTGGGCCCCACCCCAGTCCTACTGAATTCGATGCTCTGAGGGTGGGGGTCCAACAAGCCCTCTAAATGATCTTGAAGTGCACTAAAGGTTGAAAACCATTGCTTTTGAGCAGCTAAGATATTCCCTTATCACCTCTTTACCCATTTTAGCTATGTTTATTTTCATTCTAAAAATTCTTGTAAGGATAGTCAATTTTATGGCTTAAAAATTAAGAATAAAAGTAAAGAAAATTCTCCAACCCATAAAACATCGCTGTTTTTAACTGCCAGCAGCAAAGTGTCAGGGTGTTAGAGAGAGCATGACCCTGGCGTCCAACCCCAGGTGCTTCTGTGACACACCGACTCCTATGGTTTGCCTTGTTTTCACTGAGACTGCAGAATGTGTTTAACAGGCCAGTGACCTTGCAGTCTAAATGCCAGCAATGCCAGAGTGCTGGCAGGTTTACAGCTGCAATCCCTCGCTGCAAAGGGAAGGATCAGATGGAGTCTTGGCTGTTTGGAGTGGAGGTGCGGGTTTAAAAGCAGCTCTGCTCTTGAAGCTATTTTCTTAAATTTCTTGGTGGATGGCTAAGAGTCTGGGTCCAGAATGACTTGTCTGTGACTTATTTGGATTGAGGCCCCACTTATGCTTTTTAATCTGGCTGTCCTCTGCTTTGGGCTTGATTAGGTCCTTAGGGATTTTTAATAAAAATAAAAGAGGACACAAATATGTAGTGGTCAGTTGGAATCTTTTTGATGCTATCATCCTCGTTTCTTTCCCCTTTCCTGCCTCTCCTTGTGCCTTGCTGAGTATTAGAACTTCAAAGGAAGGAAGGGCTTTGTAGTCTGATGCTGTCGTTCCACAGAGGTGGAAACTGACATCCTGAGATGGAACACAACTCACCCGAGGCCATCCTGCTGCTCTCCTTTCTGAGGCTACAAAGCTGTCCTCTTATATCTCCTCTCTCCATCCTTTCTAATTTGATTTTTCTTTCACCCACCTTATTTTGGCATGGATGTTTGTCTTTGGGAGTATGGTGATTTTTCTGAATAATGACTTTTTAAGAGTCAAAACAGCAACGTTCAACGCATTGGTTCTGGTGGTGGCAAGAATTTCTGTGTCTGCATGGTGTTCCCCTGAATTAGATACACTTGTTGGGATTCTTTCATTTAGGTTTCATGATAAATATTTTCTTCAGAGTTGGGTTACTTTCCTTCTCTAAAGTTATGATCAATTCAGTTGAGGTGACTTTATTGCTGTAGAAGAACTGAAAGTTGCAACAGATATTTCTGACATCCAGTGGTATTTCATGTGGGGATCAGGGTTCAGGCTTACTCACCTGGGCCAGCCAGCTGTAGAACAATCCCAATTAGCAAATTCAAATGCTAGCATCGGATTTCAAAGATGGCTGCTAGAGCCAGCTGTGGAACCAGGCTAGGCAGTAGTTCTCTAACTTCCTTTAACAGAGTCTCCTTACCTCTTGCCTGTGCTTTCTTTCCATTTGTCTTTTCATGATTGTCTCATTGAGGTTTAACTGACTGAAAAGTTCAAGGCACAGTGATCTCAAAATCTATGTGCATTTTTAGTAAATGGGATCTTCTAAGGTCCAAAGAAATGAAGCTCTAATGGTAAAATCACAGGCACCATGTTTAAAATTTTTCCAAGATGGATTGAGATAGGTATTTTAAATAGGTGGTTTCCAGCATGGGATAGCCCCTTTCATTCATCACCTGAGATAGCATACTCTGCTGTTCTGACCAGGAACCACTATGATTCCTCTGTGAGAAGGAGGTCTTCAAGCTGTTTCAGACAGGTGACACATTTAGATTTGCCTTATCAGGACATCAAATCAATTATAACACATGGTCTATGTGAAGTTCTGGTATGTGTGAATGGGTCAAAAATACCTTTTCTATTGGATGGTGAATGTTAAAATTCACAACTCTTTAAAGGTTAAAAAAGAGAGAAAGATGAAGAGAGTATGACGGGGCAAGAGAGAGAGTAGATGTGATAGCTTGATTTAAGAAGTATATGCCACCTTCGAAGCCACACAAACAAAGAGTGTATACAATTCCATTTATGTGAAATTCTAGTAAGTGTAAGTTAATCTCTAGTGACTGGAGCAGATCATATTTGCCTGAAAAGGGGGCAGGGAGGGAACGGGGGATTACAGTGGGGCCTGAGGACACTTGTGGCAGTGATGGATATGCTCATATCTTGATTGTCGGCATGGTTTCATGGTTTGTGTCTATATATATATATATATATATATATATATATATAACTTATCAAACTGTGCACTTTAAATATGTGCATTTTACAGCATGTCAGTTATACCGCAATAAAACTGTAAAATATTAAAAGGTGTATACTATCTTTGTTCTGTGACTGAATTCTGGTAAAAAGCATTTGTTCAAGTGACAACCACATCCCTGCATGCTGGCCATTTCTTTGTTTTCCAGACACCATTTGTGTGTGATAGAGACAGGTGAAAAGGGAGACAAAATTCTAGTAGGCTTTGTATCTTTGCTCTCCTGCCCCTCTATTTCCTCCTCCTTTTCAGTTCCTTCTCTTCTCCCCTCTTTTTCCTACCCACTCACCAAAGTCACTAGAATGTGAAAGTCTACATCTGCTCCTGCAAAAGCTATTTTGCAGTGCAATTAAGCATTCCTCACCTTAGCACCCCAGGAAGCTGGAGACTTCTGTGATCACCAGCATAATGGATGGTGCCCAATATCCTGGCCCAGGTGTGTGGAGGCTGAATACAGATCCATGGGGGCAGGAAGACGCTGCTTCCTGGCACACAACATGAGGCTGCCCTTCCCTCCTCGGGCCTCTTCAGAGCCTAGAGCAGCTGCTACCCTCTAGGTGACTGACAAGTCCCGCCATCGTTCACCTGCTCAGGCCAGCTGACAAATGGAATTGGCACATTGTAGACTGAGTAAATACTTCTGTAGCCATCTCTGGCTTCAGGCTGCAGGAAGAGATGTTCAAACTCTGTGACCTGACTGCATTCTCTAAGAATGGAGAGAAAAACTGGAGTGCATATTTACTCTCCTTTTAGCAAGCATGAATGGTTCCTAGACATTTTTTTTTTCTGATCTATGGCATCCATTTCCCAGTAAGGATATATATCCATTTCCCAGTAAGGATATATATCCATTTCCCAGTAAGGATATATATCCATTTCCCAGTAAGGATATAACAACTGAAGCGTCCAAATCATTTTCAGATAATTACCTGGTTTCTGCCATTTTAATTATTAAAAATAATGCATTTATGTTTACAGCCTATAGAAATACTTAAGCATAATATCAGCAATAATAAGTAGTAATTAATGAATCATGTGTTATTAGTTCAGTTTGACCATTCTGTAGCTTTTTGGAATGAATTGCTAGTAAAATAGGGGCACTATTAAAATTTTGGATGCTGAGTTCACACTGAACATTTTGAAACTACTACATTCTCCTCTGGTTTGTCTGAACATTATTCTTTCTGAGACCTCAATTTGTTCTCTAATGAATACCTCTATAAGAGGAAAAATTATATAGACTAACTTTCTTTGTACGCTTCCAGCTTGATTGTACAACTATACTGTTACAAATCGACTGAAACAGCCTATTTCAGTTTTTTTCTGTCTCCATAACCAATGCTGAATAGATGAGCAGAAATAGCTCTCTTCATGTCAGAAACTTTAATTAAACCATTCTGAAAATAAGCACGTGGAAGTACGGGCAGGACCTTAATTTAATCACACTTCCTGCTTAACTGTTACCTTGAGGGGTTGGAGGTTAGGCATAGCTGTTCCCCCATTGTCAGAGGGATGGATGGGGGAGTGTGTTGGGATTCAGAAGACTGTAACTTTCAATCTTTGGGACTCCCATATTAAATTGTAGTCAGGGCTAAGTGAAGGCATATGGCTTATGGAATGTTCTAGGTATTCACGTGAATGGGTCACATGAAATTAATTGATCTCTATTTACATATACAAATCTCTATTTTATTAATTAATAAAATTTAATAAAATTTATATAGCTCATGTATAAGCACGTACAAATATTTACTCTGTTAATCCTTACAACAATCCTGAAAGGTAGATCCTCTCCTTAGTCCCATTTTACATATGAAGGAAGTTTAAGTAACTTTCTCAGCTGGATTTGAACCCAAAAAGCCAAGCTTTACTATATGGGTTTGTCAACATTTTTCTTTCGTCAGAATTTAGGAGTGCGTATGTGCAAGAAGCCTGATTCTTCTTGTCTTTTTATATATACCTTCTTCACCCCATCATCCAGCCTTCCAAATAAATCTGTTTAGTGTGATGGTCCAGTCTCCAATGGCTGGCTGCTCATGTGCTGATCTCCAAATCTCTGCAGCATTCAGCTTTTCTGTGTGTTCTGTCCAGAATTATCAGAAGATCAGAAGATTCCCGGCTGCTTTTTAAAAACTGTTTTTCTGCTTCTTGAATATTAATTCTTAGGCTTCTCTGACCTTTTCTTCCCCACTCACCAGCAATCATTTTTTCTGAAATGATATAATTGGGTCCTTTTACAAGTCATTGACATGAGAAAATAAACTGAAATAAACTGAAATAGAACTGAAATAGAAGAAAAAGCACATTATAACTGTATTAAAAGAAGATTTTGTGTTTGATTTCTTAATTTTTTTCTGGTAGTTGCTCTGACATCTCATTCCCCCAACATGCATATACCTCCAGAGCCTTCTAAAGAGAGGGACCATATTCACATCCACATATGTATTGGTGTTAGGTGACATATAGTTCTGAGATTTTACATTTTTCAGTTGGGGAAAAATAATGACACGTACACAGTAGGATTGATACTTCCATTAGAAAAATAATCAATATTAAATAATTTGTAATACAATGTTAAAATCAAATGCATTGAAAGGCAATGGAGAACACATTTTCCAATAGGATGGAATTTAATTAGCTTACATAGTGTCCTACTGGCATGCAAAACCTTGTTCAGTGATTCTACAATAAAATCATTTTGGTTGTCAGATACATATTTGCAAAGATCAAAATGCTCACAAGCTTTATTGAATTACAGAGGTCCTTTTACTTTTCTGTTCCCCGTGTGAATGTGCAGTAAGTTCAAGTCAGAAGGTGAGTTATGAAACCATCTAGTCCAATTTTTGTTAGTAGTGATTCATTTATATGGCTCTGAAAGGCTGGGCTATTGGACATTCATCTTTTTTTTTCTATCTGTTTGTAGTTATTTCACAAGAGTTCAGTTGGGCCACTTCTTTAAACATCTTTAAAACAGATGGCATGATGGATTGCTTACAAGGAAATATAAATTTCTGTAAGAGATTTTGGCTGTTAAAAGTCCTTCCTTTAAATAACTGTTGATCAACATGTCTTTTAAAAAGGGTTAGAGAAAGTTTGGCAGCATTGAATTAATTTGCTTACTTATCTTTACTCAGAATAATGGGGGAAAACCCAAACCAGACATGCCATCAGCCTGTGGACTGTGGCTGAGTTTTGATAGCTCAACCTTCACAAACCCTTTGGCAAGAAGGAGTATGTGCGTCAGGCGAGTGATATCAAATATATTGTCTGTGCTCTTAAACTCTGCGCTATCCCAGAATCCTCCAGTCTTCCTTGTTTCCTTCAGCTCCGCAAACTTCTAGGCCAGCCTTTCCCCTAGTCTCCCAGGGTTCTGCCCTGCTTGTCACAGTGTCCCTTGGTTGCATCTTCAACTAATAGGTTTCAATTTGATAATAGATCTTATCATGCCTTCTGGGGTTTCTCTCTCAGGTAATTTGCATTTAGATAGAGATTTCAAGACTCCCGTAATTCTGTCCTTACAATTGTCTTTTAATGATGAGAATTTTAGGCAGCTTCTTACATGCTGGGGTCTTTTATTTCTCTGATTTTCCATATTTTTAGGGTGCATATTTGGAAGGAGGCACTGGTATAGCCTTATTGGTTGTTAGATATCAAAAGATGTCAGTATTTGTTGGTAAATAGTTACTGTCTTGAGCTTCTTGAGGAATGTCCGTCACTCATCAGCCATTGAGACCTTTCCCCTGTCCACCTCCCCAGAGCTGAACAACAGGAAGCAGAGCAGGGTGGTCGCCAAACCCAGCTCAGGTGGTTGGGTCAAGGTCCTCTCTAACTGGTTGCTGCCCTGCACCATACTGGGTGTTAACTGTTTTGAATTTTAACCCTGCATACAGGAAACTAACTTCAAGTGGGATTGGTTTTGGGCTGAGCCAATGAAGCATCAGTGTAGACAGATACAAATAATTTGAAGACAAGACAATAGTGAAAGTTATATGACTTAGACATATTCCAAGAAGCAATGTGAGAGTAACATTAAACATCACAGCAATTTCATAAAATGAGGAATGAATCCCGAGACATTTGTTTAAAAGAGACGAGGCTGCCCAAAACTGAGTGTTCTCAATTGTCAGGTCTGTTTTTATTCTTTTTCACTCTATGAAAGCAGTGAAGGTTATGTCCTGAATATAGAATATGATGAAGCATTAGCAGTTTATGTCTTAATAAAGTGGTTCTTAATGGTGTGTGTAGGTAGCTGGTGATTCAGAATCAGGCCTTGTCTTGGTCGCAAAATGGTAGGTCAAATTCATGGCAGGTAGGAAGTTTTCAGAGAGAATTTATATACGTCAGCTACATAGATTGCTTAAGGTAATGATTATATACATATATGAAAGCCTGAATATAGTATAAATCACCCATATTAATACTTTTAATACATAATAGACACATTTTGATTTGTAAACAATTTTGAGGAAGGCTGTTTTTATTAGTTTGCCAGCTATATGGAGAATGCTTGAGATTCAAGTCAGTGATTCAAATAACATGCCACATACAGGCCAGCTACTGCTGCAGACATTTTCATATTCTCTCTTTTGGTCTTTCCAATAGCATTGTGAAGGGGGTATTATTAACTTTCAAGATGAGGTTCAGAGTGGCTGATTAGATATTTCTTTTCACACCAAAGGTCTCAGAGCACTTTCTACGTGTGTCAGTGCTTTAAAGACAAGTAAGTCACATCTGCTGTTCTTGGAAGTTTCTGTTTTAACTCCTAAAACACCTTTTGTCTTTCTTTGATATTAAGTGGATATCTCAGCTCTACAAAAAGCAGCAATGTTTAATAAAGTGATTTGTGCCAGTGGATGTTGTGTGGGTTTCAGAAGATGTGAAGAACAGATTCAAGACATGAAAGGTATTGAAATCAAGAGGCTGCCCTTCTCTAGGTTGAAAGAAATTTTGTGGCTTCTATTTGTTCTTGCATGTTGAAAAGTTAAGAGTAGATAGATGTAGATTTAAAAATATTTGTCAAATGAATACTAATTTGCTAGATTCTTTCACATACAATTTGCCATCCAGTCCTTGAAACGACTCTATAAGAAAGATGTTAACTTCATTTCACTGATGAGGCACCTGAAGCTGTGTGATGTTATGGAAATTGCCTGGCTAGAATTGGAGGTGATTTGAGCCTAGTCTCAGAACAATAGTCTACTGTTGCATTTCCATGGAGCAAAACTTGTATCTCTCATTTTTATGAATATGAAAAATGAAGGGGCCAGTTTTGACTGGAAACTTGTTCTCCTTTCTAGTTTTAAATTTAGTTTAATACTGAGAGATGAATATTGGATTTTTAAATATTTACAGTCCATTTAAATTATGTCAATAAGGAGCTATGGTGCCAAAGTGTTTATAGTATCATATTTTAAAGTCTCTCCTATTATGAATACGATGCCAAAGTTTCTTATGCTGGAAAGAACTTTAAGATGATGCAGTTGAAAAATAATTGAAGTTGCTATTAAGTATGGAATCTTATAAGAAAATATGTTGGGGAAATACTCTATAAATTAAAATCTCCACTTATAAATAAGTTACAAATATTATAACTATTTGAGAATTCGACAACTAAAGTTGTTGTTGTTTTTTTTTAATGCATTCTGGTCCAAGCTCCTAGTAAACATAGCTTATTACGTTGACTACTTATAAGCAGCTGCTTTTTGCAAACCACTGACTCTGACAGGAACTATCAAGCAGTTCTAATTCGAAGGTCAGCTATTGCAAGGTGATTCATTAGCTCCTTAATCATACAAATATGGCCAAAGCCACACTCCCTCAATATAGATAATGGGTACGGCAAACGAGTTCTGCTTGCAACGCTGTAGCTGACCTTTGAAAGAAATCTGTCCTTGTGAGCTGAGTCTCCTTATTTCCTTTTTTTCTGGGCAGATGGTGACTTTTCTCCCTGAGATACCAGCTCTACTAAATACTGCTTTTATGCTAGTCATTTAAGGCTTAGTTATAGGCATCAGAAACAACCAGGAGAGTCTTACAAATTATTTAAATAAGATCTTTAAATAAGATCTGAAAATGTGACTCAGCCTGCAGAACTTACGTGGGCCCTGCCCACACTGCTGCTTAGTCAGCTCTCCCTACTGTCCCTGCTCATCATCTTTCTCATTCAGTAGTGGTAAAGCAGACTCACTCTGTTCCTCTGTTTTTTGTTTTTTATTTTATATTTAAAAATATATTTTCCATTTTATTGTGATAAGAACATTTAAACATGAGATCTTTCCTCTTAACAGATTTTAAATATGCAATACAATATTTTTATCTATAGGCACGATGTTTTACAGCAGATCTCTGGGACTTACTAATGTCATATAACTGAAGGTATATACCCACTGATTGGCAGTTTCCCATTTCTCCCTCCCTGTGTCCTCAGCCTCTGGCAGCCACCATTTTATGAGTTTGACCACTTCACAAATCTTTTTTTTTTTTTTGACAGAATCTCTCTCTGTCACCCAGGCTGGAGTGCAGTAGCGCAATTTCTGCTCACTGCAAACTCCCGGGTTCAAGAGATTCTCCTGTGTCAGCCTCCGGAGTAGCTGGAATTACAGGCAGGCACTACCACATCTGGCTAATTTTTGTAGTTTTAGTAGAGACGGGGTTTCGCCATATTGGCCAGGCTGATCTCAAACTCCTGACCTCAGGTGATCCGCCCTCCTTGGCCTGCCAAAGTGCTGGGATTTCAGGTGTGAGCCAACGTGCCCAGCCCACTTTACATTTCTTATATAAGTAGAAGCATGTAGTATTTATTCTTCTGTGACTGGCTTATTTCACTTAGCAACAAAAACACCTAATAATATAATAAAACAATGGGCTACATACTTGAATAGACATTTCTCCAAAGAGGACATACAAATGATTATGTATCGACAGAAAAAGTATGATCCATTGCCTCCCCATCATAAGGGTCACAGCCAACACCCCATATCAAAAGACATGTTAACAAGAGAAAAGCGTAAGAAGTTTATTTGATCAAGTTTCTTTGTGACACAGAATCTTTCAGAATGAAGACCCAAAGATACAGGGGAGGCTATCCGATTTTGGGCTTAGGTTTGATGAAGTAGAGACTGTCATGTAGAAATGTGATTGGACAAAAAGGAGTATGATCTAATAGTAATAGACTGATTTGGGGGGCTGGGGAAAACCAAGCGAGGCCTGTGTCCAGATTCTCCTTGGCTGCTCTATGCAGCATTTTTAATTTCCAGGTCTGAGGGAGGACACTCTCTGGAATGGGAGTCTTATGACCTACAGTCAAGGTAGGTCAGATTATTTATTTATGTCTGTTCTTACAGAGAAAGGTGGGGAGAAAGTTAGAGTGGTATTTTTAGGTTTTATGTTGGCTTTGGGGAAAAGGGGTTCTGGTGTCTATGACCCACCTGGAGAGAACAGGGATTCTAGTTTTTAAGGCTAGCCTTGGGAGAGAATGAGGCTGAGAGACAGGAGGAGGTCAGAAAGGGATTTTGCTTCTGAAGCTGCTTCTGAGGTCTTCACTTTGGAGTATCATTTTCTGAGCCTCAGCAGCCAACAAGTATGTGAAAAAGTCATTAATCATCAGGGAAATGCAAATTAAAACCAAAATGAGATATCACCACATATCTATTAGGATGGCTATTATATATAAAAAAGATAACAAATGTTGGGGAGGATGTGGAGAAAAGGGAACCCTTTACACTGTGGGTGGGAATGCAAAGTGGTACAGTCATTATGGAAAACAGCATGGAGATTCTCAAAAAATCAAAATTAGACTACCTTGTGATTCAGCAACCCTGCTTTCTGGGTATTTATCCAAAAGAATTGAAATTAGGATCTAGGGGAGATACTAGCACTCTCATATTCATTGCAGCAATATTCACAATAGGCAAGATGTAGAAACGATATAAATATCCATCAATGGGTAAGTGAATAAAGAAAATGTGGCTTATACACATATCAGTGTATTATGTAGCCATAAAAAGGAAATCCTGCAATATGTGACAACAGGGATGAAACTTGAAGACACTGTGCTAAGTGAAGTAACTATTTCTCTTTTTAAAGAATTACAGACTCTGTGAATAGGGCCCATAAGCACACACTCTATCCTCCTGAGTGTGGCCATTGAGATGTATCCATACATGCAGGTGGCAACAGAGGAAAAGTAAAGTGCACCCTATTCTCTATTCCAGTGTATCAAAGGGAAATGCTTCTTTCTTACTAAAAATAGTTGAAATTTGGAAATTGTTCTCTCAGTGGTGTTCTGGATTAATAGCATCTGTCCATTTACATCTCTTTTTTGCTGTGATTTCTCTTTAACTACTGTCTCTTCCCTTGTTGGATTTATAATTCTTGAGACGAGCTGGAAAGAAATGATCAGAGCGTCAAGGTTAAGAGAGACAACAGTGTCTCACCTCTCTTTCCTTCAAATAAGTGTCGGCTACATCAACACATCTGTTTATATCAGCAATCCCCAACCTTTTTGGCACCAGGGACCCGGATGAAACTGTTTCATCTCAGACCCTCAGGCATTAGATTCTCATAGGGAGTGTGCAACCCTTGCATGTGCAGTTCACAATAGGGTTCCTGCTCCTATGAGAATCTGATGCTGCCACTGATCTGACAGGAGGGGGAGCTCAGGTGGCAGTGCTGGCTTGCCTGCTGCTCATCTCCTGCCGTGCAGCCCAGTTCCTAACAGGCCAAGGACTTGGACCAGTCTGTGGCCTGGCGGTTGGGGACCGCTGTGCTATGTGATCTGGGTTGAACATGAAGTTTTGGTCAGAAAACAATGTAACATGCATATTGTAGAGGTGGCATTAGCCTTGTTTGCAACATGCCATAAAAGACAACTTAAGAGGCTTGAGTGTAGATGTTAGGAGGTTTTTTCCTCTCACGAAAGCATTCAGAATTATCATTTAACTTCTGTTTAAAATAAAACAAGAGAGGTAGTATGTTTTCTGCTTCCCTGAGGTTTGCTAGCAGATTTTAATAGCTCTGTAGGCTGAGAGATATTGTATTTCTAGAACATGGAAGCACAGAACTTGTCATTTGAAGGCAGTGTCTATCCCAAAGAAGTTATGCATTCTTGACTATAAAAGTAAAAGGCGGAAGTCTGTCATATTCGCTTTTGCATGGGGCAAGCAAACATTGCTGTCTTCATGCAAAAACCAAGGGAATAAACACAGAAGTATGTTTTGCTCAGGATTATCTTCAATTGTTTAATGAGTCTTCATAAAAGTTCAGGTGCATTCCCAATTCTCAGCTCTGTCCACAGCTGCATATTTTAATTACTCTGGAGTATAGAGGGAGATTTTGTTAATCCCTAGCTATAACATGCTTGAGTGATTTGAATACTTCTTCCCTAGGCCAGTAGCATGCATATTCTGTATTGAGGCCACATTAACTATGCAAGGGCCAAATGAAGACCTGTGAGAATGGTTTTCAAAACATGGTCCCAGCATGAGGGATGTGTTGTTACTAAGTCAAAACAACTCCACAAAGTTCCAATGAAACCCACAGGCTACTATAACCTCAGACCAAATACTCATGAATAAGTCTCTCAGGATGTAACCATCACTATGAATAAGTTTTAGGATTTATTTTTAATGAATTTATTCTATTAAAAATAAAACAAATTCATTTACTATAGAGTAGAGATGCCCTTCCCTGGGGTATTCTATCTGTGAAATACCAGGGTTTATATCACAAGTCCAAATAAAGGATATTTCTTGAGATTTTAATCTCCTAAAATAAGTTTTGGTGACTTTTTTTGTCCAAGTGCAATTTTTGCTTGGATTTGAAAGGGTATTTATATTAGTAGGGGGCGAAGGTGAGAATGATTACAAAGGTTGCTTAGAATCTAACACGCTAAGCTTGTTTGTAAAGCAATCCTATATACCTGACACATGCGATTCTCTAGGATTGTTAGCTTGGGAACCAACTTCAATCCCAGAGGCGCTGCTGAGGCTGGAAGCATTTTTGGAAGCCTCCTTTAGAAATGGCTGTAAATGTCAGTTTATAAACGATACAGAACTTCCTCACTTATTTATGTTGATAACTCCTTTTAAAAAATACATTCTGTCATTTTCCTTATTTACTACATTTTACTTCAAATGATGTTTGGCTATTTAAAAAAACTTGGAACATAAAAAGGATATTGAAGAAAAATGAGAAAATCTGAATAAACTATGAACTTTAGTCAATAACAACGTTTGGTTCATTAATGTAACAAATGCATCATACAAATGTAAGATATTAATGATAGAGGAAATTGGGTATGAGTTATATGGAAATTCTCTGTACTATTTTTGCAATTATTTTGTAAATATAAAACTATTCCAAACTAAAAAATATTTTAAAAAAAGGACAGACCTCATGCTTAAGATATGTTACCTTTTTTTGATACTTCTTATTGACTAAGAAAAGAAAAGAAAAGGAAATGAGGAATAAAATAGTAAATAACATTTTCTGGGCATCTATTATATTTCAGAATCTTATATATGTATGCTTATTTAATTCTCACAATAGGCCCATCCAGTAGTTATTTCAATTTTGTAGGATAAAAAAAAGATACAAAGGTTAAATAAATTGGCCAAGGAAAAAATAGCTAATATGTGGTAAATGTGAGAATTCAAACCCATTTTTACCTAGGCCCTAAATTCTCTCCACTACATTATCATATGTCTTCCATAAATGTGTCATTGGCTTTGAAATTATTTCCCAAAGAGCAGTTTTCAAAACAGTATCATGTACAAATTGTCAAAAACTGACCACTTTGAACAGAGTAGCACTGCTTCGGATATAACATTTCTGGTGTATTTATCTTCAAAATTAGTCACACTATTTTCTCATTATTGTTACTAATTCTCTGATAAAGTCCATAATAGTGACAGATCTTTCACATTTGGAGGAGCTGTTTTCACTTCAGGGATGGTGAATCTCTTGGACCAATCTCCTTTCTGAACTTGTCATCAGGCCAAAGCGTCCATTTGGTAGAAAGGCCTGTAGTGTGGAAATGAGGTTGGCTCTTGGAAATGTGGGGCCCAAATAAATGCTCTATTAATGGAGGATCCAGGACTTTTGCCAACATGGTGGCTTATCCAGCTGCCAAGCGTATCATGGAGAAATAGAGAGTGCCTGTTCATGAGCCCAACAAATGCCGTATTGGAAGTGGGCTTTCATACCTGCGGTGAATGCTGTGGTATATTGCCTGGACACTCACTTCCCCAGCTTCTGTGAGTGTTCACTGCTAGACTCTCACAAATGTGTCCCTCCGCAGGAATTGCCGTCTGCTGGAGGGGTTGCCTCACTACAGGATTGCCCCCTCCTTTGGGGATGCCTCCTTCCAGTGACTGATAGATGTCAGAGTAACAAAGGCTTGGTCCCCTTGCCTCAATACAGGGCATCTCTGAAGGAACCCCTAGCTTCAGAGCTCCTTCTGGGATAAGCTGAGGTCTGTCTTGCAATTGTCTCACACTTCAACTTTACCTTTTTCCCAGTTCTGTTTCCTTCACTCTCTCCAAGAGCGTTTCTCAGTAGGCCATTTATTTAAAATATGGCCACCTCAGAATGAGTTTCCAGGGAAGCACAGTCTGTGACAACTCCTCAATGTGTTACTGCCTTCTCTCCTTTTGGGAAGAATCCACTAAATTTATAATTCTCTCTTTACTTAAAAGTGTAGACTGCATTTGCCCAATATAGCACTTGTGTCACCAAAATGTAATTTCTTTTTTTTTTTTTTTGCATGTATTCCCTACAGAAGTGGTCTCTTTAAAGGTTGGAACTGTGTGTTGCACATTTCTGTGTCCCCATTGCTTGGTGCGCTGTAGGAACTCAGAAAACATTTGTGGAATTGAATTGTACTTAGATACGCCAAATTAGTCAAGCTCCTTTCAAGATCTTTTATTTATATTGGTTTTGCTTCAAAGTTACTTTGTCATACAACCAAAAGCATTGATGGGATTATCCTGGACACTTATTTCTTATTTGTTAATACCGGTTGATTTTTAAAAAATGGGCCAAGATTTAAAAGGAATGGTTCTGGAAGAAAGAAATTCTGAAAACCAAGATTTGCCTACAGGTCAAAATTTTTCTTCTAATATGTGTGGTTCTGAAATAGAAATATACATACTACAGGATATTGATTCAGAAATTATGATGATTTCTTCCAACCAAGGAATGACTACTTAGAACTAGAGGAAATTTTATGGTGCTCCAAATAATGTAATTTTGTTTACACAGATGATAGAATTGTCACGTGTCACTTAGAGCTTACAATAAGTCGTGGCACAACAGCCATAGCCTCCTGCTTATAGTATCATTCCTCTTTTCCGTCTCTTCATTACCTATTTCGTTTGTGCCACCTGCTAAGACTTAATTATGGGTTGGCTTGAGTACCTTTGCAGACAGGCCACTGGGGAATCTCTGCCCACAGACATCTTGAACAAAGCACAGACTCAAACTAGAACTGAGAAAATCACCAATTGGAAAACATCTCTGTGATTTCCCATATAGAAGCAAAGCCTTGATAAATATTTGGACTTTATAGGCTCATAGGGCCTTAGCTTATGGGCCCTCTAGCTGTTGCCTACCGTGGTCAATGGGCTTGGTGTTAGTCCCTTACATTTCTATGGTTTATGTCTCCCAAGGCCTGTGTTAGATGTTTTATCTTGCCTCCTGCCTTTGAGACCACTCTCCTATTCTCCATCATAGAATGTACTTGCACAATCAATTGCTGCTGAAACTTTCACCTAGTTTGAGAGTTAGGTAGTGAGTGCTATTAATAGTTGAAGTTGTGAGTCTGCCTTGACCCTGGAGGAGTTTTAAATATCCATTCAATCCTTTATATACTGAAAAGATTTAGGAGTTAATAAAGAGCATCCAATAGTTTGTGTCTTACCTAGCACAAAGCCAACTAACTTTCTTACTACTTGACATATCCATGAAACTTTATATTCAGTCTCATAACTACTTTTATGTTGGGTTGAATACTAATAATGCTCTTTTGCTGATGTTTAACTCTTCACATATATCTCTTGTCTTCTTAGAATAAATGTTCCCTAAGAGAAAAGTTCCTGTCTTATCTATCTTTTAATCTTTCAAAATGCTTAGAATACTGCTTTGCATATAACACGCTAGGCTAAATATAGTTGATTACACTCAGCATTCACTTCTACCTTCTTTTTATCACCATAAAAGGTCTGGGAGGCTAAAGACTACATTTCTCAAACTGCTTTTAAGCTTGGGTGATGATGTGCTTTTCGTTGGGCCAGTAGGATGTATATGCATGAGATTGGAAGGGAGGTGGAGGACAGCTTTCCTCAAGAGTGTCAGCTGCAAGCCAACCCCTAAGAATGAAAGTATTTTCCATATCCTTGTGCCAAATTCCAATCTCTGGCCACCAGCTTGTGGGTGTGGGACAACAGGTGATCAGAGCAGTAGTTCAGTAACCTTTGGAGCACAGCCAAGGGGGTGTAACTTTGATCAAAAAAATCTAATCAGTGGCAACTCCCTGACTGCCTTTTTCACTGATTTAGAGAATACCTAATTCCTTATTAGATTTCCTTCTTTTGAAATGTTGAGTGTTTTTTGTTTCTTGCCTTGAACCCTGACTGTTATATAGTTGCTCTACATTATTTGTTGACATAGTAAAAATATTTTATGCCTATCTCAGGTTATGCAAGAAAGTTTTGCATTATAGTTCTGTTTGTTTCTAATTTTATGTTTATGTTTCTAATTTATTTTTCTTTTCTTTTCTTTCTTTTTTTTTTGGAGACAGGTCTCTCTCTGTCACCCAGACTGAAGTGCCATGGCATGATCATATGTCACTGCAGCCTTGAACTCCTGGGCTCAAGTGATCCTCTGGCCTCAGCCTTCTAAGTAGCTGGGCTATAGGTGTGCCCCATCATGCCTGGCTAATTTTTAAAATTTTCTGTAAAGACAGCATTTTGCTGTGTTGCCCAGGCTGGTCTTAAACTCCTGACCTCAAATGATTCTCCTGCCTAAGCCTCCCCAAGTACTGGGATTACAGGCATGAGTCACTGCTCCCAGCCCTAAGTTTCTAATTTCTGATGGACTACAAAGGGTTGAAAAGCGCTAAGGATTCATTTATATTCCTTTAGTCACTCTGATGGCATAATGAGCTCCTGGATTCTTCCAAACAAGCACAAATGCATTCAGTTGGTCAGTACAAAGGATTATAGCAAATAGGACATTATAGACTATAGAACTTTGAGTTGAAAAAACCTTGTATTGCGAAGTGAGCCTTTTCAAAAGGATCTGAAATGATTTACTCAACATCCTAAACAGTGAACACTCATTTATTTAAGCCCACGAAATCTCCCATGGATGCTTTTGATCTCATGGCAAAAATCCACATTCTGAAGCTGAATATTGTGGACTATTTGAGGAAAATTATATCTTTTACATGTAGTAGGCTTATCATGGGAAGAACTCAAAACACAATGAGAGATGTTTAGTAAGGCATGAACCATACATCATTTGCCTCTCTCCAAATGGCACTTCTGATTGTAGAGGTAGGACAACATCCCAGCGGTCTTGATTTGTGTCCACTGTGCTGTCTTGTGCCATTGGTCTGCTAAGTGCGTGATGCAGATAATCCTTTTTGTTTGAGCTTTCTGTAGTTCTTTCTCACATACATCCTCTCTGTGGGCCTGTAAATTAGAACTGCGTCCAGTAGTTCAGCAACCTTGGCTTCCGTGAACATAATGATGGATGCTGACATTAACATGGTAACTTACTGCTTACAAATCTTTCACAAATTATAATTATCTGAGCCTTTCAAGCTTTGTGAGGTAAGTAAGGCAGGTCTGTATCATACTACACTTATTTTATGGGTAGGGAGAAAAATATCCTAGAGACAGTCACATACATATTAAAATGAAGGATGGAATCAGTTGGGATTTTTAAAAACTATTTCTATGTTGTTAGCTGATGTCTTCAAAAATATTTGCTAGAAGGTTGTTGAACTATTGTGTCCCAAAATTAAAGGTCAATTGTATTAAAATGCCTAAGCCCCAAGTCCAGTCTGTGGTAATGGGTGATCTGGTAAAGATTTCTCCACAGGAGGTCTCTCAATATCTGATGTTTACAAGTTAACGTGATTTATAAGCAAGAGAGAAGGTAAAAAAGACACTTTGCAGGATAATTTTTGAGCTTTTACCAACCTTTGCAATCTAGATTTTGACCCTGAGGCAAAGGGATCATCCGAGTCTTTCTGGTTTCCTGGACTCTTCTGGTCCACTGGCTGTGAATTATTCAAGGGCAAAGAGACCATGTCATTCATTTGTAAACCGTGCGCCTTGACCAGTGCTGAAAACACAGTCAAATGTCCACTAAGCCTGGCTGGTGGTTCTTATCCCATAGTTCCTCTGAATTAATTCATTATCATTTGAGGTACTGTGTCAAATGCTTAACCTCCAGTGCTAATGTGTATCTCCAGCCCTTCGTTTGGAATTCTCTTCTAGTATAAAAGCGATCAATTTTTTTCCTGGCGTGGTGGCTCTTTATAAATGCTTGCTGTTTATTGTGTCTGCTCCCATTATTCTCTCTCCTTCCACATTTAATTCACTCTTATACTTTATTTTGTTTTGTTAAATGCTATTGCCAAATCACAAAATACATACAGATAGAATATGAGTGTAACACTTTCCCACTCTGTTCTAGACACATGCTCTTTAACAAGAACATTTTTATCATCAAATTGGGAGGAATAGAAGGAACACTGAGTCATTCCCCAGGAGTATGAGAAAACCTGGTGCTGCGGTGGGGACTTGGCTTTCCCACCTGTCCTGCCTGGGTTCACACTGGGCTAAAGCATCAGATGGAGGAGACAGGGTACTGACTACATCGACACTGACTCTTCCATTGCACTGGAATGATTGACAACTGGTTGGTAATTCTTCTGTGAGAATTTTCAGGGGACAAGGGTATTCTGAGGCTGGCTCTTTCAGGCTTCTTGTTGTTGTTCCATTTTTAATACATCCCTTTCTTTTCAAAGAAAAAAAGTCTTGTATTTTTGAGGGTTCAATTCAGATTAGAATTTTTTTGGTATGTAAGTTACGAGTATTTTTTTTTTAATCCTCTACTGCCCACATCCTCCTAATGTCTAAGAGGAACTGAATTGGCAGCAAGTAGCACATCTATTTGCTTCTCCTTTTCCTGAGAAATTCCCAGAAGATCCTTTCAGAAAAACAGGCTTGAATTGTGCCCACTCCTTGTTGCTAATGCTCACTAGGAGAGATGGCAACACTAATGCAAGCAGTTATTAACAATGGCATTTGGGCCATGAGTGGCTTGCAGAAGTTGAGAATGCAGTATTTTAAAATGGGACTGTGTGGAAAAGCTGAATTCAAATTGAGAAGGGGGCTGCACATGTGCTTCATTTAACTTCAGACAAATTTTTGACTACTTGTGTCATATGCAAATGTGTACAACAATGCTTGAAATTGGATTTCCATTTTACTTAATTAGATTAGTGCAAGATCTGCATAATAATCAACAGTTAGCAGTCCTGCTACTCCTGGGGTTGAGAATTTCAAAATGATTGCTGGTTTTGAAGTTTGGTCTGACCCAGGGGAATTAGGTCAATTGGTTGATTTTGGGTATAGCTATGGTTGGTTATACTTACATTTGCGTGGTCTGACTAAAAGACCTCAATTTTCTTTAACTCAGATAGGTAGACATAAAAATAGAATTGTGCTTTTTTTAAATTCCATAGAAGTAATTAAGGATTTTTTTTAAAGACTACGCTCTAACAAAAATAAGTTTGTTTTATTTTTTCCTGAGTTTTAAAGAAAATGAGTAATGAAACCTCACTGCATGTTTTCTCTCCAACATGAATAATAGGAATTTGAAATCCATTATAATTACAATTAGGGTGTTTTCTCTCCAGGTTTTAGATATCTACAGTGTGTGGCCTGCAAAGAGAACAGCTTTACATAATTACAAAAGACAAGGAAGACTGGTTTCAGAAAAGCCAATGGTGGAACAGATGATTACATACAAAATTCTGGGGAAGAAGACAATGACAATACTAAGAGAGAGAGAGCTCAAGAGAGCGATACTAAGAACTCATTCAGAAATCAAGAAAACCCAAATAGCATTTATCCAAGCAGAGAGCAGCTCTGCAGTGTTCTATTAAGCAAAAGGAAGGCAGATGTTCCATTTTGTCCCTGTTGGGAAGGTTTTCATTTATAGCTGGGTGATGTTTTTAAATAAGACTTTCCTAAGTAACTGCTTTATGGAAGGAAATCAAATTTCTATGACAGGCTAGAGGAGTTTTAGGCCACTCTGGTGGCTCTCAGATGGGCAGTTCAAACTTTGACTTAAAGGTAGCATGTAGAAATGGAAAAAGTTCAAGACTTAGAGTTAAGGACTCCATGTCTGCCTTTGCCATTAAGTACTCTTTTTACCTTTCATGCCTCAGTTTCTTCATTTGTTAATCAGGATTATAATAACACACTGTGTGAAATTGGCACACCTTTTAACTTCCCTGGGTCTCAGGATTTTTATCTGTAAAATGAGACTATTTTATGACTCTAGAGAACATCTAAGCAAGGGTACTTTGGTTTTTATGTAAGCAAATTCTCAATTACCTCCCTATATCTCATATTCTGGCCCTGCTGTTCGTTTTTCATGTTTCATGGAGTGTTTATGATGATTAAATGAGACTACATACAGATAATTGCTTTAAAAGTTATAGAGGGTGACCTAGAAATCAAAGTGAGACTTTTATTGTTAAGTCAACATCAGGTCTTGAAACAAATTCCAAATTTTTGCCAAAGTGTCTATAAATCATACATCCAGTCCAGCATAGGATCCTAAGGGGGAAATTTCCCACCCCAAAATTGGTAAGTGGTGGAGACAGAATTTAGACCAAGTCAGTGCAATCAAGGTCCATGTTCCTGATGATGGTCTGTATTGTGCACATAGTGGGAATGACCAAAATTCAAACTGAATCGGGAGGAATACTGATGAAGAGGTTCATACCTTCTTTTCCTTTTTCCTCTGGATTCTTTCCATCAGGGGGAAATGTCCATAACTCCTTCTTTACTTCTCATAATAGGCCTCTGTAATGTCAAAGGAGAGATCGTCTGAAGCGTTGCTTTTACTGAGGTGTCAGATGAGTTCTTACCCCTGTGATTAGGTTATTGATGAGGAAAATACACATTTTCCCCTTATCTGTTATATATGATCCATGTAAATTGAGTTTTTAGATTTAGCCATGCTGGAAGACTAAACGTGTTCTTGAAAATCTGTGAATGGCTGAGGTTTTCTTAAATTTTATAGCCTAAGTTATTGGTAATGTACTTCATAAATCTCAAGAGATAAGAACCCATGCAAAGATGTTATTATTAAAGATGAAGTGTTTATAATGGATGAGTTATGGTGGTAGAGGTGGTGGTATGTGTGTTTTCATTTAATTGGGAAGAGATAGGTGTAATGATATGGGCAGGGCTTTGTTGATAATATCTCTGCAGTGTCACCTTTTCTGAGTCAGACTGGAGGCAGATTCCAACCTGCTTCCATGACATCTGGCAGGCATAATGAGGCCAACAACATTTGCTAAGACCGTGTGAGTTAGAATCATGCTTGTCCTCAAGATTTATAAGTACCACGTTTATAAAAGAAAGATTGTCTTAATGTTATGTAACAGACTGGATGTAGGACGGAAGGAAGTGGAAGGAGCCATGGATATATCGAAGGTTTCCAACTTGGGTGACTGAGACAGTGGGGACAGGAAGAGAAACAGGCTTGGTAAGAAAGATGATAACATTTTTGGACATCTTGTTTGTGAAGTGGTTGTGAGATATCCAGCTGAGGATGATAATAGGCTCTGTGTTAGGCCATTCTTGCGTTGGTATAAAGAAATACCTAAGACTGGGTAATTTATAAAGGAAAGAAGTTTAATTGGCTCACAGTTCCACAGGATGCATAGAAAGCATGATGCTGGCATCTGCTTGGTTTCTGGGGCAGTCTCAGGAAACTTACAGTCATGGTGGAAGGTGAAGGGAGAGTTGGCACTTCACATGGCTGGAGCAGGAGCAAGAGAGAGAGGGGTGAGGTGCTACCCATTTTTAAATGACCAGAGCTCATGAGAACAGCACCAAGGGGATGGTAGTAAACCATCATGAGAAATCTGCCTCCATGATCTAGTTACCTCCCACTAGGTCCCACCTCTAACAGGAGGGATTACAATTTGACATGAGAGTTGGGCCGGGACACAGATCCAAACTATATTAGGCTCTATGAAGTAGATGTTTAACTCAAGGGTGGGGGAAGTATCTGTTGTTGATATGGTTGGGCTGTATCCCCACCCAAATCTAACCTTGCATTGTAATAATCTCCATGTGTCAAGGGTGGGTTCAGGTGGAGATAATGAATCATGGGGGTAGTTTACCCCATACTGTTCTCATGGTAGTGAATAAGTCTCACAAGATCTGATGGGTTTATAGATGGGAGTTCCCCTGCACAAACTCTCTTTGCCTGCTACCACATAAGACATGACTTTGCTCCTCCTTTGCCTTCTGCCATGATTGTGAAGCCTCTCTAGCCATGTGGACCTGTGAGCCAATTAAACATCTTTCCTTTAAAAATTACCCAGTCTCTGGTATGTCTTCATTAGCAGTGTGAGAATGGACTAATACAGTAGTTAATGTGTGGGGTTGGGATGCACCAGCTTTGTGAAGATGGGGTGACCTAGCAGAAGAGATGGACATTGGAATAGGATGTGTAATGAGATTTTCTTATTAGAGCTGATTTTAAGCAGAGGGAGGTACAGAATGAAGAAGAGGAAATAGTACTAGCAGATAAATTGGGGTGCAGTCTTGGCTGACACAACTGCATATTTCTACTTTGGGGCTCTAGGACATTTTGTGCTATTTGCTGGAAAAGTTCTTCCCCCATAAAACTATGTTGGTGATTCCCTCACCCTTTTCAGAACTTGGCAAAAATGTCACTTTCTGAATGAAGCATTCAATGACTATTCCTTTTAAAACTGCAATCTCCCCTTTGTTCAGCATTCCCTGTCTTTCTACCCTGCATTATTTCTCTAAGCACTTATCACCATGTCACATACTGTCAGTTCAACTTAATGAGTTGTTTAATGTCAGTCTCTATTTATTGGAATTGCAAGCTCTATAAGGGCAAAGATTTTTGTTTACTTTGTATTTTGGGGATCTCTTAGATTTCCTGGCATGTAGTAGGAGCTCTAAAAATACTTGTTGAGAAAATAAATAGGCTCAGAGGGGCCTAAAGGTACAGATTTCATGTGATCATTTGCCTTGAAAATTTGGGAGAGCGCAGTTTTGGAGGAAAAGTGAAAAAAAAGATTATACCCTAAAACTTGATAGCAGGAAACTAGAGACCAGGTTTTGGGACTAGAAAATAGTTAAAGAAGACAAATGGTAAAGCAATTTGTCTTCTAGATAGGATAATTTAGAATATTAATGGGGCTGCTGATAAGTTAGTCAAGAAAATTAAGGATGCGCTTGCAGTGTTTGTGCAGGTGGAGATTGATGACAAGGGAGCCAGTTTGGAGGGACGGCAGCACATTTGAAAACCAGGCAGGCTGTGGCTCATTTCAGCTGAGCACAATGATGTCTGTCATATACTAAGGGTTGTTGTAAATGGTAGGTAAGTTTGGCTTCTTAAAGTGCTTTGTTGTAATGTCTCTATAATGCAAAGAAATTAAGGATTACAACAGAGAAACTACCTGGGTTGATAAAATGAAGAGAAATCAATATTCTAGATTTAGGAAATTTGAAATTAAATACTTTTTGAGAAAAATACAAAGTTTAGCATGATATAACTAAAATTCTTAAACATGATTGAATGATATGTTAAAATATAGGAAAAACTAAGTGTAACTTACAACATTTTATTGCAGAGTTTTAAAAGGATATAAACCAGTTGTGGAGAAGACAGTTGGCTCTCTTGCATCCTCAGACGGTCCAGTTGGCTCATGGACTTCCTGGTAGTGTGCAACTTTCCACACTGGGAAGGCCCCTGGGTTACCAGGACCCAACCTGAAATGGCCATTGCAAGGTCCTAGGAAAAGACCTGCAACTGTGGTCTGTAGTCCACGAGACAAATGTTTGACTTAATTAGGTTCTGTTCAAATGATGAGCTGAACAATATTATATGTATTTAAAGGCTTTTATATTCTAAAACACAAATAACTGCATAATATTTACATATATTCACTGACTTCTTTTTCTGCAAGGAGAGTTTGGATAACTAACTTCTCAAGAGTGATAACACTTATCTTCCCATGGGCTGATCACTTTCAGTGATGCTTCAATTTTTGATCTAGTCTTAGTGAACACCAAGCTAGAGGAGGTATTACTCTCCTTTCATCTCTCCTGTTTTCTCTTCTACATGCCTTAAAGCTCTTCTCATGTTTTCTTCTGGTGCCGCTAAGGATTCTTTGGCTGTAAGCAACAGATGTCAGTTCTGGCTAATTTACAATAAAGAGGAGTTTCTTAGAAGGTGGGGGTGAACACACAGAATTAGAGAAATAGAGCATTAGGCTTGGAGCAATCAGGGATGAAGCAGCTCCAGACGGTCTTGCTGGCAGAAATGTCTGCATAGTTTTGCCCAGGCTGAGCTCTGAAATTAGTTTTCTCCAGCAATTTTTAGTGTTTGCACCACATGGCTCATGATTCACATTCTAGGAAAGGATATCCATTTTGTCTAGGTTGGCCAAGGGGAGATAGGGCCCCCAATTTATATTCCCACACATCTGATCCATTGGGGAGGGGTAATTCTCTCAAAACAAAAACCAAAAAAATCAAAGACCATAAAATAGACCATGGTCAGTGAAAAAGCAGCCAATATCTAAAACCACCGTAGGTTAAAAAAAAAAAAGAAACCCTGGAAGTTAACTGCTGTGCCCCTGCGTGTGGCCAAGGCAGTTTAATCTCTGTGCTTCACATTTTATCTTGGACACCTCTAGTTCCTTGATGCTTTCTTCCATAGTGTATCAGAGTGCTGGTAGAAAATTAGCTCACTTTTTGTTGGTGTGTTCTGTGATGAAATTGTGGACAGAAATTAGATGGAGCTTTATAGTTTCCATCTGATAATCTGTATCTGTAGGTGAATGAAAATAGTATTTTAAATAACTTAGGCAGAATGTTATTAAACAGCGATTGAGAGCTACCATTTAGTAGTTTTAATGTTGTTACCTTTCTAGAATATTTTCTTTATTTTACTTCTCGGTGAGGATCTGTTTTCAGCTTGATCCCTATTCAGAAAGTCTTATCCTAAGGGATTTTTTTTCAGGCTTTGCTGTAATAATGCTGTTACTTCCTCCATCTCCCACTTATTTCTCACTCACTGGTCTAAAGGTCTAGTGGTTCTGATGGACCCTGCTGTGCTCAGTTGGGCTTAGCTGGGATTGGCTGAGCTTGGATCTAGGCTGCAGGTTGTATTTACATTTGGTCTAAAAGCATCCTTATTCTGGAACCAGTGATTCCTTAAGGCATGCTCTTCTAATGGTGGGTACAGGAGTGTAAGGGGCTGGTGAAACTTGCCAGGCCTCTTAAACCCTCAGCTTGGAAGCAAGTGGCATGTATCATTTCTGCCCATGTTCCAATGGCCAGAGCAAGTCAAGTGACCATGGCTAGTGTTGAGGAAGCCATAGCAAGGTCAGAGAAGAAGGATAAATTGCAAACAAATAATACTATCTTCCACAGGGCTTAAAATCTTTTCTTACCTTCATTCCAGCTGCAATGGGTTGCTGCAGAGAGCAGGCAGCTGAATGTCCTGGTTAGAAAGGGAATTAACTGAAGGTACCACAGATGTAGTGATTGCTGATGGTAGGAGAAGGAAAAAAAGTTTTATACAGGAATCGGTCAGTTTAAATTTTGTTTTATGAAGACACAAAGCAAATGCCTAAGTAAGGACCTGTACTCGGCAAAACAAGAATGGAGGCCCAAATGGAAAACCATTTAGAGATGAAAGAGCACCTAAGCAGCATGGGATGGACAGGTGGGGCCAGAGCACACCTGAAGAGAATAGAGGCTACCCTCTTGGCCATCCTGGTCAGATGTCGGTCACATTGTGTGAGAAGGAATTGAAGATTGGTTTCAGGACCAATTATTTACATCCTGTAGTTTGCATATAAACCTGTATAAAAAATACTTACAGAAGACTGAAAAATCTTTGACGCAAAACTGTGCTCACATGACCATATCTTCTCCAGTATCTTCCAAATTTAATATTTTTGTTTTTCAGGGTGTCTCATCAGTCATTTGCAATGACACTTGATTTTTTAAAATAAAGCCCTTGGTTGTATTAATAGATACCACAGCTGGGTAGGTACTACTTGATTATTAAGGTCAAAATGCTGGTGATCAAAGTATGCAAAACCAAGAAAGCAAGTTAGCTTTTTACAGAATGTGTACGTGTTATATACGTTTATGAATAAGGAACATGTTATCCTTTCATATCCCCAAGAATTGAAGTGTAGACACTCCAAATAAAATAAAAAAAAATTTGTTAGAGACGGGATCCTGCTCTGTCGCCCAGGCTGGAGTACAGTGACATGATCATAGTTCACTGCAGCCTCAACCTCCTGGACTTACGTGATATTTCCGCCTCAGCCTCCCGAGTAGCTGGAAATACAGGTGCATGCACCCATGCCCAGCTAATTTTCAATTTTTTTCACAGAGACAGAGTCTTACTATGTTGCCCAGGCTGGTTTTGAACTCCTGGCCTCAAGCTATCCTCCCTCTTTGCCTCCCAAAGTGCTGGGATTACAGGTGTGAACAACTGTGTCTGGCCTAAAATCAATTTATTTAAAATATAAAGTTATTAGGTTATGCATATAGACATAGAACTAACTATCTGACCACAAATGATATGAAGGCAATTCATAAAATGTTATGAGCCCTGCAGTGGCCTCTATCTTGTCCAGCACTGTCAGCCTGTAGGCAGAATGTGAGATTGGAAGGTGCTAGTATAATTTATTTAAACATACTTTCTGAGCATATTCTATATACTGGCTAGTCTCAAAACTTAATTTCAGTCACAGCACACAGAATTCTGTCTTAAGTACATTTCTCTCTTGGGGTGGTATGGGTGACCTCTCCTCTCCCCTAATTAGTTGTGTGTTCCTGTGTCTCAACCTGTAAAATGAAAATAACAACACTAATATTAATAGTAACAATAACAACAATGATAACAGCAACAACAGCACAACATAATAAACCACTACATGGTGTTTCTCTAAAGATAAAATATTTTGAAAGAGAAAAGAGCTTTGTTAGTGTTAGCATGTTACTATTGACTTATGAAGAAATGATGGGCATCACACAGTTGTAGGTTGAACAAAATGGAGGCAAACTGACCACTTGAACAGCTGTATATCCATAGGAATGTGGAATAATATTTTATGACATGTTTGTTTCCTAGGGCTGCTGTAACAAATCAACCCAATCTTGGTGGCTTAAACTAACAGAAATTTATCCCAGCACAGTTCTACAGGCTAGATGTCCAAAGTCAAGGGTTGAGCAGGGCCATGCTCTCTCTGAAGGCTCCGATGAAGAATCCTGCCTTGTTTCTTCTTAGCTTATAATGGCTCCTGGCAATCTTTGGTGTTCCTTGGCTTGTAGCAGCATCATCTCTGTCACTGTCTTCCTTTCTTCCCTGTGTGTGTGTCTGTGTGTTGCCAAATCTCATTTTTCTTATATCAGTTATTAGACTTAAGTTCCAATCTAATCCAATATGTCCTCGTGTTCATTACATTTGCAAAGACTCTCTTTCCAAATAAGGTTACATTCACAGGTACCAAAATTTAGGACTTAAACATATCTTTTTGGAAGACAAAACAACTCATTATAGACATATAATAGAATGAAGTGATAAGATGACAATCTCCTCAGTTGACAAGGTGTTATCAATGGATCAGTAATAAACTGAAGTTGATCATTGCTTACGTTTTTTTAAATGGAGAACTAAGGATAAGGTCCTAAATCATTTCAGAACAATGGAAAATCTGTAGACCAAATTTGGGAAAACAGGGCAAACTGATCACAAAAGTCATACTTTCTTCATTGTTTTCAGATGGCAACTGAAAATATCCTTTTTTTTTGAGACGGAGTTTCACTCTTGCTGCCCAGGCTGGAGTGCAATGGCACAATCTCTGCTCACCACAACCTCTGCCTCCTGGCTTCGAGCGATTCTCCTGCCTCAGGAGAGTAGCTGGGATTACCCTCCCAAGTAGCTGGGATTACCAGCATGCACCACCACACCTGGCTAATTTTACATTTTTAGTAGAGACAGGGTTTCTCCATGTTGGTCAGGCTGGTCTCGAACTCCCCACCTCAGGTGATCCACCCGCCTCGGCCTCCCAAACTGGTGGGATTACAGGCGTGAGCCACTGCACTTGGCCAAAAATTCAACCTGTTGCAGATAAAGATAAAACAATAAGCCTAGGGCAATAAACTGGGTTACAGAGAAATTCAAATGATCATGCAGCATGCTAATCAGGAGTGGAATCAGTATATTTAAACCCTTGAAATTATCAGGTTGGACTATTCCTCCTTTTAAAGTAATTGATTAGGAGACAGATATTATCATATAAGGTATATAAACTGATAGGCAAAGGATATGGTTTTTAGACCTGTAGATATAAGGACATAGAGCTGTGTCAGATTGTATTTTATGTAAGCTGTAATGCTACCAATGTTTGACTTAACCTAGTGAAAAATGCATACATGCTTTTTAAAGGTTCATAAATTTCTTAGCAGAGTTTAGCAGGCAGTTTCACTCTGTATCCTAATTAACAATAAAATATTTTAAGTAAACTGCAAGGGAAATTATTTCATATCCATTAATCTGAAGAACTACTATGCTTTTATCACTTATAGTCTTGGTCCATTCGAAGATGGTGGTGTTTCAGAATACCAGTGTATTTATAATGGCAGACTTTTCTGTAAAGCCTCATCTACCTGCACTGTATATTCATAGAATAATAGACACTGATGATAAGGTTACTATAGCATTTGCACAATGACTTGTTAGAAATTTAAGGGTTTCATGGGTAGGTGTTAGCTTGGCAACTCTACCCTCCATGGGTTTATTTTGTTTGCTGTAATGGTTAAATTTTATGTGTTAACTTGTCTATGGAGCCCAGTTGCCTGATCAGTCACTGGTCTAGATGTTGTGGTGAAAATATTTTGTAGATGTGATTAATATGTAGAATCAGTTGACTTTAAGTAAAAGAGGAGAGTGAGTACCAATGTGGCTGACTAGAAGCAGCTAGTGAGCACCACTCTCACAGAGAGGAGATAGAGCAGCCAGTAGACACTAGCTCTTCAACTAGATGGTTCAGGAGGACACACTGGGATTCATCAAGGAAGCAATAAGGTCCATGGGGAACAGAGAAGAGCAAGACAGGAAGCCACCCACCTGGGACTGCTGCTGAGTCAAGGGAGGATCCCCACTATGGGGAAATGGTGAGTGAGAGTCCCCAGGGGCCCACATTTCTGCCACAGACCTTTGCTACCCTGGGCACAGGAGATCCCCCTGACCTCCTCCCCCTGGGGCCTCTTGACTGACATGGAGAGCTATGTGGGTTCTGGGCAGAGCCGTAGCTGAGGCACATGCAAAGTCCCAAGGGCCTTGGACCCCCGGGCACTCCAGGCCAGCAGCAGTAGCTCCACCAACAAGGTAGGCTAGGCTCTCTCACATTCCTGAGGATAGCGGCTGGATCCAGACTGCTGAGGAGTGGACCGACTTGCCTCCACTACACCTCTGCTACACATCACCTGCTGGCCTGGGACCTCAGCACAGCCACCCCACCCCTGCCTGAGCACTCAGACAGGTAGCGGCTCTGCATTTCTCTGGGATGGCACTACCAGAGGTAACAGACAGGCCTATCATCTTTGCTGCTGCAGTCCCTGCTCCTACTGTCCTCAGGCTTGGGAGGGAGTGAAGAATTTAAGGACCATTATGGGTCTCCAGCATAGTGCAGCTACCTTACAGAAAAGTGGCCAGACTTTCCTATGCAGGTCCCTGCCGCTACTACTCCTCACTGGGCAGGGCCTCCCTGCCTGGGCTTCCAACACAGCCACCCTACCCCACCTGAGCACATCAGTCAGTGGCGGCTCTTTGTTTCTCTGGGGAGGAAACTGACAGAGCAGGAGCACCGTCATCTTGGACAAACACCGCCACTTTAAGTTCCAGCTCTGTTTCTAGCCTCATGCATTTCAAGGAAATCACTTCTCTTCTAACTATGAGCATCCAGAAAGAGGAGACAGTAAAACATAGATAAGACAGCTTGGGCACAGAGGGGGATGGCGGGAAAGTCCCTTTGGTAACTGCCAAAATTTACACTCATAAAATGGGCCCCAGTAAAACAGTGGGCCTTAATAAGCACATTCCTTTCCCTTCAGGTGCACTAAGATAGGGAAGCTAAAAGCAGACTCGGGGGTATGCCTGCAGTTGCAGAAAGATGTTTGGGAACAGACACACAACTCTCCCTCCCAGATAAGCACAACAAAGAGACACAGAAGCAATCCAAGCCTCTGATAAACTCTCCCACCCTGAATCCTTAAAAACTCTTAGTCTGTAAGAGAGTGTGCCTCTGACCTACCTTGGCCAGAAGCTCCTCTCGGGTTTGTTTTCTCTAAAATAAAACTGTCTTGACTGGTGAGCTGCATTTCATGTTTCTTTCCTCTTTCTTTAATTCTTACAGAAATCCCAGAGACAACCCAAAACCCTACTGCCACTGGAGCTGCAGAAGTACCACTTGCTGTCCTTGGGCTGGAGAAGAAACAAAGAGCCTGAATGTTTTGCTGGCACCTCGAGCATGACACAGTCACCATAGACAGAGGAGCCCAGCCTCTCAGTCTCTCTTCCCTGTGAGCCTCTACCTCCCACTCTTCACCAAGCAGCCCTGCCCCCCACAGAGCTGCCCCACCCCTGCATGAACATTTCCATTGGCAGTGGCTCTGTTTCTCCAGGGTGAGGCTCCCAGATGCTACTGAAAGTCCCTCCGCCTTTGCAACTGCAGAGGTACTGCCCTTGCTGCCTTTGGACTGGAGAAGGAACAAAGACCCTAAGTGCTTTACTCATACCTCCAGCCTGCCACAGCTGCTCTAGGGAGAAGAGGCCATTCTGTCTTCCCTGCAAGCCCCTCATCCCCGTGTTCATCACCAGGCAGGGCCTCCTGGCTTGGGCCCTCAATGCAGCTACCCATCCTGGGGCTGACTGTTCCAATTGGCAGCAACTCTTAATTTCTCTAAGAGAAATTAAGTGAAGTGAAGCCCCAAGAGACAAGTGAAAGGCCCTCTGCCATTTACACTGCCAAGGTCCCTTACCCTGCAGCTCCCAAGTTGGGGAGAAAACAAAAAGCCAGAGTTCACCCCAGGGTTGCAGTGCACAGCCTGAGAGTGCCAAGCTGGGATCTGCAGCCAGCATTGAATAGAAGAGGAGCCCTACACTCTCAGAGTACTGAGAGAGAACACTGCTGCAATCATGAGGAAATGGAGAGGAGCTAATGTGGCTGAGCAAGAGCCTACATACTGGCGGTTACACATAGGCGCCATCTACTGGATCCCAGGCCAAACTTTGACAGCAAAAATAGTTCGCTATTATAGGCCCCTGTGAAACCAAGGACAAGAATTCAGCCACAAATAAAGACCCTGCACAAAGCCTCGGCCTTTTGGAAACATCCAGAAAGGAAGTCAACTGACGGTACTCAAATTACACCACAGTTAAAGGAACATCAGCCCACATGGATGAGAAAGAACCAGCACAAGAATTCTGGCAACTCTAAAAGTTAGTGCGTCCTTACCTCCAAAAGACCACATTATTTCCCAAGCCATTGTTCTTAACCAGAATGAAATGGCTGAAATGACAGACAGAATTCAAAATCTAGATGATAACAAAGGTCATTGAAATTCAGGAGAAAGTGGAAACCCATTCCAAAAAACCTGAAGAATCCAGTAAAATGATTCAGGAAATGAAAGATGAAATAGCCATTTTAAGAAAGAAACAAACTGAGCTGATAGAGCTGAAAAACTGACTACAAGAATCTCATAACACAATAGGAAGTATTAATAACAGAACAGACCAAGCTGAGGAAAGAATGGCAGAGATTCAAGACCAGTTCTTTGAATTATCAGGTTGATGCAAAAGTGATTGTGGCTTTTGTCATATTTGATGGCAAAAACCACAGTTACTTTTGCACCAACCTGATAACTCAGACAAGAAAAAAAAAACTTGGAAAAATATAGTATTATGTAAAGAGTCCAAATCTATGACTCATTGGCATATCTGAAAGGGAGAGAAAACAAGAAAATTGGGAAACGTATTTGAGGATATTGTTCACAGAAATTTCCCCAACCCCACAAGAGGAGTCAGCATACAAATTCAAAAAATTTAGAGGACCCCTGTGAAATATAGTACAAGAGGACCATCTCCAAGACAAATAGTCATCAGATTCTTCAAGGTCAATGTGAAAGAGAAAAAATATTAAACGCAGCTCAAGAGGAGGGGCAGGTCACCTACAAAGGGAACCCCATCAGGCTAACAGCAGACCTTTCAGCAGAAACTACAAGCCCGAAGAGATTGAGGGCCTATATTCACCAACCTTAAAGAAAAGAAATTCCGACCAAGAATTTCATATCCAGCCAAACTAAGCTTCATAAACACAGAAGAAATAAGATCTCTTTCAGGGAAGCAATTGGTAAGGAAATGTGTTACCACAAGATCTACCTTATAAGAGGTCCTTAAGGGAGTGCTAAACATGGAAATGACCACCATGAAAACACACTCAAGTACATAGATCATCAACAACATAAAGCAAATACACAATCAAGTCTACATAACAACCAGCTAACAAAATAATGGCAGGATCAAATCTGCACATATCAGTATTAACCTTGAGCATAAATGGGTTAAACACCTCACTTAAAAGACATAGAGTAACAAGTTGGATTAAGAAGCAAGACCCATGTATGTTGTCTTCAAGGGACCCAGCTCACATGCAAGGACACCCACAGGTTCAAAGTAAAGGGAGGGAGAAAGATCTATCAAGCACATAGAAAACAAAAAAGAGCAGGAGTTGCTATTCTTATTTTAAACAAAACCAACTTTAAACCAATAATGATAAAAAAGGAAAAAGAAGGGCATTACATAATGATAAAGGGTTTAATTCAACAAGAAGACTTAACTATCCTAAGTATGTATGCACCCAACACTGGAGCACCCAGATTCATAAAATAAGCTCTTAGAGACCTATGAAGAGACTTCGATAAACACAATAGTAGTGGGAGACTTCAACACCACACTAACAATATTGGACAGATCAAAGCAGAATGCTAACGAAGATATTCAGGACCTAAATTTACTCTTGACCAAGAATCTGTAGATGGATCTAACAGACATCTACCGAACACTCCACCCAACAAAAACAGAATATACATTCTTCTCATCTGCTCATGAAACACACTCTAAAATTGACCACATGCTCAGCCATAAAGCAATTCTCAACAAATTAAAAAATGGAAATAATACCAACCACACTGTCAGACTGGAGCACAATAAAAATAGAAATCAATACCAAGAACATTTCTCAAAACCATACAATAAAATGGAAATTAATCTGTTCCTGAATGACTTTTGGGTAAACAATGAAATTAAGGCAGGAATCAAGAAAATCTTTGAAATTAATGAAAACAAAGATACAATGTAACAGAATCTCTGGGACACAGCTAAAACAGTGTTAAGAGGAAAGTTTGTAGCTCTAAACACCCACATCAAAAAGTTAGAAAGATCTCAAGTTAACAACCTAACATCACACCTAGAGGAACTTGAAAAAGAAGAGGAAACCAATATCAAAAGTAGCAGAAGAAAATAACAAAAATTAGAGCTGAACTGAATTAAATGGAAATGAGAAAAACCGTATAAAACATCAAGGAAACCAAAAGTTGGTTTTTCAAAAGAATAAGTACGATTGACAGACTGCTTGCTAGGCTAATAATACAGAAAAAGAGAAGATCCAAATAAACACAATCAGAAGTGACAAAGTGTGCATTACCACTGACCCCACGGAAGTACAAAAACCCTCAGAAACTATTATGAGCACCTCTATGCACACAAACTAGAAAACCTAAAAGAAATAGATACATTTCTGGAAACATACAACCTCCCAAGATCGAACCAGGAAGAAATTGAAACCCTGAACAGGTCAACAACGAGTTCTGAAACTGAATGAATAACAAAAAAACCTACCAATCAGAAAAATCCCTGTAGCAGACAGATTCACTACCGAATTTTACTACATGTATAAAGACGAGCTGGTACCAATCCTACTGAAACTATTTCAAAAAAATCATTGAGGAGGGTCTCCTCTCTAACTCATTCTATGAGGCCAGAATAATTCTGATAACAGAACCTGGCAGAGCCAAGTGAAAAAAGAAAACTTCAGGTCAATATCCCTGATGAACAGACATATAAAAATCTTTAACAAAATACTAACAAACTAAATCTAGCAACATAGCAAAAAGCTAATTCACTATGATCAAGTAGACTTTATCTGGGATGCAAGGTTGGCTCATCTTACACAAATCAATAAATGTGATCCATTTCATAAACAGAACCAAAACCAAAACCCACATGATCATCTCAATAGACACAGAAAAGGCTTTCAATAAAATTCAATATCCTTTCATGTTAAAACTCTAAAAAAACTTGGAATCAAAGGTACATATCATAAAATAATAAGAGCCATCTATTACAAACCCACAGCTAACATCATACTAAATGGGCAAAAGCTAGAAGCATTCCACTTGAGAACCAGAACAAGACAAGTATTCCCACTGTCACCACTCCTATTCAACATAGTGCTGGAAGTCCTAGCCAGAGCAATCAGGCAAGAGAAGAAATTCCAACCAAGAATTTCATATCCAGCCAAACTAAGCTTCATAAACGCAGAAGAAAAAGATCTCTTTCAGAGAAGCAATTGGTAAGGAAATGTGTTACCACAAAATTAAAAAAAAATCCTATCCAAATAAGAAGAGAGAAAGTCAAATTATTTCTTTGCAGATGATATGATACTATACCTAGAAAACCCCATAATCTTTGCTCAAAGGCTCTTAGATCTTATGAACAAGTTCAGCAAGGTTTCAGGATACAAAATCGATGTACAAAAATGAGTAGCATTTCTATACACTAACAATGTCCAAGCTGAGAGCTAAATCAAGAATGAAATTCCATTCTCAATAGCCACCAAAGGAATAAAATACCTAGGAATACAGTTAACCAGGAAGGTGAAAGATATCTGCAATGAGAATTACAAAACACTGCTGAAAGGCATCAGAGGCAACACAAACAAATGGAAAAATATTCCATGCTCATGGATAGGAAGAATCACTACTGTTTAACTGGCCATACCGACCAAAGCAATTTATAGATTCAATGCTGTTCCTATCTACCAATGATACTTTTCACAGAATTAAAAAAATTATTCTAAAATTTATTTGGAACCAGAAAAGGAGCCCATACAGTCAGAGCAATCCTAAACAAAAAGAAAAAAGCTGCAGGTATCACTACCTGATTTCAAGCTATACTGCAAGGCTACAGTAACTGAAACAGCATAGTACTGATACAAAAACAGACATGTAGACCAATGGAACAGGTTAGATAACCTAGAAATAAAGTTGCACACCTACAACCATCTGATCTTCAAAAAATCTGACAAAACAAGCAATGGGGAAAGGATTCCCTATTCAATAAATGGTACTGGGATAACTGACTTGTCATATGCAGAAGATTGAAACTGGATCCCTGAATTTTACCATATATAAAAATTTACCCAAGATGGATTGAAGACTTAAACGTAAAACCTAAAACTATAAGAAAACTTAGGAAATACCATTCTGGAAATAGGAACTGGCAAAGATTTCATGATGAAGTCACAAAAAACAATTGCAACAATTGACAAATGGGACCTAATTAAACTAAAGAGATTCTGCACAGCAAAAAACAAACAAAAAAACCCAAAACAAAAAAAAGCAAACAAAAAAACCCCCAAAACAAATAATAAACAGACAACCTACAGAATATGAGAAAATATTTGCAAACCATGCGTTTGATAAAGGTCTAATATTGATAACCTATAAGAAACTCAGAAATCAATATGCAAAAAACCCATTAAAAATGGGCAAAGGATGTGAACACTTCTCAAAAGAAGACATGGATGTGGCCAAAAACATATGAAAGAATTCTCAATATGACTTATCATTAGGGACATGCAAATCAAAACCACAATGAGATACCATCTCATAACAATCAGAATGGATATTAATAAAAAGTCAAAAAATAAAAGATGCTGGTAAAGTTGCAGAGAAAAGGGAACACTTATACACTGTTGGTGTGACTGTAAATTAGTTCAGCCATTGCGGAAAGCAGTACGGTGACTCCTCAAATAGCCAAAAGCAGAACTAGCATTTGACCCAGCAATCTCATTACTGGGTATATACTCAAAGGAATGTAAATCATTCTACCATAAGATACATGTACACTATTCACAATAGCAAAGACATAGAATCATGTCTAGATGCCTACCAGTGATGGACTGGATAAGGAGAGTGTGGTACATATATACCATGAAATACTATGCAGCTATTAAAAAAATATTATGGCCTTTGCAGCAACATGGATGGACCTGGAGGCCATTATCCAAAGCAAATTAATGCAGGAACAGAAAATCAAATACTGCATGTTCTCGCTTGTAAGTGTGAACTAAATTCTGTTGATTACACATGGACACAAAGAAGGGAACAACAGACACTGTAGCCTATTTGAGGGTAGAGAGTGAGAGTAGGTAAGGTTTGAGAAACTATAATATTTATTAGGTATTATGCAGATTACCTGGGTGACAAAATTATCTGTACCCCAAATCCCCGTGAAACACAATTTGCCTTTGTAACAAACTTGCACATGTACCCCTTGAGCTCAAAATAAAAGTTGAAAAGAGAACAAAAACAAAACAAAAAAAGTGGAAGAGGTTATCCTCTGTAATGTGGGTGGGCCTCACCTAATCAGTTGAAAGCTTTAAGAGCAAAAACTAAGATTTCCTTAAAAAAAAAAAAAAGGAATTCTGCCTCAAGACTATAATATACAAAATCCTGTCTGCATTCCAGTCTGCCGGCCTGTCCTACAAATTTGACATTTGCCAAATATATCCTATTTGTTCTATGTGTCTGGAGAACCCTGACTGATAACAGTTGCTTTTTAATACATTTAAGCATCTTCAGACTTGAAGTTTAATAATGTTTCTAAAATTATGGTAGGATTGAAAATATCACAATAGCTACTCTAACCCTGTATCCATTGTAAGACAGTGTATGGAGTGCTGAGTCCCAGGAAGGAGCAAGATTGTTTGAGTATCCTTTTTTTAAGTAGCACCAGAATCGTGAAGACCATTATCAGTCCTATCCTCTTGGTTCAGCTGTCTTCTCTTCTACGACATTTAAAAAGCTTGTTAATTTTGGGATTTCTAAAGTCAACAAAAGGATAAATAGAGAAAAACAATACTCTGACATATGATTACATACAAAGTACACATAAAATACATCCATGTATATTACTGCTACATAAAAATACATGTGATCTCATGTATAATAAATGACAAAAACGATATTTTGTGGTTCTAATGTCTACATTGCAACCTTGTAATGTCATAAACTGACAAAGCCCCACAAAGTGGGAGTTGTCTCAGTTCTGGTCTTGTTTAGCCTATCACCTTTCCTTGTCCTGGTTTTGTGTGTGGACAAATCAGTGTTTGAATCTTATGACATTTCATAGCATTTATTTTCTGCATTGGCCAGGTTGCTTCCTTATACATTAAGTTTCTTACCACAAATGTAGATAATTCTTAACATCTCTGTAGTTTCTGAAGTAACATCTTTAATAGAGAGTTTACACCAGCTGTTTTCTTTCTCTCTCTCTGTAGCTACCCCTGATTGGGATTCATTCCTTTATACTGAAATTTTTCCTGAATGCCTGTGCTGGATACTATGAGAGATAATAGATGAACAAAATAGATGTCGTATTAGTTTGTTAGGGCTCCATAACAAAATACCACAAACTGGGTAGCTTAAACAACAGAAATTTATTTTCCTACAGTTATGGAGGTTGGAAATCCAAGTTCAGGGTGTCAATAAGTTTGGTTTCTCCTGAGGTCTGTCTCTCCTTGCCTTGCAGATAGCTGCCTTCTCAATGTGTCTTCACATGGCTTTCCCTCTGCGTATGCATCCCTGGTGTCTTCCTCTTTGTATAAGGACACAAGTCCTTTGGAATTAGGGCCTCACCGTTATGACCTGATTTAACCTTCATTACCCCTTTAAAGGCCCTTTCTATAAATATAATCTCATTAGGAATAAGGGTTTCAACATAGAATTTTTGGGAAACACAATTCAGTCCATAACTGATGTAGTCATTGTACTGGTCATGTTCATAACTCCTGTCTGTATAGAGGCCCTGCTGGAACTGAAGCATGCTGGTCTTCTTCAATATGTCTTCTTCTAAATGTCTGCAAATTATTTAGGAAATAATCTCTCTGTGCGTTGTGTCCCTTGTCTCCTTTGCTAAGGGGTTGTAATGCGGAAATATTCCTCACAACTCAATAGCAAATAAAACGACCTGGGGCAAAGGATCTGAAGAGACATTTCGAAAGAAGACATACAATTGCAACAGGTGCTCAATGTCAGTAATTACCAAGGAAATGCAAATCAATACCACAAAAAGCTATCACCTTCCATCTGTTAAAATGGCTATTATAAAAAAGACTAGAGACAGCAAATATTGGCAAGCACGTGGAGAAAAGGGAACCCTTTACACACTGTTGATGGGAATGTAAAATGGTACAGCATTATGGCAAACTATTGTTGTTCCTCAAAAATTTAAAAATAGAGCTACTGTATGATATAGTAATCTTAATTATGGGTATATACCCAAAGGAAATAAAATCAGGATCTTGAAGAGATATCTGTATTTCCATTTTATTGCAGCATTCTTCATAAAAGTCAAGATATAGAAATAACCTAAGTGTCTGCTGACCAATAAATGGATAAAGAAAATGTGTTATATAACAATGGAATATTATTCAGACATACAAAGGTAAGTCCTGCCATTTGTGATGTCATTAAGTGAAATAAGCCAGGCACAGAAAGACAATACCACATGATCTTACTTACAAGTGAAATCTAAAAAAGTTGAACTCACTGAAAAAAGAGTAGACTGTTGGTTGCCAAGGGCTGGGGGATCAGGGAAATAGAGTTCATATGGTTAGTCAAAGGGTACAAACTTTCATTTATAAGATGAATGGGGGTATAATATACAACATGGTGACTAAAGTTAATAATGTATCATTTACTTGAAATTTGCTAAGGGAGTAGATCTTTAGTATCCTCATCCCCTCCTCCCCACTACAAAATGATAGCTATGTGTGGTGATGGCTGTGTCAATTAATATGATTGTGGTAATCATCTCACAATGTATACATAAGTCAAATCATTATGTTGCACACCTTGAATATACACAATTTTTATTTGTCAATCATACCTCAATGAAGCTGAAAAAATAAACAAGATTCCTTTTGTTGTTTTGCGGGAAGTGGTTGTTCACAGTTTATTTCATGCCTGCCTGTGTAGAACAGAATTCTACTTTCTCTGAACTAAAATACTGTTAATAAGTGGACTGACTCTCTAGAAACCTTGTAAACCCTTATATTGGAATGAAAATGGCTTCTTTTTTTTTTTTTAACCAAAGAGGTTTAGTGGACTTACAGTTCCGTGTGGCTGGGGAGGCCTTACAATCATGGCAGAAGGCAAGGAGGAGCAAGTCACGTCTTACATGGATGGCAGCAGGCAAAGAGAGAGCCTGTGCAAAGAAACTCCCGTTTTGTTTTTTTTTTTTAATTATACTTTAAGTTTTAGGATACATGTGCACAACTTTCAGGTTTGTTACATATGTATACATGTGCCATGTTGGTGTGCTGCACCCATTAACTCGTCATTTACATTAGGTATATCTCCTAATGCTATCCCTTCTCCCTCTCCCCACCCCACAACAGGCCCCAGTGTGTGATGTTCCCCTTCCTGTGTCCAACTGTTCTCACTGTTCAATTCCCACCTATGAGTGAGAACATGCAGTATTTGGTTTTTTGTCCTTGCGATAGTTTGCTGAGAATGGTGGTTTCCAGGTTCATCCATGTCCCTACAAAGGACATGAACTCATCTTTTTTATGGCTGCATAGTATTCCATGGTGTATATGTGCCACATTTTCTTAATCCAGTCTATCATTGTTGGACATTTGGGCTGGTTCCAAGTCTTTGCTATTGTGAATAGTGCCGCAATAAACATACGTGTGCATGTGTCTTTATAGCAGCATGATTTATAATCCTTTGGGTATATACCCAGTAATGGGATGGCTGGGTCAAATGGTATTTCTAGTTCTAGATCCCTGAGGAATCGCCACACTGACTTCCACAAGGGTTGAACTAGTTTACAGTCCCACCATCAGTGTAAAAGTGTTCCTATCTCTCGACATCCTCTCCAGCACCTGTTGTTTCCTGACTTTTTAATGATCGCCATTCTAACTGATGTGAGATGGTATCTCATTGTGGTTTTGATTTGCATTTCTCTGATGGCCAGTGATGATGAGCATTTTTTCATGTGTCTTTTGGCTGCATAAATGTCTTCTTTTGAGAAGTGTTTGTTCATATCCTTCACCCACTTATTGATGGGGTTGTTTTTTTCTTGTAAATTTGTTTGAGTTCATTGTAGATTCTGGATATTAGCCCTTTGTCAGATGTGTAGATTGCAAAAATTTTCTCCCATTCTGTAGGTTGCCTGTTCACTCCGATGGTAGTTTCTTTTGCTGTGCAGAAGCTCTTTAGTTTAATTAGATCCCATTTGTCAATTTTGGCTTTTGTTGCCATTGCTTTTGGTGTTTTAGACATGAAGACCTTGCCCATGCCTATGTCCTGAATGGTATTGCCTAGGTTTTCTTCTAGGGTTTTTATGGTTTTAGGTCTAAGATTTAAGTCTTTAATCCATCCCGTGTAAGGTGTAAGGAAGGGATCCAGTTTCAGCTTTCTACATATGACTAGCCAGTTTTCCCAGTACCATTTATTAAATAGGGGATCGTTTTCCCATTTCTTGTTTTTGTCAGATTTGTCAAAGATCAGATAATTGTAGATGTATGGCATTATTTCTGAGGGCTCTGTTCTGTTCCATTGGTCTATATCTCTATTTTGGTTCCAGTACCATGTTGTTTTGCTTACTGTAGGCTTGGAGTATAGTTTGGAGTCAGGTAGCGTGATGCCTCCAGCTTTGTTCTTTTGGCTTAGGATTGACTTGTCAATGCGGGCTCTTTTTTGGTTCCGTATGAAGTTTAAAGTAGTTTTGTTTTCCATTTGCTTAGTAGAGCTTCCTCCATCCCTTTATTTTGAGCCTATGTGTGTCTCTGCACGTGAGATGGGTTTCCTGAATACAGCACACTGATGGGTCTTGACTCTTTATCCAATTTGCCGGTCTGTGTCTTTTAATTGGAGCATTTAGCCCATTTACATTTAAGGTTAATATTGTTATGTGTGAATTTGGTCCTGTCATTATGATGTTAGCTGGTTATTTTGCTCGTTAGTTGATGCAGTTTCTTCCTAGCCTTGATGGTCTTTACAATTTGGCATGATTTTGCAGTGGCTGGTAGCGGTTGTTCCTTTCCATGTTTAGTGCTTCCTTCAGGAGCTCTTTTAGGGCAGGCCTGGTGGTGACAAAATCTCTCAGCATTTGCTTGTCTGTAAAGTATTTTTATTTCTCCTTCACTTATGAAGCTTAGTTTGGCTGGATATGAAATTCTGGGTTGAAAATTGTTTTATTAAAAATGTTGAATATTGTCCCCTACTCTCTTCTGGCTTGTAGAGTTTCTGCCGAGAGATCCGCTGTTAGTCTGATGGGCTTCCCTTTGTGGGTAACCCAACCTTTCTCTCTGGCTGCCCTTAACATTTTTTCCTTCATTTCAACTTTGGTGAATCTGACAATTATGTGTCTTGGGGTTGCTCTTCTCAAGGAGTACCTTTGTGGCATTCTCTGTATTTCCTGAATTTGAATGTTGGCCTGCCTTGCTAGATTGGGGAAGTTCTCCTGGATAATATCCTGCAGAGTGTTTTCCAACTTGGTTCCATTCTCCCCGTCACTTTCAGCTACACCAATCAGACATAGATTTGGTCTTTTCACATAGTCCCATATTTCTTGGAGGCTTTGTTTGTTTCTTTTTATTCCTTTTTCTCTATACTTCTCTTCTCGCTTCATTTCATTCATTTCATCTTCCATCACTGATACCCTTTCTTCCAGTTAATCAAATTGGCTACTGAGACTTGTGCATTCGTCACGTAGTTCTCATGCCATGTTTTCAGCTCCATCAGGTCCTTTAAGGACTTCTCTGCATTGGTTATTCTAGTTAGCCATTCATCTAATCTTTTTTCAAGGTTTTTAACTTCTTTGGCATGGGTTCAAACTTCCTCCTTTAGCTCGGAGAAGTTTGATCGTCTGAAGCCTTCTTCTCTCAACTCATCATTTTCTGTCCAGCTTTGTTCCGTTGCTGGTGAGGAGCTGTGTTCCTTTGGAGGAGGAGAGGCGTTCTTGATTTTTAGAATTTTCAGTTTTTCTGCTCTGTTTTTTCCCCATCTTTGTGGTTTTATCTACCTTTGGTCTTTGATGATGGTGACATACAGATGGGGTTTTGGTGTGGATGTCCTTTCTGTTTGTTAATTTTCCTTCTAACAGTCAGGACCCTCAGCTGCAGGTCTGTTGGAGTTTGCCAGAGGTCCACTCCAGACCCTGTTTGCCTGGGTATCATCAGCAGAGGCTGCAGAACAGCAAATATTGTTGAATAGCAAATGCTGCTGCCTGATCGTTCCTCTGGAAGTTTTGTCTCAGAGGGGTACCTGGCCGTGTGAGGTGTCAGTCTGCCCCTGCTGGGGGGTGCCTACCAGTTAGGCTACTTGGGGGTCAGGGAGTCACTTGATGAGGCAGTCTGTCCATTCTCAGATCTCAAGCTGCATGCTGGGAGAACCACTACTCTCTTCCAAGCTGTCAGACAGGGACATTTAAGTCTGCAGAGGTTTCTGCTGCCTTTTGTTTGGCTATACCCTGCTCCCAGAGGTGGAGTCTACAGAGGCAGGCAGGCCTCCTTGAGCTGCGGTGGGCTCCAGCTAGTTCGAGCCTCCTGGCCGCTTTGTTTTTCTGCTCAAGCCTCAGCAATGGTGGCCGCCCCTCCCCCAGCTTCACTGCCGCCTTGCAGTTTGATCTCAGACTGCTGTGCTAGCAATGAGCGAGGCTCCGTGGGCGTAGGACCCTCTGAGCCAGGCACAGGATACAATCTCCTGGTGTGCTGTTTGCTAAGACTGTCGGAAAAGCGCAGTATTAGGGTGGGAGTTACCTGATTTTCCAGGTGCCGTCTGTCACCCCTTTCCTTGGCTAGGAAAGGGAATTCCCTGACCCCTTGTGCTTCCTAGGTGAGGCGATGCCTCGCCCTGCTTCAGCTCACGCTTGGTGCGCTGCACCCACTGTCCAACAGTCCCCAGTGAGATGAACCCTGTACCTCAGTTGGAAATGCAGAAATCATCCGTCTTCTGCGTTGCTTGTGCTGGGAACTATAGACTGGAGCTGTTCCTATTTGGCCATCTTGGAACCCAAGCCTGAAAATGGCTTTTTTAAAATACTATGTCTTAGGATGTCAATTATATTTTGTCATTTTCCTTTGTGCTGAAATCAAAATTACCAGGTGGAATAAGAGTAGAATAGTTAAATGAAATTCTCTCCTTTAAGAGAAAATACAATTTCATATGCAACCTCCAGAATATTAAAATTTATTCTTATGAAGAAAGGAGTATTTCAATGAAAATTCAACTTAAGTTTTTAAAAGCAAGATTACAAAAATTGAAGGTAAAATGAAAAAGTCCCTTTAAAATATCTTGGAAGTTCCTAGTTATATTATGCCAAATTCCTGATGTTAACATTTTAAAATAAAATAATGCCCTCATAGTTTATTATTTTCAAGGGGTACTTTGACCATGGAGTTGTGCTGTTTATTGATTAGATAGTTCTGCAAGTGAAAGATGGGCACTGAGAGCAAAATTCCAGATCTGCTGATTTTTTTTTGTTTTGTTTTTGTTTTTGAGACAAAGTCTCCCTCTGTCGCCCAGGCTGGAGTGCAGTGGTGCGATCTTGGCTCACTGCAACCTCTGCCTCCCAGGTTGATGCCATTCTCCTGCCTCAGCCTCCCTCGTAGCTGGAACTACAGGCACCTGCCACCACGCCTGGCTAATTTTTTGTATTTTTAGTAGAGATGGGGTTTCACTGTGTTAGCCAGGATGGTCTTGATCTCCTGACCTTTTGATCTGCCCACCTTGGCCTCCCAAAGTGCTGGGATTATAGGTGTGAGCCACTGTGCCTGGCCCCTGGGCTGCTGAATTTTTACTGAAGCTTCCGGTTTTGCACACAGCACAATGGTTTTAATCATGTATTCTCTTTTTTCCCCACTTAATGGCAATTTTTATGTTTGAACAGATTTTAGTTTCTTTAAAGAAACCCTATTTCCAAACAATATCCTATTTTTGTTACCTAAACTTCTTCTAAAGACTTTTCCTCTTCCTTTCCATTATGCATATTTTTATTTTTTCACTGCCATATGTTTTGGTTGAAGTTCTTAAGCTTACTCTCTGTTTTCTACTTCTTACCAATTTATTGTCTTCAAAAACTTTTATTCCATCCCTGGTGCTCTACAGAAACTTCATATGATTCTTCTGTCACCTCAAACCAAACAGCCTTTTCTTTCAAATAGTCTTCTACTTATTGTCTATTGCTGTATAACAAATTATTATAAACTTAGCCGTTTAAAACAACACAAAATTATTATCTCATTTTTGTGGGTCAGAAATTTGGGCAACATTTAGCTGGGTTCTTGTCCTTGGGGTCTCTTGAAAAGGCTGCAATCAAGTTATTGGCCAGGGCTGGGGTCTCATTTGAAGTTTTGACTGGGAAGGATTTGCTTCTGAGCTCACATGGTATTGTCATGAGTTAGGTACTTGAGGGTTTTGAGCTGAGGGCTTTGCAATTGTTTGACTGTCAGCCAAAGGTTTCTTTCAATTACTTGCCATGAAAACCTCTCCATAGTGCATCTCACAATATGGCAGCTTGATTTCATCACAGCAAGCAAGAGAGAACTTCTGCTAGTAAGTTAGAAGTCATAGTCTCTTGTAATCTAATTATGAAAATGCTGCTGTATTCTTTTGGTGAAAACTAAGTTGATAGGCCAGCCTACACTCCAGGGAAGGGGATTATTTAAGGGTATGAATAAAAAGTGGTGAAAATCACTGGGGGCCTTCTTAGAGTCTCTGCCACAAAGATTAATTCTCAAATACTTTGTAGCTGACAATAATATCATGTTTTATCTGACAGTCATGTCTTTATTATATTTTGGGTCAGTTATCCTGGCCTAAAATCTTGGAGTTAGTCTTGATTCTAGTTTCCCTCTATTTGACTTCAATTTTTTCATCTGTTTCTATGTCATATTGAAAAGAGTAGTCAGAAAACCAAGTTGCAGTCCTAGCAATTCTACCACCTTTGGAGAAGTTACTAAATTGGGCTGCAGTTTCATCTGCAAATGAGATCTGGCATTAAGTAATCTATAACTATATTCAGTCCTAATAGTTTTTGATCTCAAGTACGCTGAATTTTCCTGTGTAAATCTGTTTCTTTCCTTTTCCTTCTCCAATCCAAATAGACTATCATTTTCATTTTGCCACTTGCTAACTCAGGGGCCTATAGTAACTTCCCTATTGCCTATAGGATAAAAGCCAATTTTACCTTAGTCTGCTGTTAATTGGCTCTCCTGTCTAACCCAAATTCTGTCCCCAACTTCATCTTGGATTCTACTAATATAGGAACCCTCTAGCTATGACTAGACTAAGCTATTCATTATACCTTGACTTGCCTCTATGGCTTGTGTCAACTCTGCTTTCTCCCTGATTATCATTCATACATTCCCTCTGCCTGTGTAACTTCTGTGCATTCTTTAGCGATAAACCGAAACTTTCATCTTTACTACATAGATGATTAGTATACCGATTTCAAATTTGGAAACACTAAGTTTCAAATTTTGACATTGCACAGGTAAGCTTTATTACTTAGGCATGTTTAAACTTTTTCAGTCTCATCTTTAAGGGTATTAATACCTTGCTTGTGGGTTATTATAAGAGTTACATAAAATAATTATTGTCAAGTGCTTAACACAGTCCTTGGTACACAGCAAGTTCTCAAAAATCATTATTGTCCTTCATTTTTTTCCAGTCTGTTTTAACTTTTCTTGACATTGAAATACTATGACATATTGTTCCTTGGTCTCACATTTTTTTCTACCTTTCATTGTTAATTGACTTTTTTTTTTTTTTTTTTTTTTTTGCATAAGCCTTATTATGCCTCTGTGCCTCCAACGGGTAGGCACTATGCTTTGTACTCTTTTCTGTTTCTCTCATCACCTAGAATAAGTGCTTTGTAGCACATTTATTACCCGCCCTTCTCTAAACTTACCATCCATGTTCATGCCATCATTACTTCTTGCTTTTCCCCCAGCTCTTTCTTTTACTTTTGATGTACGAATTTTGTAATTCTTTTGGTCTCAGCCGTAGGTTTCTCAATGATTCATTCAACAGGTATTTATTAAGAGTCTACAATATGTTAGGTACATTATTGTACTCCAGGGATACATTGATGAACTAAGACCAACATATTTTCTGACTCATGGAACTCACAGTCTAGTGGGAGAAAACTGGTATTTGTAAATATTCACAGAAACAAGTGCACATGTTTCCATGAGGAAACTGATATATCATCAAGAAATAATAGCAATGTATGGGCATGATGAGCAACTATAATGGGGAAATTTGGTAGGGATATTTGATATACGAAAAATAATAAAAATTATCTGGATGAAGAGATAATGGAAGAGTATGATGTGAGAGGGAACATGGTGAATAAGATTCAGGGCAGAGCTAGGTTTTAAAATTTTTGGAGTGAGTCAGGGATGAACCAGGCCAGTAGTGTGGGAGGTAACGTGAAAAGCCACCTTTTCGGTTTCTGTTTACATATATCATGATCTTGCATTAATTCTCCATAATATTAATAGTTGTCATGCTAAATTTTACTTTAAAATAGGTACCTATTTTGGAGAATGTATTCAGGGGACCAGTTGTATTGGAGAATGTATTCAGGGGACCAGTTGTATAATTTAATACCCCCGGCTATGGTTCTGAGTAATAGGAGCTGAAAAGCCAGTGTGGGCAGATCTCAAAGTGGGATAGGATTCTGGGAGTAAGTCAGATTGGAGTGGTAGAAGGGACCAGATTACACAGGGAATATCATATTAGGTTAAGGAGATTTATCCCAGGGGAAATTATAGGATAGAGATTTTTAATTTTAAGGATTATAAGATAGAGATTTTAATTTTAAACTAGAGCGTTAATGAGATCTAATTCAAATTTTGAAAGCTATCTTTGGCTGCCATGTGGTGACAGAGGACATCTCTGAATCACTTTTTGTCACTCAATTTTTTTGTGAAGCAGGATGTTGTTATATGACTAACGTTTATTTTAATCTACTTGACATTATAGCATCTTCCTCCATTCAGCTATATGCTATATCAATTAGGATTTGGTGTGCAAACAGAAGAATCCCAAATAACAGCTTAAACAAATAGAAGTTTGTTTTTATCTTATATAAAGGAATCTTGAAGTAAACATTCCAGGTTTAGTATGGAAGCTTAGCAGTCATCAAGGAGCTGCAATCCTCATTTTTTTGTTACTCTAGCAGCATAGTGTGTCTGCTTCATGGCCCAAGATGGTCACTTGAATTCACTTTGGTCTTCCAGTTAGCAACAAGGAGAAGGGATTGAGGAAGGGCATGTCTTCTTTATTTAAGGACACTTCCTGGAAGTTACATATGATGTTTCCATGTTCCAGAACTTAATTACATGCCAACTCCCAGCTCCAGTGAATGCTGGGGTATGGTTAGTTTTCTGTGGGGTCAAGTGCCTAGCTAAAAATGCAAGGCTCTATTCTTATGGAAAAAGGAGAACATGAACATTTGGGGCAAATTTGGATTTTTGGCCACCCTCTTCCTTTTTAGGGAGGCAACCCTGAATCCCATTAATTTACTAATTGTAGTTCAAAGTCCAGGATCTCTGAGAGTTAGGCAAACCTATCCATGAAGCTTGGGTATGACTTTTTAAGTTCTGGTAGTGCATAAATTAAAAGACAAATTGCCATAAACACAACTAACATACTGTATTGCGGAGAAGGAATACGATAATTGCAATAAAAACTCCCATTTAGAAATGGATAGAATGGAAACAACCATCATTCACTGGTCCTTAGTAATTATAAATTCCCTGCAGGCAGGAATGTGAGGGATAAGTTCCTTGATTAGCCACCCAAAAACCTCTGATTCTGTTCTTTGGAAGGAACTCCCTCATCCATTGTCCTGTGTTGCTCTGGATTTGCTCCTGGAAAGTTTTTTCTTTTCTATTTCCATGCAAGGACATCTCTGAGGACAATGGTTAGTAAGCCCCATGGAATCTTTCACATCACTTATTATTTTTGCTGTTTTGTTGGGGGGAGTAGGGCAGGAATTGTATTCTGAAGTATAGACAGTTATAGACCTTCCCCTGGCTAAAGATGGATGTAACAATATCTTCCATCCTACGAGTTCTTCTTACAAAATAAGCAGTTATTTCCCCATCAAGAAGTAGAGTCTCTGTTTCCTCTCCTTGAAACTTGCACCTTTTGACTGCCTCAACAAAAGAGTATGGCAGAATGGCACCAAGTGACTTCCAAGGCAACATCATAAAAGGTGATGCAGCTTCTACCTGTCTTTCTAGGATGCTTTCTCTTAGAAACAAGCCACCATGTTATGAGGGAACTGTGCCATCATGAAAAGAGGGTTCCTAGATTTCCACCCTCTAATAATTTGTTGTGACCTACTACCCACCACACCTTAGAAGCCAATACTTGATATTTTTTAGGTGCCCACTTCCAGGTATCCACATTCTGAATCACTTTGGATTAGATTCAGCTACACATAACAGATAAATACAAATAACAGTGGCTTACATAAGGTAGAAGTATATTTCTGTTCAACACAGAGGACTCCAGAGGTAGGGAATCCAGGATTTTTATGGTAGTTGCATGATTATCAGGATTCAGTTTCTTCTCTCTTAGTGCTCTGTTATTCTTAATTTGATGCCTTATGTTCCAAGATAGCTGCTTGAACTCTAATCATCATGCCTACTCTCTAGCCAGGAGTAAGGAAAAAGGTAGGAGAAAAAGATCATTCTTCTTCCTTTAAGGGCACTTATTAGAAGTTTTACGTACAGCTTTCCATTTATACTCCATTTTTCAGCAACTCGTCATCTGGCTGCACTTAGCTGGAAGGGAAGATGGGAAATGTTTTTATTCTGGGTAGACATGTACCATAGTCATGTACCATGAGTAGCCCTTAGTCACATTTTCTTTAAAATTACTTAGCTGTGTTTTATATTTTCTTTATATCATTTTCTCATGAATTTAAACTTTTAAATGAACTGTGTTATGCAAGGGAACATTACTGGGACTTAATCAGAAAGGGGGCATTTTGGGATGATAAAGATGAGAAAATTAAACCTCACATGTGTCCTTGGGACCTGGACTCCCAGGACCTCATTCATTCCTGGTAACTGAATCCCCCACACCAACCCTTATTAACCATTCTCACGGCAAGCTATAGTCTTCCCAAAAGGATTTATTATTTGCATTTTGGGGAGGCAATTAGAAGTTTACAGTAAGATTTAAGTTTGATAAGAACCCCAGTGCCGTTTTCTGTATTTCATCTCAATAACCTGACGAAGGATTTTTTTTTTCCCTAGCTTAATAAACTTTGTCAAATCTGATACTAGGAGAAAAAGCTGTTTGATCAAATGAAAACTTCTTTTTGTTTATCAAAAATAAGTTGATAAGAGATTCAGGAGCCCCCTCTTATTTGTGAGTGATATGTTCCAAGACGCCAGTGGATGCCTGGAACCATGGATACTGCCAAACCCTATACTATGTTTTTTCCTATATATACATATGTATGATAAAATTTACTTTGAAATTAGGCACAGTATGAGACTAACAACAATAACTAATAATAAAATAGAACAATTGTAACAATACAGTGTAATAAAAGTTATGTGAATGTGGTCTCTCTCAAAATATCTCATGCACCATACTCACCCTCCTTTTTCTTGTAATCTAGTGATCACAAGGAAACTCAGATGACTGCTGAGTGACTAACAGGCAGGTAGCATATACAGCATGGATATGCTGGGCAGAGATGATTCATATCCTGGGTGGGATGGAGTAGAATGGTGCAAGATTTTATCATGCTATTCAGGAAAATGCCCAGTTTAAAACTTGTGAGTTGTTTATTTCTGAAAATTTCCATTTAATATTTTCAAACTGAAGTTGTCCATGGGTAGCTGAAACCACAGAAAGTGAAACGGAGAAGAGTGACTACTGTAATGACTTATCTCTTGTTGTGTCTATGAGGAAGATTAATGAGGCATTCGGGTGATAAAAACTCACTAAATTCATTCACGTATTCTTCAGTACTATTAACTGGGTTCTTATATGGCAGATGCAGCACTAGCTGCTGGGGATATTGTGATGAATAGAACAGCCAGTCTTGACTGTAGTAGGCTGAATAATGACCACAAATAATGATCCAAGTCCTAATCCACAGAACCGGTGAATATGTTACCCTATATAATAAAAGAGACTTTGCAGATGTGATGAAATTAAGGATCTTGTTGTGGGGAGAATATTCTGGATTATCTGGGTGGGCCCTGAATGAAATCACAGTGTCCTTCTAAGAGGGATGCAGAGGGAATGTGAGAGAAGAGGAAGAAGGCAATATGATAAAGCAAGGGGAGGTGCAGAGCCGTGGGCCTCGGAGGCAGGACAGCTTCCAGAAGAAGGAAAAGGCCACAAAAAGGATTCTCCCCCAGAGCCTCCATCTGGAGTGGGGCCCTTCCCACAACTCTATTTCAGCCCACCAAAACAGCCAACTTTTGGTCTCCAAAACTGAGAAAGAATAAATTTCTACTGTTGTAAGCCACCAATTTTGTAGTGATTTGTTACAGCAGCTACAAAAAACTAATACATTGCCTTTCACAGAGCTTCTAACCTAGTGGGTTAAAAGGCAATGAGAATAAGGAATGAGACAATATCTTATCAGAAACTTGAAAGAGCAATAGGGGTTAGTCTGGGTAAGAGAGTGGGGAAGGGAAAAATCAGAGATAGCTATAAGTGTTGAGTTTTAAAAAGTCAGCCAGCCTCTTTGGAGAATGCTTTTGTGGGGGCAAGGGATTGGGAGGAATGTTGTGGCAAAAAATGAGGCTGAATGAATCATTAAGCAGGGGATAGATGATGAGGGTTCAAGTCATGCTAAGGAGTTTGCACTGCATTCTTAGAGCCTGGGGGCTGTACAAGAGTCCTGAGCAGAGGGATAGCATAATCAGGCCTCCATTTTAGAAAAACTTCTCAGACTGTAGGGTGGGTTATTGGAAAGCCCCTCATACCACATCACTCTCTTCAGGACCCATTCTTGGGCCTTTCGGGTTTAGACATTTTGTCTTACTATTTTGGTCATTTTCCTAAACATGAACTTTTATTTGCAAGATTCTCTTGGTTTCAAGAGATCTCTTTTTGCTTTCTCTCCCTTGAACTCCAGACACATATATCTGTGTGCCTCCTCAACAACTCCATTTGGATAATAATAAGTATCTAAAATTTAGCATTCCCAAACTGATCTGCAGATTTTCTCTTATCCTAAAGCTGTTCCACATCTCAATAAATGATGACTCCTTTTCAATTGTTCAAGTCAAATACCTTGGAATTGCCCATGACTTTTCTTTTCTCTCATGTCCTACATGCAATCCAACAGGAAATTCTTGATAAGAAACACTTCCAAAATCTGATCACTTCTTGCCATCCACACTGCTTTCCTGGTCCAAGCTACTGTTACCACTCACCTGTATTATTGCAGCCACCTTTGAATTCACTCCCTGATGCTACCACACCTCCTTATGGCTATGCTCAACACAAGATCACTCTTTTAACAAGAGTAATCTTGTTGAAACTTAACTCATGTTCCTCCTTTGCTTAACACCTTCCAGTGGCTCCCCATTTCATGTAGAGTAGAAGCCAGTGGCCTATCGGGCTCTACAGAATCTACCCCTCATACCCCAAGTGAAGATGTAACATTCTGCTCACAGCCTTCCCCTTTTTCCACTCTGCTCAGTCTCACCAGCTTCCTTTCTGTTCCCTGAAAACGCTCATGCTCTCCCCAGGGCCTCGCAGTTCCATTTTCTGCAGTGATTCCCTTTCAGACATCCATGTTGCCAGTTTCCTCATCTGTTTCAAATCTTTGCTCAAACGTCCCCTTCTCAGCAAGGTGTTTTCTGACCGTTGTATTTAAAATCACAAACTTCCTGAACTTTCTTCCACTTCAGCACTCTCTATCCCTCTTTTTTTTTTTTTTTTTTTGGTAGCACATACTTTATAATACTATATAATTTCTTCTTCATTAATATTTTTAACATGTATTCCTCTCCCCTGTGAAAAGTAAGTTCGTTGAAGGAAGACATTTTGTCTGTTTTGTTTAGTAGTTTATTCTCAGTGTCTAAAATATTTCCTGTCACATAAGGGGTGCTTAATAAGGGGTACTTGAATGAATGAGTCAGTGACAGCTGTGTTATGACAGTTTTATTTGGTGATCTTTCTGTGTTTCTTTTTCAGGTCAGAAGTTTATTTGATATTCACAACATGCAACTAAGGGTCCTTTAAGTCTGGAGCCATGTCACATTTCAGAAAAGAAAGGTGAGACACTGAAAAGTTCTTCTGTAAGCAGTGAATGTTAGCACATCTGAATATCTACTAGAAAAATGAACTTACATGCCATACTTATTTAAAATGATTGTGTTTTCTCCCTATCCTAGAGCTTCTTATAGGGTTTGCCATGGCATGCTAAGATAATGGTCCCCTAAGCCCTTAGGAAGGCTGGGGTAACTGGAACTCCCAGGTAGCTGTCTCTGGAGGGAGCAGTTTTATCTAAGGCTTCTTAGAGGGTAGCCAGGAGCAGCGTCTGGTAGCACACTCCCCATGTGTGCTGGGGATGGCAAAGGTACTTATCCGGCCTAGCTTCGGTACCAGGGCATGCCTCCCTCCTCATCTCCTCCAGCAGCCTGTTGCAGGGCATTCTGCTGCTCAGTATGCATAAGAAGTCTGGGCACTACTGAATGATCTCATGTTCTAGGTGTCTTAAGAGCACCAGCCAAGGGTGTAGGTTAAGGTGATGCCAGTGGGATGGTGGTGGGGCTGGCAGGCTAGATGGAGGTTCCTTGTGACTGCACCCCCAGATGGGAATCAAGAAGCTCTTTCTTGTCAAATATCAGATACTTCTGTCCATCCATGGATGGGCCGTTTTACTTATGTCCAGGCTAGCTATAGGGTTTTGTTCTAAAATATATGTATTCTAAAAATCAAGGCTTCCTCATTATTTTGAAATACTTGATATGAAAATTTCAATTGGATTTAAAATGTCTTCATGTTATTACAAAAAATTGAATAGTTATATTTGTCAATGGAAGAGCTCTCAAATTCCTTAAATATAATTTCTTTTTTTTTTTTTTTTCTTTCTTTTTTTTTTTTTATTATACTCTAAGTTTTAGGGTACATGTGCACATTGTGCAGGTTAGTTACATATGTATACATGTGCCATGCTGGTGCACTGCACCCACTAATGTGTCATCTAGCATTAGGTATATCTCCCAATGCTATCCCTCCCCCCTCCCCCCGACCCCACCACAGTCCCCAGAGTGTGATATTCCCCTTCCTGTGTCCATGTGATCTCATTGTTCAATTCCCACCTATGAGTGAGAATATGCGGTGTTTGGTTTTTTGTTCTTGTGATAGTTTACTGAGAATGATGGTTTCCAATTTCATCCATGTCCCTACAAAGGATATGAACTCATCATTTTTTATGGCTGCATAGTATTCCATGGTGTATATGTGCCACATTTTCTTAATCCAGTCTATCATTGTTGGACATTTGGGTTGGTTCCAAGTCTTTGCTATTGTGAATAGTGCCGCAATAAACATATGTGTGCATGTGTCTTTATAGCAGCATGATTTATAGTCCTTTGGGTATATACCCAGTAATGGGATGGCTGGGTCAAATGGTATTTCTAGTTCTAGATCCCTGAGGAATCGCCACACTGACTTCCACAATGGTTGAACTAGTTTACAGTCCCACCAACAGTGTAAAAGTGTTCCTATTTCTCCACATCCTCTCCAGCACCTGTTGTTTCCTGACTTTTTAATGATTGCCATTCTAACTGGTGTGAGATGATATCTCATAGTGGTTTTGATTTGCATTTCTCTGATGGCCAGTGATGATGAGCATTTCTTCATGTGTTTTTTGGCTGCATAAATGTCTTCTTTTGAGAAGTGTCTGTTCATGTCCTTCGCCCACTTTTTGATGGGGTTGTTTGTTTTTTTCTTGTAAATTTGTTTGAGTTCATTGTAGATTCTGGATATTAGCCCTTTGTCAGATGAGTAGGTTGCGAAAATTTTCTCCCATGTTGTAGGTTGCCTGTTCACTCTGATGGTAGTTTCTTTTGCTGTGCAGAAGCTCTTTAGTTTAATTAGATCCCATTTGTCAATTTTGGCTTTTGTTGCCATTGCTTTTGGTGTTTTGGACATGAAGTCCTTGCCCACGCCTATGTCCTGAATGGTAATGCCTAGGTTTTCTTCTAGGGTTTTTATGGTTTTAGGTCTAACGTTTAAATCTTTAATCCATCTTGAATTGATTTAAATTAGGTATTGATGGGACGTATTTCAAAATAATAAGAGCTATCTATGACAAACCCACAGCCAATATCATACTGAATGGGCAAAAACTGGAAGCATTCCCTTTGAAAACTGGCACAAGACAGGGATGCCCTCTCTCACCGCTCCTATTCAACATAGTGTTGGAAGTTCTGGCCAGGGCAATCAGGCAGGAGAAGGAAATAAAGGGTATTCAATTAGGAAAAGAGGAAGTCAAATTGTCCCTGTTTGCAGACGACATGATTGTTTATCTAGAAAACCCCATCGTCTCAGCCCAAAATCTCCTTAAGCTGATAAGCAACTTCAGCAAAGTCTCAGGATACAAAATCAATGTACAAAAATCACAAGCATTCTTATACACCAACAACAGACAAACAGAGAGCCAAATCATGGGTGAACTCCCATTCACAATTGCTTCAAAGAGAATAAAATACCTAGGAATCCAACTTACAAGGGATGTGAAGGACCTCTTCAAGGAGAACTACAAACCACTGCTCAAGGAAATAAAAGAGGACACAAACAAATGGAAGAACATTCCATGCTCATGGGTAGGAAGAATCAATATCGTGAAAATGGCCATACTGCCCAAGGTAATTTACAGATTCAATGCCATCCCCATCAAGCTACCAATGACTTTCTTCACAGAATTGGAAAAAACTACTTTAAAGTTCATATGGAACCAAAAAAGAGCCCGCATCGCCAAGTCAATCCTAAGCCAAAAGAACAAAGCTGGAGGCATCACACTACCTGACTTCAAACTATACTACAAGGCTACAGTAACCAAAACAGCATGGTACTGGTACCAAAACAGAGATATAGATCAATGGAACAGAACAGAGCCCTCAGAAATAATGCCGCATATCTACAACTATCTGATCTTTGACAAACCTGAGAAAAACAAGCAATGGGGAAAGGATTCCCTATTTAATAAATGGTGCTGGGAAAACTGGCTAGCCATATGTAGAAAGCTGAAACTGGATCCCTTCCTTACACCTTATACAAAAATCAATTCAAGATATAATTTCAACTGTTGTAAATTTTTGAATGGTTGCATAAAAATGTTTTATTTATTTATTTATTTATTTTAAATCACCTACTAGTAAGAACAGTAAGAACAGTTTCTCATTGATGGTGTCCATCAAGAATTTATAGAGATCACCATTAAAATGTCTTGAACAGGAATTTAATAAAACCGTCTTAACTCTAACCATGGATACAACTTTTTTATATCACTTTTTTTTAATGGCTAAATGGCTTCATTAAAAAATGTTGAAAGATTTTAAGAGAAGTTTTATAAAAATTCTCTATTTAACACCTTCCCTAACTCTTCGCATTTTATTTTTCTTATAATTGTGCAAGGAAATGGTAATGACTTTTTAATAAAGTACCAGATAGAGGTCCCTCGGTCCCTTTAGGTTTACTTCTGGCTCTTGTACAAATATTATATTTTTTGTATGTTCTCCCATCCCCCCCACAATCAACTTAGAGGTTTATTTTGCTGAGGTTGAGGAGGTGCCCAGGAAAAAGAAACAAACCACAGGAACATCTGTGATTAATGCTTTTTCCGAAGAGGGTCTGGGGACTTCAGTATTTAGAGGGGAAATAGTGGGCAGTAGGGGAAAGAGGACAGAAAAAAAAGTGGGAGAGTAGAAAAAAAGGGCAAGCAGTTGCATTCTTTTGAGGTTTTGAGCTGTGTTCACTAAATCTACATTTTACATGTAAACAGAAAGTGTAGAGTAATAGTCAATTACTGATTTGTCTCACATTCAGTGAATCTGCATTTTTACTTAAGATAAAGTAAACACAGAGTAGACGAAGCAGTCAAATATGCATTTATTTTAGGTGGGTGGAGGGATGACTTTTGATCCTGTCTGTCCCATATCGTTTCCTGGCTTGTGGGGTGTCCCAGTCTCTTCCCTGCAGATCTCCCAGTATCTTCAGGTCATAGGGCAACAGAGGTTGTGGTGGAGCCACTGGGGACTCCCAAAGCTGAGGAAACAGCAGTAGAGGTCTATGTTCTTTTATTTCAAACAATTATGGTGAGATGCACATAACATAAAATTTACCATCTTATCCATTTTTAAATATACATTTCGGTAGTGCTCAGTACATTCACATAGTTGTATAACCCGTTTCTGGAACTCTTTTCATCTTGCAAAACTGAAACTATATCCATTAAACAATTCCTGATTCTCCCCTTACCCCAGCCCCTGGAAACCACCATTTTACTTTTTGTCTCTATGAATTTGACTCTTCTAAGTATTTCATATGAGTGGAATAATACAGCATTTGTCTTTTGTGACTGGCTGATTTCACTTAGCACAATGTCCTTAAGGTTCATTCATGTTGTAGCATGTGTCAGAATTTCCTTCCTTTAAAGTCTGAATAATGTTCTGTGGTATGTATACACCACATATTTATCCATTGTCTGTCAATGGACACTTGGTTGGCTTTCACCTTTTGGCTATTATGAATAATGTTATTATGAATATAGGTGTAAAATATTTCTTTGAGATACTATTTTCATTTGTTTTGGTTATATACCCAGAAGTAGAATTGATAAATCATATAATTCCATTTGAACGTTTTTTGAGAAACCACCATTATGTTTTTTCCACTGTGTTACATTTCTTCTGATAGTTCACAAGAGTTCAAATCTCCCCACATCCTTGCCAACGCTTGTAATTTTCTGTTTTTTTGACAGTAGCTGTCCTAATGAGTGTGAGGTGGTCTCTGTGTTCTTTGATATGAATGCTCAGGAGTGCAGTTGCTAGGTAGTATGGTAGTCGCAAGTTTAGTTTTAAAAAATAAACTACTAAACTTTTCCAGAGTGCTTGTACTGCTTTACATTCTCACCAGCAATGTGTAAGTGATCCAGTTCTTCCCATCCTTACTAGCATAAGGTGCTATTACTAACTTTTAATTTTAGCCATTCTGAAGTATGTAGTGACATTTCATTGTGGTTTTAGTTTGCATTTCTCTTAGGGTAGATGTTGAGTTTCTTGTCATGTGTTTGTCAACTGTATATCCCCTTTGGTGAAATACCTCTTCTTGTCTTTTGCCCATTTTCTAATTGGATGTTTTGAATGTTCTTTATGTATTGTAAATAGCAGCCTTTTCTTAGATATGTAGCTTGCACGTATTTTCTCCTACACTGTACCTTGTCCATTCATTCTCTTTCCAGTGTCTTTTATGAGCAAATGTTGTCCATTTTGATGAAATTCAATCTATTAACTTTTCTAAAAATAGCTTTTGCATTTGGTGTTAGATTTAAGAACTTTTGCTTAGCACTAGATCCTGAACATTTTCTCGTATGTTTTTACTAAAAGTTTTATAGTTGTACTTTTTTCATTAAGCCTGTGATCCCTTTGAATTAATTTTTATATATAGGATGAAACTTAGATTAATTTTTTTTCTTCTTCTAGATGTCCAATTGCTCCAGCTCCATTTATTGAAAAGGATATATTTCCTCAGCTGAATTGCTTTTGCACCTTTGTCAACAATCAGTTGAATATATTTGTATGGGTCTGTCTCTGGGTTTTCTATTTTGCTCCATTGATCTATGTGTCTAACTCTCTGACAATACCTCACAGTCATGATTACTGTAGCTATATAATAAATCTTGCCGGTAAATGGATTCCTCCCACTTTAATCTCCTTTTCCAAATTGTTTTAGCCATTCTAGTTCCTTTGCCTTTCCATATAAATTTTAGAATAATATTATCTATATTTACAAAAAAAATCTTGCTGAGATTTTTAGAGGAATTGCCTTATATCTACACCTCAATTTTGGGAAAATGGACATCTTTATGATGCTCAGTCTCTCCGTCCATGAATATATTATATCTTTCTATTTATTTACATTTATTTTAGTTCTTTCATCAGCGTTTAGTACTTTCCAGCATACAAGTCCTGTACATATTTATTTAGATTTATACCTAAGTATTTATTATTTTTAGTGACTGTGAGTGGCATTATATTTTAAATTTCCTTTTCCATGTGTTCATTGCTAGTATGTATACAAGCAATTGAGTTTTGTATGATTATTCTGTATCCTGTGATCTTCCTGAACTCATTAATGTCAGGACATTTTTAACGTTTAGTAGATTCCTTGGAATTCTCTGTATAGACAATCATGTCATTTGCAAATGTGAACAATTTTATTTATTTCCAATCTGTACACCTTTTATTTCCTTTTCTTTGACTTAATATAATGGTTAGAACTTCCAATACTACAGTGAAGAAGAGTGGTGAGAGCAGACATTCTTACATTGTTCTTCATCTTGGGAAGAAAGCAGTCAGTCTTGCACCATTAAGGATAATGTTTGTTGTAAATGCTCTTCCTCTCTCCTAGGGAAATGAGGTTCCCCTCTACTCCTATTTTTTAGTTTTTATTATAAATGGATAGTGAATTTTGTGCAATAATTTTTCTTCACTGGTTGATATGATCATTGTGATTTTTTTGTCTTTAGCTTGTTTATATGGCAGATTATATCGATTAGTTTTCACATATTGAGTCAGCCTTGCATCCCTGCTATAAACTCCACTTGGTTATAATATCTAATTCTTTTTATATTTTGCTACATTCTATTTGCCAGTGTTATGTTAAGAGTTTTGGCATCTAAATCTATGAGGGATATTGGTCTGAAGTTTTCTTTTTTGGGTATTGTCCTCGTTTGATTTTGATAAAAGGGTAATGCTAACTTCCTAAGATAAATTGGGAAGTGTTAATATCTCTTCTAGGTTCTGAAAGAGATTGTGTAGAATCTTTCTTAAACATTTGGTAGAATTTTCTGGTGAAAACATCTGGGCATGGAGATTCCTTTTTTGTAAATATTTGGATTATGAATTCAATTTCCTCAAAAGTTACAGGGTTATTCAAACGGTCTCTTTCATATTGGGTATGTCGTGGTAGGTTGTGTTTTTAAAGGAATTCGTTCATTTCATCTAAGTTGCAAAATTTATGCACATATTATTGTTTGTAGTGTTCCCTTAGTTCCCTTAGAGATTCTTTTTGATGTCTGGATGTCTGCAGGGTCTGTAGTGATATCCTATTTCATTTCTGATACTGGAAATTTGTGTTTTCTCTTTTTTTTCTTTGTCGTTATTGCTAGAGGTTTACCAATTTTACTGTTCTTTTCAAGAAATAAACTATTTTTCTTTTTCTATTGATATTCTGTTTCCAATTTAATTGATTTCTGCCCTTATCTTTATCTTTATTATATTTTCCTTCCTGTTTACTTTGGGTTTATTTTACTTTTCTGTTTTCAGGCTCTTAAGTTATGGATTTGAGACTTTTTTGTTTTCTACTGTATGCACTTAGTTTATTAATTTGGCTGTCAGTACTGCTTTAACAAACTTTGATATGTTATATTTTCATTTTCATTCAGTTCAATGTATTTTTTCAGTTTCTTTGAGACTTCTTTTTTACTTATGAATTATTTATAAATGTGCTGTTTAGTTTTCACGTGTTTCAAACTTTTTCTGTTATCTTTCTTTTGTTCATTTTTCATTTGATTTTATTGCACCAGTCAACACAATTTGCATAATTTCAATTTTTAAAAATATGTTAAAGTTTGTTTTATGGCCCAGTATATGGCTTACGGGCCATGGTCATTAGAAAATAATGTGTTTTCTGCTTTTGTTGGGTGGAGTGATCTATAAATATTGATTAGATACCATTGGTTGATGGTGTTGTTGAGATCTTCTATATCCTTGCTAATTTTCTGTCTAGCTGTTCTTTCAGATGCTGAGAGACGGATGTTATCTCCAACTAAAACTGTGGATTTGTGTGCTTTTCCTTTTGGTTCTGTCAGTTTTTATTTCACGTGTTTTACAGCTGTCTTGTTTGATACATACTTAAATTTAAGATTGCTATGTTTTCTTGATGGCTTGACATTTTTATTATGTAATATCTCACTCTGTCTTAGGTAATTTTCTGTGCTTTAAGGTCTACTTTATCTTATATTAATATAGCCATTCATGCTTACCTTTGGTTAATGGTACATCTTTTTCCATTCTTTCACTTTTGACCTGTGTATATAATTAAATTTGAAGTGAATTTCCACAGAAATCCATAGCATATAGTGGTTTTATTTTTGTTTTACCTACTTTGTCAATCCCTATTAATTGGTATATTTAGACTGTTTACATTTAATGTAATTATTGATACATTAGGATTTAATTATGCTGTTTTAATTTTTGTTTTCAGACTATTCTTTATTTTTGGCTTCTCTCTTTTCCTTTACATGTCTTCATGTGGTTGCTTGAACATTTTTTTTTAGAATTTCACTTTGGTTTATTTATAGAGTTTTTGAGTTATATATCTCTTTATATAACTATTTTTGTGTTTGCTCTGGGCATAAATATATATATATATATATATATATATATAGACTGATAGTTGTGGTAGTTTGTGTTTTTATAATTTTATATTTATATAAAATTAATATAAATTTATCAGAGTCTACCGGTGCCACCATTTTATCAGTTCGTACAGAAGCTGTACTGCCTTTACTGCCCTTTACATAATTTCCCCTTGTTTAGAATTTAATTGTATTCTAAATATTTCCTTTCAGATATTTAGGAGCACAGCAGATAGTGTTATAAATTTTGTTTCAACCATCAAACATAATTTAGCACTCAAGAAGAGAAGGAAATTTAATTGTGTTTACACAGAATTGTGCTTACCATTGCTTTAATTTTCTATCGTAATAAATCTTCACAAACTTACTGGAATAAAATAGCACAATTTTATTATCTTATAGCTCTACAGGCCAAAAGTCTGAAATAAATTTATTCGGTTGAAAACTGAGGTATTGGCAGGGCTGTGTTTTTTTCTGAAGGCTCCTGGGAAGAATATGTTATGTTTCTCAGCTTTTAGAGGCCACTTGCATTTCTTGTCTTATGACCATTTCTTAGTCTTCAAAGCGAGAATCATAACATCTTTAAACCTCTTTCTCTAACGCTTTACTTCCATTGTCACATCTTCTTATATGACTCTGACCTTGATGCTTTCCTCTTATTAATATGCTGTGATTATAACCAGCACAACTCACTAATCCAAGATAATCTCCCTGTTTCAAAATTCTTAACTTAATCATGTATACAAAGTCCTTGCTGTCATATAAGGTAACATATTTACTGGTTTCAGGGATTAGCATGTGGATATCTTTTTTTGGGGAAGGGGTCATTATTCTATCTGCCACAGTTCCTTCTCTGGCCCCCATGATGATTTATGTCTATCCATATCCAAAATATATTGATCCCACCCTAGCATCCCCCAAAGTCTCAACCTATCGAATAATCTATCCAAAGTTCAAATTGTCATCTAAATCTCATCAGCTCAGAAGCCCCAATCCTCACCATCTAAATCATTTCAATCAGGTATGAATGAGACTCTAAGTGTGATTCATTTTGTAGAAATTTCTCTCTATATGTGGACCTGTGAAACTAGGAAACAAGTTATCTGCCTCCAAAATACAAAGGTGGGGCATGCATTTGATACCAATTATAGAAATTCCTGTTAAAAACGGGAGAAAATGGAAGGGGAAAAGGAACCAGAGCCACAAGCAATCTTGAAATCCAGAAGGACAAACACCATTTGGTTTCAAGGCCTGGCAATAATCATCTGTGTCTCTCAACTCTGTGGGCCATTATTCTCTCTACACACTGATACTCAAAGATTCCCTTCTGGTTTTCTACCTGTTTAGAGAACTTCCTTTAGTCATTCTTTTAGGATAGGTCTGCTACCAACAAATTCTTAGTCTTCCTTCATCTGAGAATGTCTTAATTTACCCTTCATTTCCAAAGGAAATTTTTGCTGTGTATGGAATTCTGACTTGGCAGTTATTTTCTTTCAGTACTTGGAAAATCTACCATTTCCTCTGGCCTACATGATTTCTGTGAGAAATATACTATTAATTTCATTGTTTTTCTCTTTTAGGTAAATTTTTGTTTCTCTCTCACTTCTTTTAAAGCTTTTTTTTTTTTTTTGTCTTTAGTTTTCAAAACCTTCACCAAGATGTGTCCTGGTGTGGATTTCTTTAACTTTATCCTGTTTGAAGTTCAATTTCTTGAATTAATCTTCTTGAATCTGTAGTGCTGTGGGATAATGAAGGAATCAGAGAGACCGAGGAGTTGAGGAGGAATTATTTAATCATTTAGGTGCACCAACCCAGTCAGGTTAACATCCAAAGGACTGAGCCCCGAACAAAGAGTCAAACTACTTTTTAAGCATTTTGTGGGCTGGGGGAGATCTGTGCAGGGGGAAGCGTATTACAGAAGTGAGAAACAAAGACAGTTATTTAATTGAGACTTGCATTACATTATTTTTTACTTTTTAAGGAAATATGTTTTATGACTTGAGTTTATCTATCTAGTGACCTTACAGCTGCACAGCTAGAGAAACAGGGTCTTTACAATGCCTGGGAAAGGGAGAGATAAGGCTCAGTAGCCACAGAAAAACAGGCAGTTAATTTTAAAGGACTCCAGCCCTTTCTCTTGTTTAGGGGGAATTGGCTTTTCTTATATACAACTGAGTTTTTGCTTATACAGTCTTTAATTTTTTTAAATTTCTGTTCCATTAGGCTTATGTTGTTTGCCAAATTTGAGAAGTTTCATTTCTTCAAGTACTTTTTCAATCCTGCCTTACTTCTCCTCTTCTTCTGGAACTCTGATAAAAATGAATGCTACATATTTCGGTATAGTCTCACAGGTTTCTGAGGCTTTGTTCACTTTTTAAGTCTATTTTCTCTCTGTTCAAATTAAGTAATCTTTATTAATCTATCTTCTAGCTTATTGATACTTTCTTTTGCCCTCACCATTTGCTATTGAGCCTATCCATTGATATTTTTTATTTTTTATTGTATTTTTCAGTTCTAAAATTTTCAGGTGTTTTTTAAAGCTTGTTTCTTTGTTCTGTTTGCTTGCTGAGACTTTCATTTGTTTCAAATATGTTTATAATTGCTCATTGAAGCATTTTTATGATGGTTGCTTTAAAATCTTTTTCAGATAATTCTAACTTTTCTTTCATATTGGTGTTAGGATTCTTTTTTAAAAAAAATTTGATTTAAGATCTTCTTGGTTGTTGGTATAATGAGTGATATTCAATTTAATCTTGTACATTTTGGGTATTTGTTATGAGATTCTGGATTTTATTTAAATAATCTGTTTCAGCTGGTGTCTAACATTGTTCCAACGGGGAAGGAGGGCACTGTCTTATTATTGTTGAGTGAAGAAGTCATCCAGCCAGCCATTCCATTTGGCCTCCACTGGCACTCACTTGAGGGAACTCTGTTCTTTTTGGGTGTGAGTGGGATTCTATGTGATTACCACCAACATTGCAGGAGGAGAGTGCTTCCTACTACCTGGAGGGGATGAAAGTCTTGACCTTCTCCTTGGTTTTCTTTGATTGTACCCTGGGAAACAGGAAGGTTTGGTGGTGGTTGGGGCACCCTGTTAGAGCCTGGTGAGGGTGAACGTCTAGGCTTCCTGCTTGGCCTTCACTTTCATTATCCCAGTTGTAATATTGGAGGGTCCCACATCATACCCTCATGAGGATTGAAGTCTAGGCTCTCTCCACTTGGTCTTTGCTGATGTGGTCGGGATTAGGGCCATAGTTTATTTCTGTTGTATTTGGCTGTAGTAGAGTGGTTATTTTCTAGAATTAAAAAAAAAATCTCCCTAGATTGTCTCTCTTTCTCTTGATTCTTTGGTTAATAGAGTAGGCTTTTGTTGTGGGTTTTTGCTTGTTTATATGTTTATATGTATTTTTTGGTTTGTGCCTATCAATATTTCTGGGTTGTCAGTTCCAGGTCTGTGAAATATGAGAAAAAGTGAAATACCAGGAAACTTTCTAGTATGTTGTTTGGGTCCTGAGCTTCTTCCCTTTTTCTCTTTACTTTTCAGAGTTTACCTGTGTTTGATGTATAATATCTGGAATTTTACCTGCACATGGCAGAAGAAATAGGGAAAAGTATGTCTATTCTATCTTCCCAGAAGAAAAAGACCTCTAGGTGATTCCGGAGAAGCACTGTTTAGAATCTCAGGTTGTGCTATCCAGCTGTTTATCCTAATTACTATGCTTAGACTTTCCTAGGTCTAGTCATTTATGTGGATATTATATGAGAATAGTGTTATATTGTTTAATGCCTTAAGACTCTGAATAACCCAATATAAATAGCTCCAATTAAACTTGTATGGTCTCCTAATAAGCGAGGTAGATAATCTGCCTGAGTCTCAATAATGTAACTTATAAATTGGGCTCTTGAGGCCATTTAAGCTTCTGGTTTCTCAAATCTTACAGGAACAATTAGATGACATACTCCATCATTGATGGTTGCATATTGATCAGGCTTTTTACAGAATCATCTTACATCTCCTGATGTCAGAAAATCTCGAGTTGGTCAGCAGCTTTATGTAATTCTACCAAAAGATTTTGTCACACTTTAAATCACATGTATAGACTATTCATATATGCTCTTAACTATGACAAAGATCATTGGATTGAAATTCTTATACTCTTTAAAGACCAAATTTCTTTTATTTATTTATTTTAAATTAGGAACTACTATATAAATTGAAGTATTAAAAAACCTGGGTGATTTATTTCTGTTTACTACAAACTACAAAGCTGGCTCTGGCTAGAAACGTGGATTTGTGAGTCTCAATCATTTTGACATGACAGGGTTTTTGAATGAGCTCATTCAAATCGTTGAATCATAGAAATCATTGAAATGCTTTTTTAAAAAAATGTGTTTCCATAGCTTTATCTCTAGAAATTATAAAGGAGCCCACTTTCATTCTAATTCCAAAGCCAAGATAGGGAGTTTACTTCTAAGAATTCAAAATCCTTGAAAGGCCGTTTTTTTTTTTTTTTTTTTTTTTTTTTTGTAATTGCCTTCTTTGATATATTGCTCTCTCAATTCAGTGGGGTTTGGAGAAGATTTCATCTCAAATTTGGGAGATTTGGAAGGTGAATTCAGTTTAGTGTCTCATAACCTTCAAATACACTTATTGCCCCAGCAATCGTTTTGTACTCCAATTCCATAGAACGTTCTGGATTATTTGTGATTTTTATTACCGTTTTTCTTGGAAGCTTACAGTGTCAGCACCTGCATCATCTCTGCATCATCTGCCAACTTCTGAATTTCCACAGATAAGCCTGAAAGTTCAGTCCTACAGTTCTCTTGCAAGTTGATAGTATTTAATTATTTTGTTTTGTCTTTCTATTCTGGCAAATTTCAACTCTAACTTGTTTCCCCTAACCCCAGTTAAAAACTTTAGCGCTGGCCAATAAGTTCCCAGGTAGATATCTATGAATCTTAATTTATTTTCATTCAGTACCTCTTGTTACGATTTATGTTGCGGGAAGTCAGGGACCCCAAATGGAGGGACCGGCTGAAGCCATGGCAGAAGAACATAAATTGTGAAGATGTCATGGACATTTATTAGTTCCCCAAATTAATACTTTTATAATTTCTTACACCTGTCTTTACTGCAATCTCTGAACATAAATTGTGAAGATTTCATGGACATTTATCACTTCCCCAATCAAGTCTTGTGATTTCCTATGCCTGTCTTTACTTTAATCTCTTAATCCCATCATCTTCATAAACTGAGGATATATGTCGCCTCAGAACCCTGTGATGATTGCGTTAACTGCACAAATTGTTCGTAAGCATGTGTGTTTAAACAATATGAAATCTGGGCACCTTGAAAAAAGAACAGGATAACAGCGATGTTCAGGGAATAAGGGAGATAACCATTAGGTCTGGCTGCCGGTGAGCCTGGCGGAACAGAGCCATATTTCTCTTCTTTCAAAAGCAAATAGGAGAAATATCGCTGAATTATTTTTCTCAGCAAGGAACAGCCCTGAGAAAGAGAATGCGTTCCTAGGGGGAGGTCTCTAAAATGGCCACTGTAGGAAAGTCTGTCTTTTATGATTGTAGATAAGGGATGAAATAAGTCCCGGTCTCCCATACCACTCCCAGGCTTATTAGGACGAGGAAATTCCCGCCTAATAAATTTTGGTCAGACCAGTTGTCTGCTCTCAAACCCTGTCTCCTGATAAGATGTTATCAATGACAATGCATGCCCGAAACTTCATTAGCAATTTTAATTTCTCCTCGGTCCTGTGGTCCTGTGATCTCGCCCTGCCTCCATTTGCTTTGTAATATTGTATTACCTTGTGAGGCATGTGATCTCTGTGACCCACACCCTATTCGTACACTCCCTCCCCTTTGAAAATCACTCATAAAAACTTGCTGGTTTTGCGGCTTGGGGGGCATCATGGAACCTGCCGTCATGTGATGTCTCCCCCGGACACCCAGCTTTAAAATTTCTCTCTTTTGTGCTCTTTCCCTTTATTTCTCAGACCGGCTGACACTTAGGGAAATAGAAAAGAACCTATATGAAATAACATTGAATTATTGGGGGAGGGTTCCTCGGATAGATTTATATTTCCATCCCTTGTTCCTGAGTTGAGGTTTATCCCATCTCTATGCGTTTTGTTTCCTAAGACAAGAGTTCTAGTTTTAGACCTGCTACTCTGTTTTTCTCTAGCCAAAACCCAGACATGATGGGTGTGGATACATCTCCCTGACGATATCCATCTGGTGCATTAACTCCTGATTTTGTCTATCCCTGGATGCCATGTCTGTGTACTATATCCACCTGCTGGGACCCTGCCTTTTCCTTTGAAATACTGCAGGTTCTATGTTATCTTGAAAACGAGTGAGCTATTTATGCCCTTTGAACATTTCCTAACTCTCATTTCCAGGCACATTTTACTCTCACCATTGAATTTCATCCAACATTGAATTTTATATTTCAGGAAAATGGAGAAAACTTTGCAAAGAAACCTAACCTAGAGATAGCCAAATCAATTCTATTGATTTTCTGTATACCAAGCTCTCTTTTTAAAAATTTGTAGTGACCTAACTATAACACATTCTTGTGGTACAGAAGCCCTGGTGTCCTGTGTGGTCCTATACCAATGCTCATCTCATAAATTGTTTATCCACATTTTGGATCTGGAGTTTGCGATTATAGTTTTCATTTCTGACAGTCACAGTGTTTTTTACTCGGGAGGTCATAGCGTATAAAGCAATAGAGCTCCAATTCTGGGGTCAGACTGCCTGAACTGAAGCTTGCCTCCATCATTTATTAAAAGTGTGAACTTGGGCAAGTGGATTAATCTTCCTAAGCATGTTTTATTATTATAAACTGGGAAATACAGTAATAGTGGCATTTATATCATAGATTTTTTCATGAAAATTAAATGAAATGCTGTATATAAAAAAATACGTAACACAGTTCTTGCCATATAGCAGTTTCTCAATAAATGCTATAATTTTAAAAATTATATGTAGCAAAAATTCAAATTTATAATTCTGAGTAAGCATAGCCCTACCAATTAATCTTATCATCAGTTAATGTTTGATTAGACCTATATTTAGCAAATAACTAAATAGGCCTGTTTTGAACTGTTAACTCCACACAGGAAGGATAGTCCTTTATAAACAATGAGGCTATTTATTGGTCACAAGTTGCACATAGAGTTTCACTTCCAAAACTAAGCATAGATGTGGTTCTCAGAGTGCATTGCCAGGGAAAGTAACATACATGCACATTCTTGGACCCCATTCCTGACATAACTGAATTAGAAGCTCTGGGGGTGAGGTCCAGCAACCTGCCCTTTAACAAGCTCTGCAGGAGATTATGATGCACCCTCAAGTTTGAGAACCACTGTTAGATTAAGAATTGAAGCACTATAATGCATTTCTTGTCTTGTGGCTGTTGCTCCTGTGTTGACTGTTCTTCCTGCTGTCATGCTCATCAGATGCCTTTAGCTGGTTAGAAACCTAAAAGGCTCAACATAGAATTAAATGATTGTGTCAGATGTGGGGAAAACTACTTTTTTAAGGGTTTTCTTATAAGGAAGAAAAATCTTTTTTTTTAAATTATACTTGAAGTTTTAGGGTACATGTGCACAATGTGCAGGTTTGTTACATATATATACATGTGCCATGTTGGTGTGGTGCACCCATTAACTCGTCATTTAACATTAGGTTATCTCCTAATGCTATCCCTCCTCCCTCCCCCCACCCCACAACAGGCCCTGGTGTGTGATGTTCCCCTTCATAAGGAAGAAAAATCTAAAGGGAGAAATAGCCAACAGCCAAATCAAGTAGTCACATCTCCTGTGAATAATCACTGGAATTGTCTTAATTATTTGATTATTTGCTTTTCTGTTCAATAGCAGCAACCTAGGCCTTGGGATCTTTATTTTCCTTTCTTGGAAATAATCCCAAAGAAACCAGGACTTGTTAGTGTCTGTGACTGCCTTGTCGATTGTTATTTTAAGAAGCCTCTGAATTTAATCTTGGTATACTCTTTTATTCCTGTTGGTGTTTCAGTGCTTATTTCAACACATGAATAAATTTAGAGTGACTGATTAAAAGCATTTTGGGCTTCTTAAAAGCATTTTGGGTATAATCTTGGCAGTTGTAAATACAATTTCACTTATTCTGAGCAGCTAATTTCTGGATAAACAGTAATTCAGTTGCTAAAAGCTATCTTTGTTGTATTTCCTATTTTTCTAAGCATTTAAAGTGAATCAAAAACATTATGTAGAATTGAGAAAGAAAATATTGAACATTATATAAATTTAGTGCATGAGTGCTCAAAAAATAGCATGTCCTTTTCATTTACTTATATGGAGATACTAATGTATTTGAAACCTGAGGAGAGAATGAGGTTTAGGGCAGATAAAATGTGTGACACTAGTTCTGCCACCTCCTTGGCATGGAGTTTGGGTAACTTGTTTAATATACCAAACCTTGGATTCTTCGTGTTCAAAATGATGACAATAAGGGCATTTTTGAGGTTATTGAAGTGTAAGTAACAGAATATAGGTAAAGTATCTGGCATAGACTAAGAGAGCCCCCAAAATATTGTCACTACATCTGAGGCATTTTCAACATTACATAGTTTTGATTTGCATTTAGTACTCTTTCTAATTAATAAGGCTATTTATATACATACCACTTGTGATTCCTTGTTTGAGTCTTTCAATTTTCCTATGAGATATATAAAATAGATCTCTTTATTAATTTTTTTAAAACAGAGAAAAATATTTTAACAAGCGGCTTATTACCAGGCCTAACACTGGTTCATAAAACTTTAGAATCAGATCGAGATGTGATTGATCTTGGAGGCCATCAAATTCAAGCTCTCCCTTAACAAATAAATAAACAATCTGGGCCCTGACAGTGGAAATGAGATATCCAAGGCTTCATAGCTAGTTGTTGGCATGATGTTACCTGTTCCCTGCAAAATTGTAACCTGTTAGATGGCAGGGAGAAATATATCATTTTAAATGCACAAAGCTCGTTAGCTTGGCATATGAGGCCTCTGCTTACTTCTAGCTTCATCTTCATCACTTCCTGCCTCATACTTCATGATTCCGCAGTACGCATTATACTAACGTTTTTCCCTATGCATAGCTCTGCTGATATTGTCTTTGCCTAAAAGACCCTTGTAACTCTTTCCTATTTTCAACTCATTAATTCTAACTTTGAATCACAGGAGTCCTTGCAACTCTCACAGTCCTATCTCTTTCTCACTCAAATATACCCCCCAAACCTGGTTTGCTTCCATGTCATACTTTTGTCATAACTCTGACTATATTCTATCACAATGATGGATTGATAATGTCTGTCTCACTTACCATATTATAAAACTCTTCAGTGCTGGGAACATGTCTTATTTATTTTTCTATTTTCTGTATATAATATAGGGTCTGGAGCATTTTACAGGTTCAGCAAATGCTTGTTGAACTGAACTGTTGTTTGGCTTCTGTGGACTGCCTTTTGGATTGCCTTTACTTATATGTCATTGTGGTCTTCTCTAGTCTAATGCTTTCAGACTTGAATGAACATGGGTCAAGGTTTATTTATACAAGTAGCTACAAAAATGGACCTAAGTTTTCCATCTTTGCCACCTAAAAGTTATGCAAATACAGAAAACTTAGAATGTTTCAGGGCCTTGGTTTCTTTCTTTTTAATTTTTTTGTTGTAAAAAATAACACACAAAAATGCACAAAACATAGATTTACCCTTCACATATTGATATAATGCAAATGTACCTGTCTCCTTCTCTTCTCTGTCACCACCACAAAGTCTGATGAATAGAGCATTGCTAGCACACAGAAGGTACTTTTCTGTCCTTTCCTGATCACAACCCCTCTCTCCACACTAAAGGTAACCTGGATTCTGACTTTTATGATAATGATGTTTTTACTTTTCTTTATACTTTTACTAGGTATATATTCTTAAGAATTTCAGATTGCTTTTGCCTATTTTTATACTTTATGTAAATGGAAACATACACTGGGCATCATCCTCTATGTGGCTGATATATAGAAATATAATTGATTTTTTATTATGCTAAAAGTATGACATAAAATTCAGTGTTTTAACCATTTTTAAGTATACAGTTCAGTAGTGATAAGTATATATACATAGCTGTAAAACAGATCTCTGGAACTTTATCTTATAAATCTGAAACTTTCTACCCATTAAACAATAGCTCCCTTTTTCCTCTCTCCTCCCAGGCTCTGATAACCACTCATATTTTCTGTTTCTATGAATTTGACCACTTTAGATATATCAGACAAGTGCAATCACACTGTATTTGTCTTTTTGTGACTGGTTTATTTCATTTGGCATAATTTCCTCAAGGTTCATGCATGTTGTAGCATGTGTCAGAATTTTTTTCCTTTTTAAGGATGAGTAATATTCCACTGTATGCATAGGCCACATTTTGTTTATGTACTTATCCATCAATGGACATTGGGTTACTTCCACCTCTTTGCTATTGTGAACAGTGCTGCTACAAACATGGGTGTGCAGATATCTCCTTGAGATCCTGCTTTCAATTATTTTGGATATATATCCAAAAGTGGGCTTGCTGAGTAATATAGCAGTTTTATTTTTAATTTTTTGAGAAACACCTCTACGTTTTTTTATAAAGGTTACATCATTTTATGACACCCTCAACGGTGCACAGTGGTTCTAATTTTTCTGCATCCTTGTCAATACTTGTTATTTTCTGTTTCTTTGATAGTAGTTATCCTAATGAGCAATATCTCACTGTGGTTTCAATTTGTATTTCTCTGGTGACAGTGATACTTAACATCTTTTGATATGCTTGCTCATTTGTATATCTATAATTGGTTTTTATATATTGATTTTGTATCCAGTCACCTTTTAAAATTCACATATAAAATTGAATATTCTTTGTAGATTTCTTTGGAACACACACATACTTTTATAATTTGTGAGTAATACTAGTTTTATTTCTAATTCTTACAATTTTTTTCCTTGCCCTACTTCTTTGGCTAGAAATTCACCATTGACTTTGGACTTTTTATGCTCATAAATATGTTTACCGTCTTCCAGGAAAATGCAGATTCATTAAATCTGTTTAAGCCTTTTTATCTCCTGTCTAAAACATGCTATTATTTTTTACATTGCTGAATTCTCTAAGAGTGTGTTGTTTGGAGACCTTGAATGATACTGTCTTCTGCTAGACAACACCTGTCAGTTGACTCTGGGTACCAGTAATGTAGGATCACCTTAACCTATTTCAAGTTTTAAGATTATTCTGTGCCAGTTAGATGAGTTGAAAATGGGCAAGACCTCAAGGTCTTAATCTGATTACATCTACAAATACCCTATTTGCAGATAAAGGTCACATTTTAAAGCACTGGGGTTTAGGACTTCAGTATATCTTTTTGAGGGGCAGTTCACCCCTTAACACTTAGTAAACATTCTTTGTCAACATTTTGAGGGGCACAATTCACCCCTTAACACTTAGTAAACATTCTTTGTCAACATTTTTTAATATTTTAATAAATAATTGTTGAACTCATTACTGCTCAAAAATCCCTCTTTTATGGGGCATGCATTCTAGTGGTCAGGGGTAGCTGTAGGAAGAAGGGGGTACAAAATACTATGTATTTGCTGGAGGTAAAGAAACACTTGTAGCCACTGTTCAGTTAAAAAGAGATTTGGCACTTCCAACCAAATGGATGCCTGTAGCAACAGGGATGTCATAAGCCTCAAGTGAAGATAGCATCCCAGCTGCTGTGTGACAGGTCATCTGGGGCTCCTCAAGCACTTCTTTCATCACTCCTCCCTGTTCAGTAACAGACTGCAGTAGTTCAGACAAGAAAAGGATATCTTCCAAAGATTAGTGCTAATTTACTAGTGAGATGACATAGAGCTCTGTGGTCCCCAAACACATACACTTGAATTATTTTGTTTGTATGGTTTAGCTTTGTGCTTTCTGCAAGTGTGGGTGTTATGGATCAAAATAGCCCTGGCCACTTATTTATTGGTTAGTCTGATGATCTACTTGCTAGCAATTAGAGTGGGGTGAAGTCAACTATTAGTTAGATTTCGGGCTGCAGAGAAAGCTAGTATTGGCTGCAGTTTTTTTTTTTTTTTTTTTTCAACTTTAGGCTTGATGGGCTTTGTAAGTAGACAGAAGAGATGCTGAAGAAAACTAGGGGAGATCTGAGGTCAGGTGAATCATTTGAAGAACAGAGGGCCAGGGCAGCTGTTTCTAAATTGGAGTCTGCAGACCCTTCGGGGTCTCTCAAGCTCTTTCAAAAGGTTTGTCAGGTCAAGACTATTCTCATTATAATATTAACATGTTATTTGCCATTTTTGCTGTACTGATGTTTGCACTGATGGTGCAATGGTAAAACTGCTGGTGCCTTAGCATAAATCAAGCCTGTGGCATCAAACTGTATTCATTACCACCATACACACATGCAATTGAAAGGAAAAGTGACTGTCCTTGATGAAGCAGCAAAATATTTGTTTCATTAAATTTTGATCCTTGAGTACATGTCTTTTTAGTACCTTGCATTAAAAATGAAAGGTGCGTATAAAGCCCTCCTGTTGTACGCCAGTGTACGATAGTTGTCCTGAGAAAAAGCATTTATGTGATTGCTTTAGTTGCAAGCTGAACTAGCCACTTATTTATAAAACATCACTTTTACTTGGAACAATTACAGATAAACTGTGGTTATGCAGATTTGTACATTTGGTCAACAGCCATTTTTGTGAAAATGAATGAAGTGATCTGCTTTTTCAACAATAAACAATTCACAGCAAGTATTGCCAGTGATAAAATTTAAGATTTCTATTAACTATTAGAATTTTGGAAAACTTGTATTTGCCACTGTGACAGTTCCCCAGTAGTTAAAGATTCTTTCGATGAGATTTGTGGTAATATAAATGAATGTGATTTTTAAATAGTATTTGGTAAAAGGCATCAACATTTGGAAGATCTATATAACTCAGTAAACTAATGTTTTCCAAATGACCAAAGCATGATATTACAAAACCATGCATCAAAATATACATGATTTAAATGTAAGAGTATGAAAAGTTCATTGATAGTGGTTCCAAACTGCGCATTGCAACTAAACGGAGAAACTACCACTTGTCGAGTTTGGATATTGTTTTGTCCTATATTGTTTTGTCCCACTGAACCCATGCCTGGAATTGCCCCAAAGGCAGAGGCAGGGAAGTTCCCACAAGGGAGTACCCCAAACCAACCCCAGATGTGGTCAGTTGGGATTCCAAAGAAAGAAACACTAAATGCCAGGGTGATCAGTTCAAAGCATTTATTAGGGGAACTTCTTTATAGAGTGCTGTAGCAATCCTTGAGATGGACAGTGAGAGAAAAGGGTGTTCCACCTGTGGACAGTGAGGGGGTCAGGGCATGGAATTTATATGAGGGCTTAAAGAATTTGGCTCAGGGCTGGAGCCAGTTTCTTTCAGTGTTTTGGACAAGCTAGATACTGTTATCAGTGCTTGGGAATGTTCAAGGCCCTGGTTTGGGTTCAAGCCTGCTGGGAAAATATCTGCAGCTGGCTGGGTCACAGAGCTGTCAAGATACTCTGTGATTTTCACTTAGGGCACAGAAAGAAAGTGGGGGAACTGGGAGGCCCTAAAGATATAGGATTAAAAAGTAATATCCACAGTTATTTGAAGAGACTATTAAAATACACCTCCCTTCTCCAACTTCACATTTGTGTAAGGAGAGACTTTCTTCATATCCTTCAACCAAAAGAACGTAATGAGAACCCAGTAGTTTTCTATCAAGTCTACTATTAAAAATATTTGCAAATTAAGAAAATTTGCAAAATATCTAATGAAAGAGGTTTCATGGAGGCGATTTGAAAACAAGATCCTGTTCACTGGCGGAGAACATAGTGAAGGGGAGCAAATCTCATCTAGATTTTCCAAATGACTGCAAATATCCATAAAGATTTCATACAAAGTTATAACACCTATTTTCAGATAGAAGTTTCTTTTAGGACTCCTTTGCAGCCTGCTAAAAGAGTCCCAATTTTTACCAACTAGGTAGCACCATCTCAAATATTCAAGATAATTTACCTGCATTATCTTTCTTCTTGGCTTTCAGATTTTAGAACATCTGATCAGAGATTTGACTTTTATTCTTTTCCCTCAGGAGTTTTGATTTTGTGTTTAACTACTTTCCAAGTAGGGTTAATTATTATTTATGGCTTGAAGATTTTTTAGATGAGTCAAAAGAATTCTTAGAATATTTCATGAGTTTTAGACAGACCTACCGTGCTTTTCTTTCTTGACTATGTAAAAATGAGATAAAATAGAATGTGAGCTAGTCCTACCTTAAATTTGGAATATTAATAAGATGACAACCAGCACACAGAGAATGAATCTCACAATTCTATTCACAAAACCACAGTTCTTAATGTCTATATCTGGATCATTATTTAAATTCTTCCCATGGTCATTTTGACAGCTTCCTGATATATTAAGCTATATATTTCTGTAGCCAACTTTTATGCTTCCATAGAAAGAAATTTAGACAGGCTGGGCTTGGTGGCTCATGCCTGTAATCCCAGTACTTTGGGAGGCTGAGGAGGGCAGAACACTGAGGTCAGGAGTTTGAGACCAGCCTGGCCAAATGGTGAAACTTCATCTCTACTAAAAGTACAAAAATTAGAGGGCATGGTGGTGCACACCTATAATCCCAGCAACTCTGGAGGCTGAGGCATAAGAATTGCTTGAATCGGGAGGCAGAGGTTGCAGTAAGCTGAGATCACACCACTGCACTCCAGCCTGGGCAACAGAGTGAGTGAGATTCCTCTCAAAAAATAAAAAATAAAATAAAAAATAAGAAGAAGAAGAAAGAAACTTGGAGAAAATTTGAAAATTTGAATTGAAAAATACAGTTAGTGTATGAGTAAAATATTGGTGCAAATAAACAGAGAGTATGTCTATTGTCCACAGTTTTGTTTCTTGAAATTTGAAATAGAAGCCTGGGGGAAGTACAAAGATACTAAAATACAAAGTTAACCATTTAGGTTTTATTATTTGAGATAATTAAGACTACCGACCTAATCATGTACTTATCAGTACACATTATTGAAATTTTTACCTACCTCCAGTTTAAACTGTAGACTAAAAAAACTCCTACTTTTAACACCTGAATTTTTGGGACCTGTACCCACAAGACCTCTCAAGAGATATCACATAATAGTTTTAGTCCTTAAGTTGTCAATTGTTTCAAATGTTTAAATGTTGCATAAAGCCTTCATGGAATGACCCTTATCCTCCAACCAGTGCCTTCTTTCCCCATTTCTCCATTATTCTGGCCACAGTGAACTCATTAATATTTTTATAAACATGCCATTCTTTTTTCTTTATATAAACACCCAGTTTATATATACTGCTCTCTATGCCCCAATAGCCCTTCATTTTTTTTTCTTCCTAGCCAACATCTAATCATTTTTCAAAAAATAGTGATAACACATAGTGCTTACTGTGAACAAGGTACCGTTCTAAGCACTCTTGCATATTTTAATTCATTTAATACTTACAATTACTCTATGAGATGGGTACTATATTAGCACCATTTTAAAGAAGAAAAAACAGCCACAGAGAGCTTAAATGAAAGTCCAAGATCACCCAGCTTGTAAAGGGTGGAGTCATGATATGAACCCAGGCTGTCTGGCTATAGAGTCCACACTTTTTTAAAAAGCTTTTAACTTCAGGGGTACATGTGCAGGTTTGCTACATAGGTAAACTTGTATCACTGGGGTTTGTTATATAGATTATGTCGTCACCCAGGTATTAAGCCTAGTACCCATTAGTTATTTTTCCTCATCCTCTTCCTCATCCAACTCTCCACCCTCCAGTAGGCCCCAGTGTGTGTTGTTCCCTTCTATGTGTCCATGTGTTTTCCTTATTTATCTCCCACTTGTAAGTGAGAACATGTGGTATTTGGTTTTCTGTTCCTCTGTTAGTTTGCTAAGGAGAATGGCCTCAACCTTCATTCATGTTCCTGCAAAGGACATGATGTCATTCATTTTCATGGCTGCATAGTATTCTATGGTGTGTATGTACAATATTTTCTTTATCCAGTCTGTCACTGATGGGCTTTTAGGTTGATTCTATGTCTTTGCTATTGGGAATAGTGCTGGAGTGAACATACATGTGCATGTCTGTTTATAATAGAATGATTTATATTCCTTTGGGTATATACCCAGTAATGGGATTGCTGGGTTGAATGGTAGTTCTGCTTTTAGCTCTTTGAGGCATCATAATACTGCTTTCCACAATGGTTGAACTAATTTACACTCCCACCAACAGTGTATAAGCATTCCTTTTTCTCTGCAAACTTGCCAGCATCTGTTATTTTTTGACTTTTTAATACTAGCTATTCTGACTGGTGTGAGATGGTATCTCATTGTGGTTTTGATTTGCATTTCTCTAATTATCAGTGATGTTGATCTTTTTTTTCATATGCTTTTTGGTTGCATGTATGTCTTATTTTGAAAGGTGTCTGTTCATGTCCTTTACTCTTTTTAAATGGGCTTGTTTATTTTTTCCTGTAAATTTGTTTAAGTTCCATATAGATGCTGGATATTAGACCTTTGTTGGATCCACGGTTTGCCAAATTTTTCTTCCATTCTGTAGGTTGTCTGTTTACTCTGTTGATAGTTTCCTTTGCTTTGCAGGAAGTCTTAAGTGTAATTAGATCTCATTTGTTAATTTTTGCTTTTGCTGCAATTGGTTTTGGTGTTTTCATCATGAGATCTTTGCCTATTCTTATGTCCAGAATGGTACTGCCTAGGTTGTCTTCCAGGGTTTTTATTATTTTGGGTTTTACATTTTAGTCTTTAATCTGTCATGATTTGATTTTTATATATGGTATAAGGAAGGGGTCCAGTTTCAATTTGCTGCATATAATGAACCAGTTATCTCAGCACCATTTGTTGAATATCGAGTCTTTTTCTCTTTGCTTATTTTTGTTAGCTTTGTCAAAGATCAGATGGTTGTAGGTGCAAGGCCCTATTTCTGAGCTCTCTATTCTGTTCCATTGGTCTATGTGTCTGTTTTTGCACCAGTACCATGCTGTTTTGGTTATTGTAGCCCTGTAGTATAGTTTGAAGTCTAAAGTCAGACAATGTGATGCCTCCAGCTTTGTTCTTTTTGCTTAGAATTGTCTTGGCTATTGGGCTCTTTTTTGGTTTCATATTCATTTTAAAACAGTTTTTTTCTAGTTCTCTGAAGAATGTCATAGGTAGTTTGATAGGCATAGCATTGTGTGAGATGGTATCTCATTGTGGTTTTGATTTGCATTTCTTTAATGATTAGTGATGTTGATCTTTTTTTCATATGCTTGTTGGTTGCATATATGTCTTATTTTGAAAGATGTCTGTTCATGTCCTTTGCCCTTTTTTACCTAATCTATAAATTGCTTTGGGGATTATGGCCATCTTAATGACATTTATTCATCCTATCCATGAGCATAGAATGTTTTTCCATTTGTTTCTGTCATCTATGATTTCTTAGAGCAATGTTTTGTAGTTCTCCTTGTAGAGATCTTTCACCTCTCTGGTTAGCTGTACCCCTAAGTATTTTATTCTTCTTTGTGACAGTTGTGAATGGGATTGTGTTCTTGATTTGGCTCTCAGTTTGGCTGTTGCTGGTGTATAGGAATGCTAGTGATTTTTGTACATTGATTTTATATTCTGATTATTTGCTGAAGGTGTTTATCAGCTTAAGGAGATTTTGGGCCGAGACTGTGGGGTTTTCTAGATAAAATTCACCCCTTCATGTTAAAAACTCTCAATGAACTAGGTATTGATGGAATATACCTCAAAATAATAAGAGCCATGTATGGCAAACCCACAGTCAACTTCATACTGAATGGGCAAAAGCTGGAAGCATTCCTCCTGAAAACTGGCATAAGACGAGGATGTCCTCTCTTACCACTCCTATTTAGTGTAGTATTGGGAGTCTTGGGCAGAGCAATCAGGCAAGAGAAAGAAATAAAAGGCATGCAAATAGGAAGAGAGGAAGTCAAACTATCCCTGTTTGCAGATGACATGATTTTGTATCTAGAAAGCACACTTTTAATCGTATGTAATCCTGTCATCTTTGGGCACAAAAAGAATTTTATCTTTGTTCCTGGTTCATACCTTTGTTATAGCACTTATCACATTGTTGCTATGATGTGTTTTCACCCTTATTTCCTTTACAGTAGACCATGAAACTGTCAAGAGCAGGAACTGGGTTTTATTCAACTTTGTACCCTCAGCAGATTACCTGGAGTAATGCATGTTGAATAAATAAATTGACCAATTTGGTAAAAACTCAAATGAAACATAAAGTACTAAATATGTCTCTTCTACTTTAAAGCTCTAGATACTTTTCATGGATTGACTGCCTTTCAGCAACACATTACTTATCTGACCTGGGTAGCTTTATTATAAGAACCAAAGACAATTGGACATCCATTATAATTTATGAATATTAGAATGATAGGGCTGGAAGCAGCCTAATATAACAGAATGTCTACCACCCTTCAAGCCAGTGAAGTGACTTGCCCAAAGTCAGAGATTTGTAGCAGGGTACGGATTAAAAACCCGGTCCTCTTGATCCCCAGACTGAATTTCCTAGTAGAAAATGTAAAACTTCTTCCTTAAACTCTATAGTTTCAAGTTAGATTAGTATTCTCAGTTCTGTGCTTGGGGCATGTTTGAGCTCTACATTGAATGCAGTGTGTGCATTTTTAGAAAATAGTTCTAAAAGATTGAATGTTTCTTTACAGGTCAAAGCTTCTTTGTTAGGTTTTTTCTTTCTGTTAAAAAAGTTTCAAATTTACAAATGAATTCCTTTTTGATTACACAGAAGTGCTTTCATGCTATCTCATTAAAGATGAATATTTATTCCTTTAAATTTTAAATGTAACTGGAGGATGAGCTGCCAGAAACCTGAAATACTGTTACAGAAGCAGATTTCTTTAAATTCAGCGTAAAATAGAAAATGTTACCTTTTTTTTCCTAAAAAAAGACTTTTATTCAAGTTACCAGTTATAATTAATTTTATTAAGGTCTTCACTAATGGGGATACTCTTGGCAACTAAAATATTTCAATAAGAATATGTAAAGAGTAGAAGGAAAACTGAGGGTGGTAAGAGGGAAAAGCCTGTGAGAGCTTTCTGCCAATGCTAAAAGTATTGGAATGAACTGTAAACTTAGTAAGAGCATAGATTAGAAGATATTATTTAAAAAGCTATAATTACTTCCTGTCTTTGATGCCATGGTCAATGTAGTGGCTACAGTGGTTCAATGTAACTTGATTGGAATTAGCAAAGGTATGGTTTAAAGTAACTAAAATATTAAAGTGCTGTTAAAGTATAGATGAGGATTTGCAACCACTCACCCCTACCACTTTAAATGATCCAAAAGGCTTAATCTTTAAAATCTGGTAGGTTTTGATGCAATGTGAGGACTGCTTCTCTAAGCGTCTGATGTCTGAAGAGTATTCGGATTCCTTTAAAAAAGTCAGTAAATGTTAAATCAAAGAAGATAATAAACTCAGTTGCAATGTAAATTCCCAATTTCTATGTAAGTATGCTTATAATTCAGTTTCAGTGACATGTTACCTCTTCTGCTCTCCTCAACAAAATGTTTTCAGTTCCAAGTGTAAGAGGAAGTAAAATGCTTCCTTTCGTGTTCATTAAAATAACACCTTTGTTTAAAGAGACAACCATTCCAAGTGGAAATCCAATTGTTTGAATGGGACTTGGAGTAGACAAGACCATCTTTCTTTCACTTAAATTCCTGAATCCAGAGAATTTTTAGAAAATCTTCTTTCTCTTTCTCTCTTTAGTTTCTATTTCCCAAGGCAGATAAAATTGGAGTCCCCTTTGGGGAAAATTTTGTCTACATTCAGTGGAGAGTCTGTTATGGAAATTCTTACCCCAGGCTATTTGGACAAATCAAGAGTGTATTTTAGTGCACTCCCATTGCCTAAGGAAAAGAGATGACATTCTCAGAAATGTTTTGAAAGATGGTATTTGAAGGAAGGGTTGGGATTTTCTCTGTGCAGAGTATTCTGTAAAAAGGCGTATATCTTCTTGCTGATTCAGATGAAAGACCTACAACAGGCAGAAATAAGGAATAGTTAGAGATACTCTTGTAGAAACACAACAGACAAAAAGCAAAAGTGAGTGAATCTTGCTGATTGTATAAATACTTCAATTAAATCTCATTTGTATTTACTGAGTGCTTTCAATTCAAGCATTGAATTAGGTACTTTAACCCTAAATGGTATGAACTGGGCCACAGGAATATGAGAACCAAAATAGGAAATAGCAATATAGGATCCAAGAGAAGAGAAAAAAGAATTTGGGAACCAAAATAGGAATAAATACATGGAACAACAACAACAACAACAAAAAATAAGCGAGGAGAATAAAAAATTAGGAGTTAGAGATGGGTTTTTGTATCACTTCTTTCACCATCCATGTGCCCTTAGACTACTCTGTGAATTATATATAGTCATACTTAATCTACTCATATCTTGCGATTGTGGTAAGGATAATAGATATAGAAATATACTGAAAAATTAATGATGGAATATAAATATAAGATAATACTCTTTTTTTCCCTTTCCCATCTCAACCCACACACTCTAAAGCAGGATCAATTACTCCTGTTGCTGCCTTCCTACCACATAATATTCTTTTTATTTTTTGTAGAAACAGGGTCTTGCTATGTTGTTCCAGGCTGGTCTTGAAATCCTGGCCTCAAATAATCCTCCTACCTTGGCCTCCCAAAGTGCTGGGATTACAGATGTGAGCCACCGTGCCCAACCAATGATATTCTTAATTATTATTTGTTAGCTATCCTTTTTTCTTTACCTTTCAGTGATTTGAAGAACATGAAGTTTAGATCCCATTTCAGCAAACTCTTTGTGCAACCAAAGATTTCCAATAGCTAGATAATGATCACTACAACATTATCCCAGAGAAACAGTATTTCTGACAGGACTTGAGCTGTCAAAGCAAAAGTAAATATCACTCAAGGGCAAGCAAGTTTCATTAAATTCAATTCTGTAGTGGAGATGGACATGTCTCCTAAGCTTTATCTGCACTATGCTGATCTATTTCAGCACACAATAAATGTGCTCAATATTTCAGCAGTTTCAGTCTCTTAAACCTTATATCATTGCTTCTGGCTGCCATTGTTGTTTAATCAAAGCCACAGATTAAAGTCACTTCTGTAATACAGTCAGATGAAGCAGTAAAAGTAAAGAAGGCTGTTATAAGAAAAGGATAGAAGAGGTAACCCAAGGTGCTTTTTTATAGTCCAAAGCTAGATGGTTTCTTATTGATCTGATATGAAGTAGGATCTGTTTTTCACCTTTGAATTTCTTCAGAGTTTTATGCATTTAAGCAATGTGGAATTATCCAGAATTTTTTTTTTTTAATTTTTTTTTTTGATACAGAGTCTCACTTTGTCACCCAGGCTGGAATGCAATGGCGTGATCTCGGCTCACTGAAACCTCTGCCTCCTGGGTTCAAGCAATTCTCCTGCCTCAGCCTCCCAGGTAGCTGGGACTACAGGCGCCTGCCACCATGCCCGGCTAATTTTTGTATTTTTAGTAGAGATGGGGTTTCACAATGCTGGCCAGGCTGGTCTCGAACTCCTGACCTCATGATCCACCTGCCTCGGCCTCCCAAAGTGCTAGGATTATAGGTGTGAGGCACCACGCCTGGCCTTTTTTTTTTTTTTTTTTTTTTAATAATAATAAATTTGAAAAGCATAATGGAAAAAAATAAAACATGCTCTAAGATTTCTGTATATATCCTCTTGTCAACAGAAAGAAGCCCTTTCTCATAGGGCAGCATAAAGTCAAAGTATCCAGGCAAGCAGATTCTTTATAAGAACAAAAGTAGAAAGTTAAAAGGGAGAGGAAGAAATACATCACACTACCAGATGAAAAGAAAGTAAATGTTAGTCTTTATAATAAGTAGTCTCCTTCTAATTGTTTATAGATTTCTCTTAAATGAAATTCCAAGATAAAAGAGAAATATACCCAAAAGCTAAATGCTTAGAATGAATTATGTGAATTATAGGTACAGGGGTTTGAGAAGACTAGAAAGGAAGGCTGGAAAGTGAAAATTCTGATTGTCTTAACTAATTCTAATAGATTGCACTACAGCCTTGTCCTTATGCACTTCCTCATTATTAACACATTCCATTAATTCTGTCCAGAACTAAAAATAGTACAGCCAATGCACACTGGTACCATAGAATAAATCTGGAAAAAGAATATATAACATAGTAGACTGGAAGTATCAGCGGTCTTATAGGAAGATCAGGTTGTCAATCTACTTTTTTCATGTAATCTCTTCTTTAAATTCAAGTTTCTTTATCTGTAAAGTGGGAATGAAAGCTCTTTTCTTAATTCAGGAAACTTGTTCAGATGATATCTTCAAGACAATAACTTCCGTCTCTATGATATATTCTGTGTCTAAATCTGGATAAAATGCCATTTTTATTCGGCTAAACTTAAATCAAATACAGAAAAAACTTTTTCCCTGGCCATAACTTGAGTAGAACTCAAGTTAGCCATCCTAACTAAAATAAAAACTAAATTTTCTGAGTTTTCAGTCATCTGGCCTCTGTGGCTGCTGCAGGACTTATCATTAATTATACACTTATGAAATATAATTCTTTAAGTCATTAATTCGTAGACATTTTGCAGGTAAGACATAGTTGGACATTGTTTTAAAAACTGTCAATTAAAGGTTTTCTCATTTGTTTATAATTCCTTGATATATCCTGGGCTATATGAAACTTTGGAAAATCACAATGATGAATTATTCTGATTAGATGTGTGCCCCACTCTACTCTAACAGGATATCATTAGCCTGTTCTTTATCAAATGAATATGGACAAAGTATTCAAAAAAGTCTAGTCCAAGCTCAAAAATTAATTAATAAAATTGTATACCCTTTTACTTTAACAATTTGACGAATGTACTATTTTGGCTACTGTACTTTTTACTGTAGTATTTTCTTCTGGTAATTTAGTGTTTTAGTGTCATCTCCTCATTGGTTAATAGTTGATATTTTTGAATTGAGGCAGGATTCTCACCTTTGTTTTCTCATTAAATGATACATTCTGCTTCATTTTAGTCTTCCCTTGGTTCAGGATTTTATTGCCAAGTGAATCAAATTTTATAAAGAAGAGTGACAAATTCAAAGGGATAACCATTTCTTTTGATGAATTTAAGTAGGAGAAATTCACTTCTGCAAGATTTGATTCTTTACATTTTAAACTTTCAACCTAGAATGTTGGAAAGAGCAGGATGGCAACCCTTAACCCAGCTAAGTAGTGCTGGCATGGAAATGGAGAGGTCAGGCCCTGCGGTTCAGGTTGGTTATTTCCTCCTTCACCCATGTTCTTGGTTCATTTTACTTATTTTTTAGGATGGCTTTATTGCCAGTCTATATTGATATGTAATAGATTCCTTTTGTCTTTTACTTATTATGCAAAAAATAATTCACAGAAAATAATTGATACATTCTTGTTAAAAATTGTGATTCTTCCTTCTGTCTTCCTTAGTGACCTAGAATTTTTATATACCTTTAAAAGGAAAAAAATTCATCATGGCTTATACTTTTTACTGATTAATAGTGCTTGCAATCATTTCCATGTTAGAAAATACATACAGATGTTTATTCACTTTTTTTTTAATTAGGGTTTTGCTCTGTTGCCCAGGCTAGAGTGCAATGGCATGATCATAGTTCACTGTAACCCTGAACTCCTGGACTCAAGTGATCTTCCTGGCTCAGCCTTGAGTAGCTTGGACTATAGGCATGCACTACCATATAAGGCTAATGAAAACAATTTCTTTGTAGTGATAGGGTCTTGCCATGGTGCCTGGGCTGGTCTTGAACTTCTGGTCTCAAGTGATCCTCCTCAGCCTCCCAAAGTGCTGGGATTACAGGCATGAGTCAGTGTGCCAAGCCAGTTCACTGTTTTTTTGTTGTTGTTGTTTGTTTATTTGTTTTTAATAGAAACATACAGCCATGTACATTGCACTGATACTTGTTTTTGTTCAGGCAATATATCAGAAATATTTCTTCCAGTTAATGCATATAAATAAATGCACCATAATATAGGCACTCAGCTGTTAAAAGATAGTTGTTTCTAATTTTTCGTGTTCACAGAATGTTCAGTGACAATATTTTATTTGCATCTTTGTTACTGGGTTGAGTAATATTAAGGAACAGATTATCACATGTAGAAACAAAGGGTCAAGGATATGAACATTTTAAGTTGTGGTAGGTAATGCCATATTATTCTGAGAAGAAATTACCAATTTGCATGCCTACTGATAGTAAATGAGATTTTATTAGTCACTTTAATTTTTGTTGATCTGATAGGACAGAAGTGATGTATTATTGTTGACTTAATTTGCCTTTCCATGATTACCAATGAGTTTGAGAATCTTTCTCTTTTTTTATTTCTTTGGTATATTATCCTTTCATAAACTTTACCCATCTTTTCTAGTCAATTATCAGTTTTCTTGATTTAGGGAAGTTCTAACCATGGTTGGTATCAGCCTACCACTTATTTTTAATTTTACAAATAATATCCTTTAAATCTCAAATACGCTGTTCTTTCCTGGAGTTTATTTTCATGTATGGCATTAGCGGTGTAGATGTGTATAGTTTTTTTCAAATATGATTATTATTAAGTTTGCTATGCTTTATCCTACAGATTGATTCTAAAAACAAAAATTCAATAAGCAGGTTTTACAATATTATAATTATATAAGTGTTGTTTACTTCAAAATCTAGTATGTTTGGGCTTTTAAGAAAATGTAATCTATAAACACTAACCCATGCCACTCAAGAGGAGATGTTGCTACTATCAAGGACAAATGGATTCTCTATGTCCTTTTAAAAAAATAATGCAACTCCTGCTAAAAAAATCATACATTTTAGTTTGCTTTGTATGTAGACCATTAATTTCTTATAGAGCTTTTTGTTTTTCTTGGCATTTTAAATTATCTCTCATTTGAAAATATTACTCTGGTTATCAGTATAGAAAGGAAGGTCAGTGGTCAAAGTTAAAACAAACTTAACTTTGAGATATCTGACTTTAATTTCTATATGTCTATTCATAGGGCTCAATTGGTAGATGTATATGAAATATTCATTTTTTAAGACATTGAAGATTTCAGATCTGAGTACCCATGGAACCAGCATGGTTAAAAACAGGATCTGTGGTCATTCTTGGTCAAATTTCAAGAACTTCTCTTTACTACTAGGTCTTCTACATGTGAGTACATCATCAGTAAGTTCTGAACTTACTGATTTATTTGGTAGAAACCAAATAAATCTTGCATTGCTATTGAAAGGTGAGTTCCACAGAGATAGAGACCCACAGAAGAATGCTGTAGGGACAGTGGAGGCAGATTGGAATGATGCTGCCACAAGCGAAAATACACCAAGGATTGCTGGCAACCACCATATCTAGGCCAGAGGCGTTGAGCAGACTCTCCCTCTGAGCCCCAAAGTAGGAGCCAACCCTATGGATACCTTGATTTCAGACTTCTGACCTCCTGAGTTATGACAATAAATTTCCGTTGTTTTAAGCCAAAAAATGAAAACAAAAAAATTACAAAAATAAAAAAAGAGAAAGTTGAGTTGTAAATTGAGTGGGATCCACAGAAGCCATTCGTTTCCTAATGGGGCATGAGGAAAAGGCATCGAGAAATGTACATCCTCTCCAGGAGGCTCAGAGAAATGAGGAGATTTTTGAAAAAGCCATTATAACTCTGAAAATCCTTGTTTCCAACACAGCAATGTAACTATTAAGTAACACAGAATAATGTACAGTAAGGCCTTTCAAAATCAGACAATTGCCACTGTTAGAGTTATTTTAAGATATTGGGGACTTCCTTAATTTTTTTTTAACGCAGCATTATGTTTAAAATGATAGATTACTTGTTTAGAACAGGGGCAGGTGAGAAGAGAAATGGGAATGCCAGCTTTAGAGCATAAATTAGCAGAAAAGTACCTCTAAAAGTTCTTCCCTGAAAGATGAAATAAACTAACATGCTTGTTGGGCTCGTTTGCTCCAATTTTCTCCTCTGATTTCCTGTTACTGAAAGGTCTACTAACCCTTTGTACTGCCTGTGGATTGCAGATCCTCACCAATACTCTAACACCATCGTCAGCAGCACATCTGATTTACATCTCTCTCTTGCTTAGAACAAGCAACACAAACAAAACAAAAAACAAACCCTGAATTGAAATTCATGCTCTTTTAGATGAGTTGAGGATCCTATGCCATGTAGTCCATGCCGGAAATCTATACATAGAGCCATGGTTTTAATGTCTCCTAAGATAAAGCATGGATTTGCAGCTTAATATTTGGTAGGCTATAACTCGGCATGATTGTTATCATCCTCTGTTAAGTAAATCTGGAAACCATGCTGAGGGCTGGGCAAACTTGAATGGCAGTCATAAAAATTATGTTTTACGAAGTGGGAATGGTTGTCATGGTTGTTTAAGTTTATGTGCTCATTAAGTCCTGGAAAAGCTACCAATTACTGCTTTGCTCTGTCCTTTGAAGTAGGACCAAATTAGTAATCTAGGGGAGGAGTAGATAGGGTTGATAATGTACTTTAATTAATACAGTTCATTTCAGCATGTCCTGTGAGTTTAAATACTTGGGAGTGGCTGTGGTTGAAATTACATAGCAGCAGGAATGAAAATATTTTCTGTAAAAAATTAGTGTCTGAGATTATTAAACTAGTTTTTTTTTTTTAATGAGAGAAATGTGTGTTGTTTCACAGAGCCCACTGTTGATCACTTTAAGAACAATCTGAATAATGGAGTGAATTGTCAAATTTTTATGGATTGACATTTAGGAGTACTTTTGATTTAAGAGTGACAATTGAAAGGTGGTTTAATGACATGTTAGGAAAAACAGAGCCTCTAATTTTTTTTTTTTTTGAGACAGAGTCTTGCTGTATCACCCAGGCTGGAGTGCAGTGGTGCGGTCTCGGCTCACGGTAACTTCTGCCTCCCAGGTTCAAGCGATTCTTCTGCCTCAGCCTCCCAAGTAGCTGGGACTACAGGTGCCCACCACCACACCCAGCCAATTTTTGTATTTTTAGTAGAGATGGGGTTTCACCATATTGACCAGGCTGGTCTCGAACTCCTGACCTCGTGATCCACCCGCCTTGGCCTCCCAAAGTGCTGGGATTACAGGCGTGAGCCACCATGCCCTAGATACTACACAGAATTATGGTTTTAAAAAAGAAAACGACTTGAAATTATAGAAGAAATTATGTTATTTTCAGATATCCTCTAAAGAAAAAATAAGCAAGCATTGGAATTATTATGTTAGAAAAACTGAAAACCAATTTGTGAAAATTAAAGTGACCAATTGCTATGTATTTCTGTCTCCAACTTCCACCCAAATACAGATATCCTCAGGTTTAATAGTATAACAGAATTTATTTAGCCCCAAATAATTAAATATTATTGTAGATGTTTATAAAATATATGGTAATTGTCTCTCATTTTTTTTTTTAATCTAACATGTGCTGTACTTCAACCCATGATGTAGTATTTCACCATGTAAAAGAAAAATAGCAGATGCTTCCAAGGAACTGGTTGGTTAGATCTGCCTGGAGCAAAAGCTGTTACTTAGAAACCCCAAACATATTTTTCTCTTGTAAAATATGACCTCTAGATCAAGGGAAGATAGCCCTTAGAATGATTTATTAATATGGCAAAATCTTCTATTACGAAAAAATGGTCCTGGATTGAAATGCAGCGGGTTCTATTTTTCCAACTGCTAGATGACTTGAGGTGGGACAAGTCAGCACATACATCAGAGTTCTGTTCTTTGAAAGGAAAATGATAAATCCTAAACTCCTGTCAATGACAGCATTAAGAACAAATAAGATTAGGAAGAAACAGATCTTGCCTTGAACACCGAAGTGTTCCAATCTTCTGGCACCTATTGTGCCCTTTTATTGTTAATTATGTTTTTATGTGTTTAGTTGTCAAAAGTCAGAGTTAAGTCAAGGATCTTTTTTCCCCCTAAAAGACTGATAATTACACCAAGAAAATAAAATATGTGGCTACCAAAAAAAAAGATTGTTTGCATTGGAGCTTATGTACGTCACCTTATTTCCTGGTTTCTGGTCTTGAACTCCTTCCTTTAGATACATGTTTGAGTCTAATTTTTATCTATTTACTGGTTGTATAGAAACTAGGTAAGTTACTTTACTCCTCTGAACTGTCATTTCTTGTAAAATGGAGATTACAAGGTCTCCTTTACTAGGGAGATGCATTTCATAAACTGTACAGCATTATAGAAAAGTAAGATGTTGTTGCTGAAATTTGATATTAGTTCCTATCTCCAAGGGCTTTGACTGAGTTTCTTTTTCATTCTCAATATTCAGCTTTAATCTCTGTCTCTCTAAAAGGAGTCCTTCAGTTTCTTAGGCCAGACTTTGGTAATTTGTTCTAAATTGAGATCACACCATGAAAGTTGTGCCTGCCTAATAAATCGCCGGTCTCATCAGGGTAGGGTCTATATTTGTTCACTCCTATTTTCTATGTTGTTGCCGTTCAACAAGTATGTATTATCTGATAATTCTAAAGAGTGCATTGAGTTATTTGATAATATCAAAATAACAAAATTACTTCTATATACAATCCAAATGTCCTCAAAGTTGCTTATTTAGTTTTCAACACTAAAATTCGTTATTAACATTTTCTTGCGCATTGATATGGTTTGGCTGTGTCCCCACCCAAATCTCACCTTGAATAGTAGTTACAATAATCCCCACATGTTGAGGGAGGGGAGGTAATTGAATCAAGGGAGTGGTTACCCCCATACAGTTCTCATGATAGTGAGTAAATTCTCATGAGATCTGATGGTTTTATAAGGCACTTTTCCGCCTTTGCTCAGCACTTCTCTCTCCTGCTGCCATGTGAAGAAGGGCGTGTTTACTTCCCCTTCCGCCAAGACTATAATTTTCATGTGGTCTCCCCAGCCATGCAGAACTGTGAGTCAGTTAACCCTCTTTGGTTTATAAATTACCCAGTCTTGGGTATTTTTTCATAGCAGCGTGAGAATGGACTAATACACACACACACACACACGTGTGTGTGTTTATTATATATAATTTGATCACATATATTAAAGTATTTCTTGGATTGATTTTTCTGAGGTAGTATTACAGGTCAAAAGCCATGTATATTTTTGTGGCTTTTGCTGTATCTTACTAAGTTGCTTATATATATTTTCATTCTGACTAAGTGTTCAACACTTTTAATTTGAATTCAATAATAATGAAACTAAAGAAAAAGAATGAAAGATTATATTTCAATAGGGATAATTGGAAGCATGGGTATTTGCCATAACCAATGAGTGGTCATATTAGGACTAAATCACAGGCGAGTGAAAGGCAGATGCATAGACTACATGGCCAGCAGCATTTTCTTTCTCCCTTATTTCCTGGCAGAGTGTGCTTGGCTGAGCCTGCCTTCCACAAGAGAGACTGAACATGCAAGAAACTTGGTTTCCCAGGCTCATCAGCAAGCAAGGCATAAATACAGGACCCAGTCTCCAACCCTGGGGAGATTTATTCTGGTGGATTCTTGAAAAGGATATCTTAGGACTGCTGTGTTTGGTCATCTCTGTAAGTTGCCATACTCATTGTGGGTTGTGTGATTGCTCCTCTGGAGTTGTGAGGTGTACAACCTGTGTGGTCACATACAGTGGCTACGGGCTTCTCCCCCATTAGAGACTTGTAAAGTAGCTGACCTACCAGACTTTGGACCTGGTAATTCATTGGATTGATTCTTAGAGCAATGGCAGTCATCTTGTGATCATGATGAAACAAATTTTCTAATGAAAGCAACACTCTGAGAATGACTAAGTACAAAGAGAGAGTACTTCAAGCCCTTGATTATGTTATTTAGTCCCAAATTAACCAACTCTGGACCAAGCTCTTTCCAGATTCTTGTTCAGTGATGTAGTAAATGCCCTTATCCTTTAAGACCCATATTGTTATAGCTTTTGTCACTTATCACAGAAACAATTCAACTGGCACAGTAGGTAATTCGTCTTTGGACTTTCCCCCCGAGCTAAGTTATTATTTGTCTTATATATAATTACAATATAACATTGTTTAGTACCAGCCACTGGCATGCCTCAAAACCCTTTTTATTTGGAATTGGTTTCATGCATTTGAAGTGAGAGGGTGGTAGTACTGGTAGCACTTGAAAATACTGCAAAATGAATTTCAAGTCTTGTGAAAGACGTATTCTAATTTGTTTTTACCAAAGGCAGCTTTGGTCCAAATTCCACTTTACAGGATCCATTTTTCTTTCTGGAGGTGCATACCATGCCATGAGAGCTGATGGCAAAGATATATTTGATATTTTAAAATCTTCTTTTCAACTCCCACATGAACTTATTCCAGCTCTCTGAGGTCAAGAGTTTCTTTCACCTGCTCTTCCAATCGGGTAATATCTTCATTAATCAGAGCAGCTGTGACTGTGTGTGATGGCAGGTCAAAACCAAGCTGATTTTCCTATTTTTATTCCTCCCACATTATTTTTCAAACAAAATTGGATCTAATAATTTTGTAAGGAATTTATTCTACTTTAATTTAGTTTTTGACTTGGCAGAAATAAACAGGAACTTATACCTACAGACCCTGAAGTTGACTGTGACAATACAGCACAACTAATAGAGCCAATCATCTCCTAATTGTTATAAAACTCTTAGGTTTATATAATAATGACAAAGTTATTTTTGTTTTATCTTTGTTTAGTTATCTTTTTTTTTGTATCAGTGTTAAAATCTTGGTTAAGTATAGATTTGTTACTTTGTTTTTTGTTTTTTTTTTGAAGTTTACTCCAAATAGTGTTGGGTTGAGTTACACTAAATAGGCAGGCATTATCAGACCTTCAATAACAATCCTTACTGAAACATAATCTTTCATCATCTGAAGTCAGTGTTCTCACTACCTAGAAATATTCTCTGCACTAGGTCTAGCTGATAATTTCCTACTCTTCTTCATGACTCAACCTAAAGTTTTGACCTTTAGATGAAGATTCTACTTATCTTCTCTTTTCCTGCTAAGATAGTAATATATCTAGCATAGTAGTGGCAAATAGTATATGCTCAACAAGAGCTAGTTTCTCTCCTCTTTCCAGACTTTACCCTTGTTAAGGGTGTATATATGGTCTTATTCATTGGTATTTAGTAGATACTTTATAAATATTTGTTGACTGAATTAATAAAAAATGGCCCTGTCTACATCTACTTTGAATTTCTATAACAAATTATGCAAAGCCGCTACAAGGAAACAAAACAACTATCATGTCCTGTTGTACATACACTATCCTCTGAAGTCAGGCAACAGTATATGGGTGGAGATCATCTTCCAAACTGGTGGAGTGTGGACCTTGTTGAACTTGCTTTCCCTTAAAAACAAAGAAAATACTAGCAAAACTAAAGCCAACCATTTCAGAACTCTAGAAATTAACCAAAGACACAGAACAAACTGAAAAGGAAAACAATGCGCTGAATATCGAATTAAAAAAAAACCCAGTAGGGTCTTTCATGTTTTAACTTGACACTATTGTTATCCCCTCTTTCCCAGCTTAGTGGCATGGTAGTTGCTGGTACTCTTGAAACCACGGAGGACTGACAATTTTTGGAGCTCCATTAAATGTTCTTGCTCCAAAGCACAGTAGACATTTTGTCCAAAATATGCAACTTTAGAGAAAATCTCTGTTCCTGGATACTATAGCTATTTGATCTGACTGAAACCTCAGCTTAGTAAAAATGTCCTACCTCCAAGGCATTACTGAAAAAAGTAGCAGTCCTTTGGCAATTTCATTCTGCTTGTGGCTGAATTTCAGTTGGGGTGTGTAAGAGCCTAAGTGGAAATTTAAAAGGATTGTATACTAAGACCAAGTAGGATTTAGTCCAGGAATTCAAGGTTGGTTTAACATAAGAAAATCACCACATAAACAGAATAAAGGATGAAATGTACATGATCATCTCAATATATAAAAAAGAACAGTTGAGAAAACAGTATCCTCTCTTTATTAAAAACAATAAACTAGATATAGAAAGCATCTGATAAAGGACATCTGGGAAAACCTACAGTTCACATCATACATAATGTTGAAAGCCTGAAGGTCTTCCCCAAAACAATAAACTAGATATGGAAAACATCTGATAAAGGACATCTGAGAAAACCTGCAGTTAACATCATACATAATGTTGAAAGCCTGAAGGTCTTCCCCATTAGGATAAGGAAGGAGACAAAAACACATGTGCTCATCACCTCTGTTCAATACTGTACTGTAGGTTCTAGCCAGGACGTTTGGCAACAAAGGAAATAAAAGGCATCTATATTGGAAAAGAAGAAGTAAAACTATTTCTGTTTACAAATGACATGATTTTGTATATAGAAAATCCTGGGGAACCCACTAAGAAACTGTCAAACTAATTAACAAGTTCAATAAAGTTGCAGAATATAATATCAATAAAATTAATAAAATTAATTTTATTTTCACATACTATTGACAAAGAATCTGAAAAAAATAAGTAACCAATTCCATTTATAATAGCATCAAAAATAGTAAAATACTTGGGAAAAATTTAACAATATAATGGCAGGACTTATATACAAAAACTACAAAACATTGTTGGAATACATTTTAAAAGATCTGAATAAATGGAAAGATATCCCTTGTTCATGAGTTGGTACACTTAATGTCAACATGGTAAATAATCCCAAAATTGATCTACACATTCAATGTAATCTCTATCAAAATATTGGCTGTCTTTTTTTGCAGATATTGCCAAGTTGATCCTAAAATTCATATGGTATGCAAGACGCCCAGAATAGCCAAAAAATCTTGAAAAGGAAAAGCTACTAGAGGACTCACACTCCCTGATTTCAAAACAATTAATGGAGAAAGAATTATCTATCTAAGAAATAGTGTCAGACAACTGAATATCTGTATGCAAAAGAATAAAGTTGGATCTCTACCTCATACCATAGAAAAAATTAACTTCAGTGGATCAGAGTCTTAAATATAAGAGCCAAACCTATAAAACTTTTCAATAAAAACGTAGCAGTAAATTTTTATGATCTTGGGTTAAGCAATGGTTTTTCAAGATATGACACCAAAAGCACAAGTAACAGAGGAAAAAATTTAAATTTCCTACCTCCAATTAAACATTTTGGGCTACAAGTACATAATCAAGAAAGTGAAAAGAAGACCCACAGAATGGGAGAAAATATTTGCAAACATATATCTGATAAGAGACTTTTATGCAGAATATATCAATAACTGTAACTCAATGGTGAAAAGACAATCCAGTTAAAAACGTGGTAAATAATACAAATAGCTATTTTTCACCAAAAATACAAATGGCTTATAAGCACATGATAAGGTGTTCAACATCATTAATCATTAGGAAAATGCAAATCAAAACCTTGAGACACCACTTTATATTCACCAGGAGGTTATAATCAAAAAGGCAAAAAAAAAAAAACAAAAAAAAAACCCAAAAAAAAACAAGTGTTAGCAGACATATGGAGAAATTGGAACCCTATTCATTGCTGTTGGAAATGGAAAATGGAAAACAGCCTGTCAGTTCTTGAAACTGTTAAACGTAGATTTAACCTATGATCTAGCAATTCTACTCCTAGGTACATTCTCAAGAGAAAAGAAAAAATATGTGTACAAAGAAACTAATATAAAAATGTTTTTAGTATTATTCATAGTAGACATAAAGTGAAATCAACCAAATTGTCCAGCATTTTATGAGTAGATAAACAAAACAGGGTATATCTATATGATGAAAAAATTACGTAGCCATAATAATAAGAAGAATTACTGATAGAAGATACAAAATGGATTAATCTTAAAATAAAAATAATACTCTAAATTTAGATTGTGGTTATGGTGGCCCAACTCTGTATATATACAAAAACCACTGATTCATACACTTTAAATGGATGAATTTTTTAGTGTGTGAATTCTCTCAATAAAACTGATAACATCTTTCTGTTATACTAGAGGGTTGTTTCATTTGAGCAGTGGCAATAGAGACACCAACTTCTGCCTTCATATGAGACTTTGTGAATCTCAAAGCAATGTAGTTGAAAAATCATTACAGTGTAGTTCTAGAGGATTTACTCCTTATGGTTCAGATATTAGTTCATAGCAGAAGGAATGTCAGTCTCTCAGTTTATAAGGTTGTCTTCACTCTGCACATCGATTGATAATGCTTTTTTGTTCATAGCCTTGGACTTTAGAAAACAGTAAATTATGCAGAAAAATAATTTATATCAAAAAACTTGTAAAGATAGATGGAGCCCTCCCTTTTTTTCCTATATGCATTTTAAGAATAATTTTTTTTTGACAAAGTATTTCCAGGTTCTGATTTCTTACATGATTTTTTATCATGTCTGGATAGACATGATAAAAGGAAGAAAGGAAGTCTTACATTTACTCGTTATTTACTTATTTATTCAAGAAGTGTTTATTAAACACATCCCAGGCATTGTGCTAGGGTTTAAGAAAACAGAGAACACTGTGTGAACTGAGACTTCAAGGATTCCTTAATCTAGTGCTGTCTCAGCAAGATAGACTTCGTAAACGCTCATTGCCAAGTTAAACAACAAGAAACTAGTGAACCTCTTTGGCCAATCCTTAAATCATGTTTCCCAGGATTCTTAGCAGTTCACACTATATTTTGTAATTGTCTAGTGATGAGGCATAATTTAATCACCTTGGTTAAAGACTCTCTTAAAAACTCCCAAACTCCTCGGGATGTAATACAGAAAAACCATCAGAGATGACATTATCTTTTAAACTATGAAGTGAAAATAACCAGTCCAGATCTTTGGAACTAGAAATACTGAATCCTTTGTCAGAAGTAAGTTACTACGAGTAGCAGATATTCTGCCTTCACCTTTGTATAATAAATTCAAGGGTTTTTGACTTATGCTTCCTGGTCATTTTCCATGTAAAGGTGGTATGCTGGCAAATTTGTGATGAATATCATACATGTATGTTCCGTCACAATTTTTCAACCTCAAAAAGTCATCAAAGTTTTTTTTTTTTTTTTTGAAATGGAGTTTCACTCTTGTTGCCCAGGCTGGAGTGCAATGGCGCGATCTCTGTTCACTGCAACCTCCGCCTCCCTGGTTCAAGGGATTCTCCTGCCTCAGCCTCCTGAGTAGTTGTAATTACAGGTATGTGCCACCACACCCGGCTAATTTTTGTATTTTTATTAGAAACGGGGCTTCTCCATGTTGGTCAGTCTGGTCTCAAACTCCCGACCTCAGGTGATCCCCCCATCTCGGCCTCCCATAGTGCTGGGATTACAGGTGTGACCCACCACACCCGGCAAAGTTTCTTAAATGAAATATTGAGTAGAAATGTGTCCAAAATTGGTGGGTTCTTGGTCTCACTGACTTCAAGAATGAAGCCACACACCCTCGCGGTGAACGTTACAGGTCTTAAAGATGGTGTGTCCGGAGTTTGTTCTTTCTGATGTTCGGATGTGTTCAGAGTTTCTTCCTTCTGGTGGGTTCGTGGTCTTGCTGGCTTCAGGAGTGAAGGTGCAGACCTTCGTGGTGAGTGTTACAGCTCTTAAGCTGGCATGTTTGGAGTTGTTCGTTCTTCCAGTCCGGAGTTGTCCATTCTTCCTGTCCGGAGTTGTTCATTCTTCCCGGTGGGCTCCTGGTCTCGCTGGCCTCAGGAGTGAACCTGCAGACCTTTGCGGTGAGTGTTATAGCTCATAAAGGCAGTGCGGACCCAAAGAGTGAGCAGCAGCAAGATTTATTGCAAAGAGTGAAAGAACAAAGCTTCCACAGTGTGGAAGAGGACACTAGCAAGGTGCTGCTGCTGGCTCAGGCAGCCTGCTTTTATTCCCTTATCTGACCCCAGCCACATCCTGCTGATTGGCCCATTTTACAGAGAGCTGATTGGTCCGTTTTATAGAGAGCTGATTGGTCTGTTTTGGTAGGGTGCTGATTGGTGCGTTTACAATCCCTGAGCTAGACACAGAGTGCTGATTGGTGTATTTACAATCCTCTAGCTAGACGTAAAAGTTCTCCAAGTCCCCACCAGATTAGCTAGATACAGAGTGCTGATTGGTGCATCCATGAACCCCGATCTAGACACAGAGTGCTGATTGGTGCATATACAATCCTCCAGCTAGACATAAAAGTTCTCCAAGTTCCCTACACAATCCTCCAACTAGACATAAAAGTTCTCCAAGTTCCCACCCGACTCAGGAGCCAAGCTGGTTTTGCCTAGTGGATCCCCTGCCAGGGCCATGGGCAGAGCTGCCTGCCAGTCCCATGCCGTGTGACTGCACTCCTCAGCTCTTGGGCGGTCGATGGGACTGGGCACCGTGGAGCAGGGGGCGGTGCCTGTTGGGGAGGCTCAGGGCCGCGTGGGAGCCCACTGCGAGGGGGTTCAGGCATGGCGGGCTGCAGGTCCCAAGCCTTGCCCCATGGGGAGGCGGCTGAGGCCTGTCGAGAATTCAAGTGTGGTGCAGGTGGACCAGCAGTGCTGGAGGACCCAGCGCCCCCTCTGCAGCTGCTGCCCTGGGTGCTAAGCCCCTCACTGCCCAGGGCCGGCGGTGCTGGCTGGCTGCTCCGAGTGTGGAGCCTGCAGAGACTGTGCACACCCAGAACTTGCACTGGCCTGCGAGCGCACAGCCCTGGTTCCCGCCCGTGCCTCTCCCTCCACACCTCCACGCAAGCAGAGGGAGCCGGCTCCAGCCTTGGCAAGCCCAGAGAGGGGCTCCCACAGTGCAGTGGTGGGCTGAAGAGCTCCTCAAGTGCGGCCAGAGTGGACGCCAAGGCCGAGGAGGTGCCGAGAGCAAGCAAGAGCTGCTAGCACGTTGTCACCTCTCAGAAACAAAGTAACATTTACACAACATGAGTTAGGCATAAAGAATAATGAACACCTATGTGTGTACCACACATTTTAAGAACATTAGCATTACCTTTAAAGTCCTGTGTGCACTCTCCTTGAAGCCTATCTTCTTCCCAGAGGCAACCTCAATCCTAAATTTGTATTTATTTTGTTTTTCCTATAGTTTTATTTTCATTTCTCTCCAAAGAAGAGAATGTAGTTTTGCCTGGTTTTGAACTTTATAGAAATGGAGTCATTCTGTTTATATTCTTTTGTATTTCCATTTTTTTAAAGAGCTCAAGTTTATGTTTGTAAAAATCATCTGTATGATTGTAGGTTGCTCTAGTTTGTTAAGTTTTATTGCTCTATAACATTCTTATGCATGAATATGATAAAGAAAATATCTTTTTTATTTATGACTGACATTCGGGTTGTTTATAGGATGGGGTTGTTCTGAAAAATGTTGTGCTAAACTTCTTATTTATCACTTCTGGGCTCGGAAATACATAGTTTTCTATACTATGAGTGAAACAACTGGTAGACATCTATTTAGTAGATAGCAACACTTTTTTCCTACATAGTTCTATCAAGTTACGTTTCCACAAGCAGTGTTTGAGTGTTTCTAGGCCTCCATATTCTCTCCAATAAATGCTTACTTTTCCAGGCATTAATTTATTTTTTTCAGTCCAGTGAGTATGTAGTGGCAACTCATTCGGGTTTTAATAGTGTTTCACAATGGTTGAACTAGTTCAACCATTGTGGAAGTCAGTGTGGCGATTCCTCAGGGATCTAGAACTTGAAATACCATTTGACCCAGCCATCCCATTACTGGGTATATACCCAAAGGACTATAAATCATGCTGCTATAAAGACACATGCACACTTATGTTTACTGCGGCACTATTCACAATAGCAAAGACTTGGAACCAAACCAAATGTCCAACAATGATAGACTGGATTAAGAAAATGTGGCATATATACGCCATGGAATACTATGCAGCCATAAAAAATGATGATTTCATGTCCTTTGTAGGGACATGGATGAAATTGGAAATCATCATTCTCAGTAAACTATGGCAAGAACAAAAAACCAAACGCCGCGTATTCTCACTCATTGGTGGGAATTGAACAATGAGAACACATGGACACAGGAAGGGGAACATCACACTCTGGGGACTGTTGTGGGGTGGGGGGAGGGGGGAGGGGTGGCATAGGGAGATATACCTAATGCTAGATTATGAGTTAGTGGGTGCAGCGTACCAGCATGGCACATGTATACATATGTAAGTAACCTGCACATTGTGCACATGTACCCTAAAACTTAAAGTATAATAAAAAAAAGAAAAAAAAAAGTTGGAAAAAAAAAAAAGATGAGGATCCAGTTTCATTCTCCTATGTATGGCTAGCCAATTATTTCAGCACCATTTGTTGAAAAGGGTGTCCTTTCCCCATTTTACATTTTAGTTTGCTTTGTCAAAGACCAGGGGGCTGTAAATATTTGGGTTTATTTCTGGGTTCTCTGTTCGGTTCCATTGGTCTATGTGCCTATTTTTATAGCAGTACCATGCTGTTTTGGTGACTATGGCCTTATAGTATAGTTTGAAATCAGGTAATGTGATGCCTCCAGATTTGTTCCTTTTGCTTAGTCTTGCCTTGACTCTGCATGCTCTTTTTTGGTTCCATATGAATTTTAGATTTTTTTTTTTATTCTGTGAAGAATGATGGTGATATTTTGATGGGAATTGTGTTGAATTTGTAGATTGCTTTGGGCAGTATGGTCATTTTTACAATATTGATTCTACCCATTCATGAGTTTGGGATGTACTTCCATCTCTTTGTGTCATCTATGATTTCTTTAAGCAGTATTTAGTAGTTTTCCTGTAGAGGTCTTTCACCTCCTTGGTTAGGTATATTCCTAAGTATTTTTTTTTTTTTTTTTTTTGCAGCTATTGTAAAAGGGGTTGAGATCTTAATTTGATTCTCAGGTTGGTCATTGTTGGTGTATAGAAGAACTACTGATTTGTGTATATTAATTTTGTATTCGGAAATTTTGCTGAATTCTTTTATCAAGAGTTGTGCAACTTAATACTCAAAAGTGTTTATACTACTGTTATTGTTTGTCTATTTTTTTGGAAAGAAATATGTATTGTCTGAACACTATTATAAAAATAGTAACAAAATTTAAAATAAATTTTATTGACTAATAGATTAACATATTTGTATTTTAAAAATATTTGCAGCCTTTTACACTCCCATATGTAATCTTTCGATGATGTAATTATAGGGTAGACATAGTTTTGCGTTTCATTCTGTTGACATAGTATAATTTTTAATGACCATGTGGCCATTTCTCTACTGTGAGAGGAGCTTTATTGTTAAAGGTATCTCATCTTCACCACCCAAAAACATTATGTGCTATTTCAGGGGCCAACTAGACTTAGACTTTCAACAACTGCCTTGCATTGGAACAGAAATGATTGGAACTAATCCTGCCATAAATCTCTGTTAAAAAACAACTAAAAACAAAACAACTATTAGATTGGCATGTCTGAGCTCAGACTCTCCTTGGGCAGGGCTTGCCGCAGCTGCTGTGGGGGATAGGGGTGTGGTTCCCAGGCCAATGGAGTTATGTTCCCAAGGGGATTATGGTTGCCTCCGCTGAGTCATACAGGTCATCAGGGAAGTGAGGGAAAGCCAGCAGTCACAGGACTCACCCTGCTCCCACACAGCCTGCAGTCCCAAAGGCCGATCTCACTCCCACTATGTACCCCTCAACAGTACCAAGTCTATTTCCAGGCAGCCAGTGACCAAGGCTGAGAGCTCACCTCAGACCACCAGCCTCCCTGCTGAGAAAGTAAGCAGACTCAGAGTTTTTCAGCATGTCAGGGAGCCTGCAGTGGCAATCCAGTTCCTTCAAAGGGTCGGTGGATTCTCTCAGCTTTTCTGGTATGTTGCTGCAGTAGTTCTTGGAGCAAAATTTATGATGTGATTTTCTACATGCTGCTCTGTCTGTCCAAGCCTGAGAGCTGCAAGCTAGTCCTGCTTCCCATCCACCATCTTAATCCTCAGAATGGTTATTTTTAAAAAGACAAAAAATAACAAATACTGGCAAGGATGCAGAGAAAGTGGAATGCTCATACAGTGTTAGTGGGAATGTACAGTAGGACAGCCATTATGGAAAACAGTATGGAGGTTCCTTAAAAATTAAAAATAGAAATGTCATATGATCTAGCAATCCCACTACTGGCATTTATTCAAATAAAAGGAAATCAGTATATTGAAGAGATATCTGCGCTCACATATTCACTGCAACACTATTCACAGTAGTCAAAATATGAATCAACCTAAGTGTTCATCAACAGATGAAGGGATAAAGGAAATGTGGTACATATACCTAGTGAAATACTGTTCAACCATAAAACAGAACAAAATTCTGTCATTCTCAGCAACATGAATATCTTGGAGTACATTCTGTTAAGTGTCAGGCACAGAAAAATAAAGACTGCATGTTCTCACTTATATGTAGGACCTAAAAAAGTGAAGCTCATTAAAGTAGAAAACAGAAGTGTGGTTATTAGGGCCCAGGGAGAGGATGTAGAAATACTGTTGGTTAAGTGATACAAAATTACAGTTACATGTGCGTATATTCCTCCCATATATGGGGACTATATATAGGAGGAATATGTGTGCATGTGTGTGTGATATATATAAATATTTCTCTATATATATGGAATGAGTTCTTGTTTTCTATAGCACTGTACGGTGACTATAGTTAACAATAATTTGTTGTATATTTTCAAATAGGAGAAGAGAGAATTCTGAATGTTCTCAACACAAAGATATGGTAAATATTTGAGGTGACGACTATATTAATCATCCTGATTTAATCATTACATATTTTATATATACATATACATATGTATGTATCAAAATATCACTCTGAACCCCATAAATATATACAACTGTTACAAGTCAATTAAAAATGAAGAAAATTAAGTCAGTCTGCATATACTAACATGGAATGAGACAAAGGTCTAATATGTAAATAAATGTAAATATTTATGAATATATAAAATAGCTTTAGTATGATTAGATACATCAGAAAATTGATTAGTTATAACTTTTTCTTGAATACATTCTTCTTGGAGCTATCTCTAGGCTTTCTATACATCATTGCCATTCATCATTATTCTAGAAACCCTCTTTGCCTAGACTCTGAGTCAGATTTCTTATTTCCTGGATCTTATGTTTTTACATTTATTGCTTTATTTTACATTTTTGGGTGCAATATGTTCTTCAACAGCTTCTCAAGAAGTAAAGAAAATGTATTCTTGAGAAGCTTTCATAATTGTAAATGTTTTTATTTTTGCTCACATTTAATAGTTTGATTTGGGATAGAAATACATTGGGAATTTTTTTTCCTCATAATTTGGAATTATTTTTCTATTGTCTTCTAGCATCCAGTGTTGTTGCTGAAACTTCTGCCATTACAGTTTCTAATCCTCTGTATGCATCCTTTAACTTATCTCTAGAAACTAATATTCTTTATTCCTGGTGTCTTGATATTTCATGACTACATGCCCTAATATATAGGTCTTTTAAAATCATGTTTTTTTGGTTATGCTGTGGGTCCTTCCAATCTGTAAATTCATGACTTTATGTTCTGGAAATTTTCTTGAATTATTTGACAAATTTGTCCCCTGTTTTTTTCCTGTTCTTTCTGTAAAACTTCTATTCAAACGTTGAACTGCTTCGGAAGATCATCCTACTCCCATATTTTCTCTATTATTTCTAAACACTTTGTCCTCATATTCTGCTTTATTGGAGATTTTCTCAGTGTAATATTAAACTTTTCTTAATTTGTTTTTGTAATTATCTTTCATCATGTGTTTTGAAAATTTTCAGGACTTTCTTTCTGTCTTTATGTCTCTGAATCTTCTTTCTCTGTGTTTTTCTCATTTAATAACATTTTGTTCTTTCCTTTTTGGCTATAACAATTGTAGACTGCAAAAAGGTTCATTCTTCTGCCTTCATTATTTCTGTGTCATCCACATTCTTATTTTTTGTTTTCTTTTGCTTTGTTTTTCTTTGGTCTCTGCTTTATGTGAGAGATGTGCCTCAAATGGTCTCCATTTATATGTAGGATTGAAGGCTGAATGTTTGAGAAGTGTGCATTTGGGAAGTCTCAATGCTTGGGAAGGATCAGATACTTCTTATGAATGGGGTAGGGCAGGGTAAGCAGGCTATTTTGTTAGGAGATCTTCACATTTTAATCTCAATGTCTTTTCTTTTACTTTAGTCAATTTCCCCGGAGAAGACTCCTCAACCTCCTTTCTGAGGTGGTATGAATCTAGGATTCACAGGGGTCAGGGAAGTGTAGTGTTTACTGTACCAAATTCAGACTTGTGATTATTTACTGAATTTTCAGGAAGAGACCTCAGCTATCTATACTCATTGTCCCCCGGTTCAGAGACTTTTTCATTTAGTCTCTCCACAACACAACATTGAAACTTTCGTATTATTATTTTTAAAACCAGAGATACTTTTCTGGTGTGAGGATTTCAAAGAGATGTTGGATGCATAAAGTTTTCATGCAAAATACTGAGGTCAACTGCGTGAAGTAAGTATATTTTTAGGGGTATTTTTTCCCAGTTATCCCAATTATCAGCTCTACTTTTATGGTTTTGACATTTGAGCAATGACAGAGGCTCTGAATTTAGATCATGCAGACCCTATAACTTTTGAATCTGGCAAAATGTAAATATAATATTACCTATTACATGAAATTTATTTTATATAAGAGCTCCTTTACATGTGAAGTAGAAATCAAAGCAATCTATCAACATATGTATGTGTACTGCTATTATCAGATTCTCAATTGGGGGAGCTTATTATAAGAGTGAGTCTCGGTTTGAATATATGAATGGGGGACTTATTTTGAAAAAATATATGTAGGTAATTCAGGTGAATTTAGACCAAGATGAGATGAGCAGTCTGACTGGAATGCAGAGGAGATGCATGCCTTGATCTCCATTGGCTGGGCCCCAGGCACAAATCCATCCATTTTCTAAGTGGGATAGTGGTCTGGTAAGGTTGCAGAAGACATTGCTACATTTTTATTCCCTTTTAATTATGAGCAGAGTTGAGAAGAATACACTAGAGATGTTACTAATTTACTTCAAGTTATTTATTTGACTGAATTTTGTTAGGATCTAATGTATTTTGATAAAGATTAACAACAATTTGGTACTAATTTGGATCTGCGTGTTGTTATTGATTAATTGATCTATTTTTGAAGTAACAGATGTGTTCTAGGTTAGTGAGCAGCTTGCTTTACTGAAGGTCCACTTTGGAACCTCCTGAGAAGCATACTCAAGTTAATAATGGGATATTAATGAAGTCTTATAGTGACTTTAATGATAAGGTGGGCAGGATAAGACTTTGGGCAGTGATATGATCTGAAAATACAATATTTGTTCTGAGCCAGCTCAGTCAGGTCCAACTAGCCATCCACTGTGTTTAGGAATCTAAGTAATTTGGAGTCAGGGCGAGGCTGGGACTTCTTAGAAGAGATACTACAAAACAGAGTAACGGGGAAGATCACGATTGAAGCTACAAATGGACAACAAATATGCATATAATCAAGCACATTAAATATTTAACTGACAAGATTAATTCAGCGTTGCTTGGCCCATCTCATACACAGTGTGTTTGGCCTGCATTACCAGGTGGTTTTTCACATTTCTTCCATCTGTTTTTTACTCAGTTGTAAACACCATCTTAATCCTAAAGAACCAGAGTGTTATGAAAAGATATCAATCATTTACCAAAGGTGAAGTTCACAGTGTACCTCTTTAAAGTGCTGGCTTTCCATGAAGAGATAAGATTCCCATTAAAGTAAGTTGTAGAGGAGCTTTGTCAAGTGTTAGTATTACTATATTCACTTTATGATGAAAAGAAAGCATCTGTACACTAGGTTGTAAACTGGTACAGAAACTTCTTTTGCAGTGGGATGTCAGTTTCCAAGTTCCTCTCTATGGCAAATTATGGCAATGTGAATTGTTAAGAACACTTGGTGTGGTTTAATTCTAAAAGGATTAAATGAGACTTTTTAATACATGCCCCTTGATTTGGGGTCTCAGTATCCAGGTTAAAGTTTGGGACTTGGATGGGTGTGACTCTTTGCAAAGGCAGATTTGGCCTATTAATAATAAGACCAAGAAATATTTATAAGAGCTTGACAGTATGAAGTGTTATTATTATCAGGCAACTGTAATGGAAGGATTTTTAGGGTGGATGCAAAAGATTTCTTAGGCCTACTCTAATTATTGTTTGAGTAAAATTCAGGTTTCCAATTTGGTGTGGCTCTTTAGGTCATTAAATTTGTGTAAATCTAATCTTCAGACCAAGGTAAACTGCCTTTGTCAGAAATTTTAGAAAATTTACTCATTAAAATACTTTATTTCCTCTTAACTGCTCCTACAATATGGAGATGATATGGATAGTACAAGAATTTTTATACATTAACAAATTGACCTTATTACCCAAACCAGACAAAGATACAACCAAAAAGGAAAACAACAGGCAAAATCCCTGATGAACATAGGTGCAGAAATCCTCCACAAAATACTAGCAAACAAAATTCAACGGCACATTAAAAAAAATCATTCACTGTGATCAAGTAGGATTCATCCCACGGATGCAGTCTACAGACTCAGTGCAACCCCTATTGAAATACCAATGACATTCTTCACATAAATAGAAAAAATAATCCTCAAACTTACATAGGACCACCAGAAGGGTCAGAATAGCCAAAGCCATCCTGACCAGAAAGAACAAAACTAAAGGAATCACACTACAGCTGACTCCAAATTGTACTACAGAGCTATAGTAACCAAAACAGCATGGTACTGGCATAAAAACAGATATATAGACCAATGAAACAGATTAAAGAACCCAGAAATAAAGCCATGCATCTACAGTCAACTCATTTTCAACAATGGCACTAAGAACATACATCGGGGAAAGAACATGAACTTTAATAAATGGTGCTGGGAAAACTGGATGTCCATATGCAGAAGGGTAAAACCATACCCTTGTCTCTCACCATATACCAACATCAAATCAAAATGGATTAAAGACTTAAATTTAAGACTTGAAACTATGAAATTACTAGAAGAAAACACAGGGGAAATGCCATAGGACATGGTCTGGATAAAGATTTTTTAGGTAGGACCTCAAAAGCACAGGCAAGAAAAGAAAAAAAAAAATAGACAAATGGGATTACATCAAGCTAAAAAGCTTCTGTACAACAAAGGAAATAATTAACAAAGTGAAAATAAAACCTACAGAATGAGACAAAATATTTGCAAATTGTTCATTTAACAAGGGATTAATAACCAGAATAAAGAACTCAAACGAGTCAATAACAACAACAATAACAACAAAAATCTAATTTAAATACAGGCAAAAGACCTGAATAAACATTTCTGAAAAGAAGACATACAAATGGCCAAAAGGTATATGAAAAAATGCTCAACATCACTAATCACCAGGGGAATGCAAATCAAGACCACATTGAGATATTATCTCACCCTAGTTAAATGGGTATTATTAAAAAGACAAAAAATAATGCTGGCAAGGGTGACAAGAAAGAACATTTATACACTGTTGGTGGGAATGTAAAGTAGGACAGTCATTATAGAAAACATGGCAGCTCTTCAGAAAGCAAAAAATAAAACTACCATATGATCCCGCATTCTCACTGCTGGTTATGTATCCAAAAGAAGGGAAAACAGTATATCAAAGAGCTATCTGCATTCCCATGTTTATTGCAACACTACTCACAATGGCCAAGATGTCGAAATGTCTGTCAACAAATGAGTGGATTTGAAAAATGTGTTATATACACACAATGGAATATTATTCAGCCATTAAAATAATAAAGTCCTGTGATTTGCAGCAACACGGATGGAACTGAAAATCATTATGTTAAGTAAAATAACCAGGCAGAGTAAAACAAATACTGCATGTTCTCATTAAATGTGGGAGCTGAAGAAGTGGATCTCATGCAGGTAGAGAGTAGATTGGTGGCTACCAGAGGCTGGAGAAGGGTAGAGGGGAGTGGGCGATGAAGAGAATGTGGTTAATGGGTACAAAAATATGTTAGATAGAATAAATAAGTTCTAGTATTTTATAGTACAGTAGGGAGACTGTAGTTAACAATCATTTATTATATTTTTCAAAACAGCTAGAAGAGAAGAATTGCAATGTTCCTAACACAAAGATAAATGCTTGAGGTGATAGATATTCCAATTACCCTGATTTGATCATTATACCCTGCATACCTGTATCAAATATAACATGTACCCCCAAAATATGTACAATTATGATATACCAATTAAAAAAGAATGGACTCACTTTTTTCCCCTAATCTGATCTGTGAGGTGGTTTAGTATAATAGAAACAGAAACAGGTGATCTTTTTGTCATTGCAATAAAACCACCTTTCCTGTAAGGATGGTGTTCTGTGAATGCAGAGATGACACACAGTATCACTTGATAATAGCCATATCAATTTACCTTAGAATATTAAACCCATTTGTAAGTTTGGGAGAGGTCTCGAGGACCTAGACTTGTCATAATTCTTACATTTTTTTCTATGTCATGAACTTGACAAATCAGGCATATGAAATGATAGTCCTCAGCAATTTTTGTAAAATTAGAGGCAAATCAATATTTCTTACCTGATTTATTATATTCTTTACTTATTTCAGACATACAGCACAGGAACGAGATGTGGAAGAACAACCTGAGGAGAAATCAGGCTATTATCTTGGGCTTTCTGCAGATAATCAACATTTAAAAAATACAGATAAACTCTAGACTAGGCTTCCAGGTGAAACTCCCAGGAGAGCACCTAAGGGAAATATTATGTCTTGGACTATCGGGAAATTGGGAATTAGATAACTTTAGACTCCACTGTGGTTCCAGAATCATACCAACTTGGTTTCAATACAGAGATCAGAAACTGAGAGTGCAACTGTTTGCTACAGGAATACCTTACCTTCATTTTACAATCTAGAAATCAGCTACTACCATTCCCATCAAGAAAATTCCCATGGTATCTCTCTCCACATGTCCTAGTTCCAAATGCAATTTTCATAACAGTATATGGAATTGGCAGAATCTAATTCATATCTGGAACCCAAGCTTCAAGAGTGTGTTTAAATGCTCCTAAGTTTTCTATTCTATGCAGTATAGAAGATTGGCATAGATGCTGAACAAACTTGACTATTGGATTGGGCGTCCTTTATCATTTGACAATTTTAAACTGTGAGATTATATTAATTATTTTAAAAATTTAATAAAAATTCAAACATCCTGATGAGTATCTACTACTGGCTGTGACAAAGTGCTCTACTGCTAAACCTAGCCCTACCACCATCAACAATTATAAAATTGGACAAAAATCTCTGAAACAACTGTTTCAAAGGCAGTGCAGGACTTTGAGCCCTGAGAGAATATAATCCCATAAGATGAGTCCAATTTTTACCTGGGGTCACTTTTTTGATTATGGCACAGGGAAGTGGAGTACCAACAGCAGTAACTTATCAAGGAACTAAAAATCTGCACTGAATCTTCCAGGCCTTTAGGGAAGAAATCATATTAAAATTATACAGAGTCCTACAGAAAATAGAAAAATAGAAATTAGAAAAGAAGAACACATTTTGAGAGATCAACTTAGCCCTAGTATCTACCAATAATAGAAGAGAACATTACAAGACAGGAAAATTACAAACCCATTTTCTCATTTATATATGCAAAAACTCACCATATATTAGCACATTGAGTGGATAATGCATCCTGACCAAGAGGGTTTAATCTAATGAATGCAAGATTGGTTTAATATTCAAAAACTAGTTAATAAAATTTACCACATTGAAAGACTGTAGGAGTAAAATCATGTGATCATCTCATAGATTCACAAAAGAAAATCACTTGACAAAGTTCAACACCAATTCATAAGAAAAACATACACAAACACACTGAAAAGTAGGAATAGAAGGAAACTTAATGAAGCACACCTATGAAAATCTTATGGCTAATATTATACTTACTGGAGACCAAAAGATTTCCCCTAAGTTCAGGAAAAAAGCAAGGATGTGTGATTTCATCATTTTGATTCCATATTTATTGAAGGTTGTAGCCAATACAAAAAGCAAAATATAGAAGAGGCATCAAGATTGGAAAGAAGGAAGTAAAATTGTCTCTATTCACAGAAAAAGTGAGCTAAAAAAATAAAATAGACAACATTAAATTGTATTTATATTGCTATGGTTATCTTATTCCTTACTCTACTAGAATATAAGTTTCACAAATGAAAAAGAAATAAACACTAATTCCATTTACAATAGCAATAAAAATGTAATACTTAGGGATAAATTAAAGATGTACAAAGCCTTTACAATAAAATATATGAATTTTTGAGATAAATATCAAAATGAAATTTTGAGATAAATATCTAAATAAGTAGAAAGTTACACTATATTTATGGTGTGGAAAAAATCTATAGTGTTAAGATGTTAATTATCTGCAAACTAATTTCTAGATTTAATGCATTCTCAGTCAAAATCTCAGCAGATGTTTTGTTGTTCAGACGGACAAATCAATTCTAAAATTTATTTCTAAATGCACAAAACTAGAATATCTAAAACTATTTTAAGAAAACAAAGTTTAAGAATCATAATTCTACTCTCTTTCTGTCAGATCAACTTTTTCAGATTCCACATATGAGTGAGATCATGCTGTATTTGTCCATTTGTGCTTGGCTTATTTTACTTAATATAATGTCTTCTAGGTTCATCCTTGTTGTTGCAAATAAAAGCCTTTTATTTTGTAACATTCTAGTAGAGGGAGGAATGTATATTTTTTTGTGAATCTTTTTATAGCTGAATAGCATTTCATTATGTATATGTACCACATTTTAAAATTCCATTCATCTGTTGATAGACACTTAGGTTGATTCCATATCTTGGCTATTGTGAACAGTGCTGCAATAAATATGGGAGTGCAGATATCTCTTTTACATACTGATTTTATTTCCTTTGAATATATCCTCAGTGGTGGGTTGTTGGATCATGTAGCAGTTCTATTTTTTACTGATATATAATAGTCGTACATATTTTTGGGGAACTTATGATTTGGTGTATGTATACAATGTGTAATGATCAAATAAGGGTAATAGGATATTAATCACCTGAAACATTTATTTTTTCTTTGTGTGGGGAACATTACAATTCTCTTCTAGCTATTTTGAAATATGCAATAAATTATTGTTTACTATAGTCTGGCTATTGTACTATCAAATATTAGAACTTATTTCTTCTATCTAGCTATATTTTTGTATCCATTAACCAACTTCTCTTCATCTTCCATTTCCCCCTTCCATTCTCAGCCTCCAGTAACCACCATTCCACTCTCTACCTGCATGACATCCAGATTTTTAGCTCTCACGAGTGAGGACATGCAATCTTTGTCTTTCTGTGTCTAGCTTCTTTCACTTAACATAATGATTTCCAGTTCCATTAATGTTGCTGAAAATGACAGGATTTCATTCTTCTTATGGCTGAATAATTTTCCAATGGGTATATACCACATTTAAAAAATCCATTTGTTCATTGATAGACAATCCCATATTTTGGCTTGTGAATGGTGCTGAAATAAACATTGTAGTGCAGATAGCTCTTCAATAAACTGATTTCCTTTCTTTAGGATATATATGTGGTAGTTCTATTTTTAATTTTTTGAGGAATCACCATAATGTTGTTTATAATGGCTATACTAATTTACTTTCTCACTGACATCCTCGCCAGCATTCATTGTTTTGTCTTGTAACAGTAATTCTAACTGGGGTAAGGTGATATTCCGTTTGGTTTTGATTTGCCTTTCCCTGATGATGAGTGATGCTGTGTATTTTTTTCATATCCCTGTAGATTATTTGTATGTCTTATTTTAAGAAATGTTCCTGCATCCTCCCAAGACTGAGCCAGGAAGAAAATGAACCCCTGAAAAGACCAATAACAAGCTCTGAAACTGAATCTGTAATAAACAGCCTGCCACCCCCTAAAAGCTCAGGACCAGACAGATTTGTAGTCAAATTCTACTAGATTTACAAAGAAGACCTGGTACTATTCCTACTGAGACTATTCAAAAAAATTGAGGAGGGACTTCTAACTCGTTCTATGAGGCCAGCATCATCTTGATACCAAAACCTGGCGCAATAAAAAAAAAATAAAACTCTAGGCCAATATCCTCAATGAACATAGATGCAAAAATCCTCAGCAAAGTACTGGCAAATGGAATCCAACAGCACATTAAAAAGTTTGTCCACCACAATCAAGTAGATTTTATCCCTGGGATGCAAGGTTGGTTCAACATACACAATAATAAATGTGATTCATCATGTAAACAGCACTAAAGACAAAAACTGCATGATTATTTCAATAGATGCAGAAAAGGCTTTTCATAAAATTGAACACCACTTCATATTAAAAAATAAACCATCTCTATAAACTAGGTATTGAAAGAACATACCTCAAAATACTAAGAGCCATCTATGACAAACCGACAGCCGGCAACATACTGAATGGCCAAAAGCTGGAAGCATTCTCCTTGAAAACCTACATAAGACAAGGATGTCCTCTCTTACCACTTCTATTCAACATAGTAATGAAAGTCCTGGCCAGAACAATGCGGCAAGATAAAGAAATAAAGGGCATCCAAATAGGAAGTGTGGAAGTTAAAATGTCCCTGTTTGCAGATGACGTAATTATATATCTAGAAAGCCTCATAATATTGGTCCAAAAGCTCCTTAAGCTGATAAAAAACTTCAGCAAACTCTCAGTATACAAAGTCAATGTACAAAAATCACTAGCATTCCTGTACACCAACAACAGTCAAGGTGAAAGCCAAATCAGAAATGCAGTCCTATTCACAATTGCCTCAAGAAGAATAAAATACCTAGGAATACAACTAACCAGTAAGGTAAAAGATCTCTACAGGGAGAACTACAAAACCATGCTTAAAGAAATCAGAGATGACACAAATGAATGGAAAAAGATTTCATGCTTGTGGATAGGAAGAATCAATATTGTTAAAATGGCCATTCTGCCCAAAGCAATTTATAGATTCCTATCAAACAGCCAATGACATTCTTCACAGAACTAGAAAAAGGTATTCTAAAATTCATATGAAACATAAAGGAGCCCAAATAGCCAAGGCAATTCTTTTTTTCTTTTTTTCTTTTTTCTTTCCTTCTTTCTTTCTTTTTTTTTTTTTTTTTGAGATGGAGTCTCACTCTATCTCCCAGGCTGGAGTGTAGTGGTGTGATCTCGGCTCACTGCAAGCTCCGCCTCCTGGGTTCACACCACTGTCCTGCCTCAGCCTCCTGAGTAGCTGGGACTACAAGCACCCACCACCACGCCCGATTAATTTTTTTGTATTTTTAGTAGAGATGGGGTTTCACCATGTTTGCCAGGATGGTCTTGATCTCCTGACCTTGTGATCCACCTGCCTTGGCCCCCCAAAGTGCTGGGATTACAGGCGTGAGTCACCACGCCCGGCCTAGCCAAGGCAATTATAAGCAAAAATAACAGAGCTGGAGGCATCATACTACCCAACTTCAAACTGTACTACATGGCTACAGTAATCAAAACAGCATGGTACTGGTACAAAAACAGACACATAGACCAATGGAACAGAATAGAGGGCCCAGAAATAGAGCCATGCACCTACAATCACCTGATCTGCAACAAAGCTGACAAAAACAAGCAATGGGGAATGGACTTCCTGTTCAATAAGTGGTACTGAGACAACTGGCTAGCCGTATGCAGAAAATTGGAACTGGATCTCTTTCTTATACCATATAAAAAGTTAACTAGAGATGGATTAAAGACTTAAATGTAAAACCCAAAACTATAAAAACCCTGGAAGACAACCTATGCAATACCATCCTGGACATAGGAACAAACAGATTTCATGAGGAAGACGCCAAAAGTAATTGCAACAAAAGCAAAAATTGACAAATGGCGTCTAATTAAACTAAGAGCTCTGCATGGCTAAAGAAACTATCAAGAAAGTAAACAGACTACCTACAGAATGGGAGAAAACTTTTGGAAACTATGCATCTGACAAAAGTCTAATATCTAGCATTTATAAGGAACTTAAACCAATTTATAAGCAAAAAACCCAACCCCATTAGAAAGTGGGCAAAGGACATGAAGAGACATTTTCAAAAGGAAACACACATGTGGTCAACAAGCATATGAAAAAAAGCTTAACATCACTGATCAGTAGATAAATGCAAATCAAAACAACAATGATACACCATCTCACACCAGCCAGAATGGTTATTAGTAAAAGTAAAAAAATAACAGGTTCTGGTGAGGTTGTGGAGAAAAAGGAATACTTATACACTGTTGGTAGGAGTGTAAACTAGTTCAACCATTGTGGAAAGCTGGGTGGCGATTCCTCAAAGGCCTAAAAACAGAACTACGATTTGACCCAATAATCCTTTGGGTATATAAGCTGCTGCCAAACTAATTTCCAAAATGTGTAATCCTTAAGCAGATCAATAACAAGTTCCAAAGCTGAATCAGTTTCCAAAATGTGGAAACTAGTTTGGCAGTATCTTATATACCCAAAGGAATATAAACTGTTCTGTCATAAAGACACATGCACACAAATGTTCATTGCAGCACTATTCACAACAGCAAAGACATGGAATCAACCTAACTGCCCATCAATGGTAGACTGGATAAAGAAAATGTGGTACATATATACCATAGAATGACACGCAGCTATAAAAAAGAATGAGATCATGTCCCTGCAAAGGGATGGAGCTGGAGGCCTTTATCCTTAGCAAACTAATTCAGGAATAGAAAAGCAAATACTGCGTGTTTTCATTTGTAATTGAGAGCTAAATGATGAGAACACATGGACACATAGAGGGAAACAACAGACACTGGGACCTAGTGGGAGGGTGGAAAATGAGAGGAGGGAGGGGATCAGGAAAAGTAACTATTGTGTACTGGACTTAATACCTGGGCAATGAAATAATCTGTACAACAAACCCACATGACACGAGTTTACCTTACGTAAAATAAAAGTTTTTAAAAAAATGTCTATTTAGATCTTTCGCCCATTGAAAAAACTCAGATTATTTGTTTTTTGAGAGAATGAGGAGGATGGCAAGAGGTTGGTCAATGAGTATAAAGTTAGAGTTACATAGGAGAAATAAATTCTGATGTTCTATTGCATAGTAAGGTGACAATACAATGAAAATGTACTGTATATTTCAAAATAGTTAAAGAGAAGATTTTGAATGTTTTTACCACAAAGAAATGACAAGTTTTTGGGGTGGTGGTTATGCTAATTACCTTGATTTGATCATTACAGAATGTATAAATGTATCAAAACGTCACAGTGTACCCCATAAATGTGTACAATTATGTGTCAATTAAAAATATAATTTTTTAAAAGACTAAGAGAAAGAAAACACCAAAGTTTGAGTATTTTGACTACTTTATTTTAGATTATTAGAAAGTTATAATAAGCAAGATGGTATTGATATAAAAACAAATATATTACTGAAATCTGTTCCAATGACAAACAGAGAATCTTGAATTTGTGCTATAATGACTCTTGACAAAGCCACCAAATTAATTCAGTGGAGGAAAGGACAATTTTTCAACAAATAGGGAAGAACTGGATATCTGTATGGAAAAAAAACCACAATTCCTATATCATACCATTTATAAGAATTAATTTGATATGAATCATAAACCTAAACATGAAGTGCAAAGCTATAAGGGTTATAAAATAAAACATGGAAGAATATTTGATGACCTAGAAGTTTTCTTGACAGAACTCAGAAAGCACTAACCTTACAAGATAAAAGTAATAAATTGGACTTTATCAACATTGAAAAGTTTTGCTCATCAAAAGACATCATTAAGGAAATGTACACGAAAGCCACAGATTAACATAAAGTATCCACAATATAGAAATGTGAAAAATATTTTTTTTTTTTTTAAGACAGAGACTCACTCTGTCACCCAGGCCGGAGTGCAGTGGCACGGTCTTGGCTCACTGCAAGCTCCGTTTCCCGGGTTCACGCCATTCTCCTGCCTCAGCCTCCCTAGTAGCTGGGACTGCAGGCAGCTGCCACCATGCCCGGCTAATTTTTTGTATTTTTAGTAGAGACGGGGTTTCACCGTGTTAGCCAGGATGGTCTCGATCTCTTGACCTTGTGATCCCCCCGCCTGGGCCTCCCAAAGTGCTGAGATTACAGGTGTGAGCCACCGCACCCGGCCTGAAAAAAATTTTTATTTTGATTACATAAACAATTTATAATTTAATAACAAGAATATTTCCAATCCTCCCAAAAAATAGATGAAAGATTTAAATAGACACTTCACCAAGAAAGCTAAGCAAATCGCCAATTAGTCCATGGAAAAGTGTTTAGCATTATTGATCATCAGAGAAATCTAAACTAAAATCACTATGATATATCACCACACACTGATGCACACTAATGTTGAGATGGCTAACAGCAGCATAAAAGACAATGCCAAATGTTGGGGAGCATGTGGAGCAACAAGAACTCTTATACATTGTAGATATAAAATGAAAACAAAACAAAATAGAACACATTTTGGAAACTAGTTTAGCAGCCTCTTATAAAGTTAACGACACCCTATGCCCTAGCAATCCACTTTTAAGTACTTAAGAAAAACAAAAGTATATCCCCAGAAATAGACTTGTGCAAACAAAATGCACCTAATATCCATATTGGAAAGGAAGAAATAAGACTATTTGTTTGCAGATGATATGATATTATAGACAGAGTATACTAAAAACCTCACTAAAAAACTATTAGAACTAATAAACAAGTTTAGCAAGGTTGTGAGCTAAAAGATCAAGATGCAAAAATCAACCGTATTTTTATGTACTGGCAATGAACAATCTGAAAATGAAATGAATATATTCCGTTTACAATACTATAAAATGGAATAAAATGCTTACGAATAAATTTAACAAAAGAAGTTTAAGACTTATACTTTAAATACTACCACACATTGTTGAAAGGAATTTTAAGAGATCCAAATAAATAGACATCCATGGTAAAAAAAGTGAAAGACTTAAATTTTATAAAATGGCAATATTCTTCTGCAGATTCAATGGAACCTAATCAAATCCCAGCTGCTGTTTTGGGGGACAGAAATTGACAAGATAATCCAAATTTGTATGGAGACTTAAGGGACCCAGAATAGCCAAAGCAATCTTGAAAAAGAAGAACAAAGTTGGAGTACTCATGTTTCATGATTTCAACACTTACTGTAAAGTTATAGTAATCAACATAGTGTGATACTAGAATAATTATGGGCACATAGATTAACAGAATAGAATTGAGAGTCCAGAAATAAACCCTTACATTTTTAGTCAACTAATTTCAACAAAGGTACCCAAATCATTCAGTGGGGGAAAGAATCGTATTAAGTGATTCTGGGAAACGAGATATCCACAGGCAGAAGAAATTAATTGGCTGCCTCAACCCATACACAAAAATTAACTCAAAATGGCTCACCAGCCTAAATGTAAGGATCAAAAGGATAAAACCTTTAGATGAAAAGAGGAGTAAATATTTATAAGCTTCAGTTAGGAAATGGTTTCTGAGTTATGACAGCAAAAGTACAAGCAACAACAATAATATAGATAAATTGGATTCACCACAATTAATAGCTTTTTTGCTTAAATGCTATTAAGGTAAAAAGACAACCCATAGACTATGCAATTTCCAAATCATATATTTGATATGGGATTTTTGTACAGAATGTATAAAGAACTCTTACAAAACAATAATGAAAACGTAAGTAACCCAATTAAAAGTGGGCAAAGGATCTGAATAGATGTATTTTCAAAGACCATGTGCACATGGCTAACAGACATGAAAAGATGCTCAATATCATTAGTCATTAGGGAAAGTGCAAATGAAAACCATGATAAGATACAATTTCATGCCCAATAGGGTGGCTATAATAAAAAAGACAGACAATAACAAGATTATGGATAAATTGGTACCATTTTACATCGCTGGTGGGAATGTGAAATGGTGCAGCCACTTTGGAAAAGAGTCTGGTGGTTCCCAAAAATGTTAAACATAGGGTTACCATATGACCTAGTAGTTCTGCTTTTAGGTATCTTTTCAAGAGAAATAAGAAGACAGTTCCACAGAAAAACTTGTATACTGCTTGGGTGATGGGTGCACCAAAATCTCACAAATCACCACAAAACAACTTACTCCTGTGACTAAACACCACCTGTTCCCCAATAACCTATGGAAATAAAAAATTTAAAAAAATTTTTTTAAAAAGAAAACCTTGTAGGCAATTGTTCATAGCAGCTTTATTCAGAATAGTCAAAACTTGGAGCACAAAATATTCTATATTTGAGGATGAATAGACAAATAAAATGTGTTATATCCAGATAATGGAATATTACATGATCACAAAAAGGAATGAAGTACTGATACATGCTATAACATGGGGGAAGCTTGAAAACATTTTGCTAAGTGAAATAACCCAGTCACAAAAGATTACATATTTTATGATTACATGTATATTAGGTATCCAAAATAGGTAAAGCTATAGAGACAGAAAGTAGGTTAGTGATTACAAGGACCCGGGGCAGTGGGAATTTGGTGGAGGTATTGGGGAAGGGAATGGGAAGTGACTGCTAATAGGTATGAGGTTTCTTCTGGAAGAGTGAAGTGTTCTAAACTTGATTGTAGTGATGATTGCACACCTCTGAATATGCTGAAAACCACTGGATTGCACACTGGGTGCAAATTCCCTGTTAAATGGATGAAATGTATGGTGTGTCACTTTTATTTTAATAAAGCTATTAAAAAAGAAAGAATGCATGAAGTAGCTTTATTCAAAATAGCCCCAAACTAGAAAGAAAATCTACCAATAGGAGAACAGGTAAAATAATCGTGGAATATTCAGTGAATTCCACTGACTAATAAAAATGAATATACCACCGACACAAGCAATGGCGTGGATGAATTTCGAAAACATGGTAAGTGTAGAAATGCAGACATAGAAGAATACATGCTAGAACAGGCAAAGCTAGCCATTGGTGTAAGAAATCAGAACTGCAGCAGGGGTTCAGTGGAAGGGTATACTAAGGAATTTTCTGGGTTGAAGAGTTCTGTACTTTGATAGGGATTTGGGTTACACATATGTTTATATTTTTAAAAACTTCCTGAACTATCCAGTTAAACTCTATGCATTTCACTGTTCATAAATAACTCAATAAAATATCCCATAACATTAAACAATGAAATATTACTTCTAATGAGAAAAGAGGATTTAATCTCTGCTAAGGGGAATTCTATAGAACACTAGATTTTAGAGCACTTCATGTCTTAGAAAGTTTTTTTTCCCAACCCATAAATAATAGAAATAGAAAAGAATACATAGAGCAATAACTGTAAGGTTTGCCTAGAATGCTTTTTAATTTTTCTTTTCTTTTTTTTTTTTTTTTGAGACAAGGTCTCACTCTGTCACCCAGGTTGGAGTGCAGTGGGGCAATCTCAGCTCACTGCAGTCTCTGCCCACTGGGTTTCAAGCAATTCTCCCACCTAAGCCTCCTGAGTAGCTGGGACTATAGTCTCGTGCTACACCCAGCTGATTTTTATTTTTAGGCAGAGATGGGGTTTCACCATGTTGTCCAGGCTGGTCTCGAACTCCTGACCTCAAGTGATCTGCCCGCCTCAGCCTCCCAAAGGGCTGGGATTACAGCTGTGAGCCACTGTGTCCAGCCATTTTTTAAATTTTTTATTTTTTAACATAATTTTCATTTTTCTTATGACACATGGATTTAGTGTTGAACTCAATTTTTAAAAGTCTTGAAATCAATACAGAAATTTATTACCTTCAGTATTCTATTAGCCTGATTTTTGGGATGCACTGCAGATGTCAGAAATGTACTGAAATGACTAGCAAGGATTATCAGAGATTTAAAAACCTCAACTCAGAATTTTAGGTGAAACAATTTTTGTACGTAACCAAAAGCACCTTTGCTTTGCATACTCATTCATGTATTGATTTTGTAAATATTTACTGTGTGCCTATTTTGTGCTGGATAAAGTTCTAGGAACTGCAAATATGCCTCTAAACAAGAGAACAAAAAAATACTTCTCTTTATAAAACTAACATTCTGATGAAGAACAGAATAACCGTTGCATATAAACACATTTTTATAGTAGCTTGGAAAAAATCATACAGAGTATTGGGGACCTTGTTGAAATCTTAGCGAGGTCAGGATAGGCCTTACTTGAATGATATTTAAGCAAACATTTGAGAAGTGACACATTTGAGTATTTAGGGAAAGGCATCCAGGCAGAGGAAACCAGACGTGAAAAGCCCCAAGATGGAAGCATGCCAGGTATTTTTAAGAAACAGTAAGGAGGCTAATGTGCTTGTAGCAGAGTGAACAAGTGGATAGAATGGTAGGAGATGAAGTTGAAGGTGTATTCTGGGAGAAAGGGGTAAATATCGTGCAGGGCCTGGTGGAATAAAATTTCCTTTGGTTTTTACTCTGAATGTAATGGGGAGCCATAGGACATGCTCTGACTGACATTGTCCTAGGATCACTTTGTCCTCTCGATTCTCTCGATTACTGTTGAGAGGCAATGCCAGAAGCAAGGAGACCAATTAAGAGGCTATTGCAATACAGAGAGAGGCTGTCGGTGTGGACCCAAGTGGTAGTAATTGAGGTGAGGAGAAGCGGTCTGATTCTGTAGACTGCAGGTGGAGCAGGTCTGTTGTTAGTGGGTGGTGGTAGCAGTGATGGGGAGACTGAAGTCACATTTCAGACACACTAAAACGGACATCCAAGTGTATTTCTAGTAAGTAGTTTGATATATCAGTATGGAAGCCTGGGGAGGAATCTGGATTACAGATATACATTGTATTATTGTTTACTTACAGTAATATGGCATGTGATTGGGTGAAATCAGTAATGGAGAAAGTACAGAGAAAGACGAGCAGTTTCTCTTCTTGGGAAGAGAATGGAGCACTTTCTTGATGTTAAAGGAACAGCCTTAGCATTTCACCATTCAATGTTTTCTGTAGTTTCGTCATTGCAGATATCCATGATCAGGTTAAGGAAGTTCCTTGCTAGGAAATTAGACTAATTTTTTTTTTAAATTATCAATTTGATATGGTTTGACTCTGTGTCCCCATTTAAATCTCATCTTGATTTGTAGTGCCCAGGTGTGGAGGGAGGGAGATGATGGGATTATGGGGGTAGTTTCCCCCATGCTGCTCTCCTAATAGTGAGTGAGTTCTCACGAGAACTGATGGTTGTAAAGTGTTTGGAAGTTTCTCCACCGCTCTTTTCTCTCTCTTGCCGCCTCGTGAAGAAAGTGTCTGTTTCTCCTTTGCCTTCCGCCAGGATTGTAGGTTTCCTGAGGCCTCCCCAGCCTTTCAGAAGTGAGTCAATTAAACCTCCTTTAATTACTCGGTTGGACTAATACACAATTGACGCTTAATTTTTATCAAATAGTTGTTCTGTACCAAATGAGATAATTATATGATTTTTTTTCTTTAATCCGTTAATTTATCTTTTTCTTATTAAACCAACCTTACATTTCCTGGGATAAACCTAACTTGGTTAGGATATATTATCTTCTTTATATATTGCTGAATTAGTTTTGCTAATATTTGGTTCAGGATTTTGCACCTGCGTTAATTTAAATAGGCCTGTGATAGTCCGTTTTGCATTGTTCTTGTTGGATTTGGCATAAAAATTATTTTAATTGGTAAAGTGAGTAGGGGAGTGTTTCCCCTGGAACAGTTTGTGAAAGCTTAAAATTTGTTGTATCTTCCATGCTGGTTGAATTTGCTGGTAAACCTCCCTGAGCCTAAAGTTGTCTTCGTGAAAACATTTTATATTTCTCATTCAATTTTTTTAATACTTATGTTTTAAGGCTGTTTAGATTTTCCATTCCTTATTGAGTTAACTTTGGCAAGTGATTTTTTATGGGAATTAGTCCATTTTGTTTAAATTTTCAGTGTAGTTGTTAATAAAATTATTTTACTTCATTTTATATGCCTGCAGCATCTGTAGTATGTCTCCCTTTTCATTCCATATGTTATTTTCCTTTTATTTGATTGACCTTGCCAGATGCTTGTCAGTCTTAGCAATCTCTTCACAGAACTTTCAGCTTTTTTTCCTCTATACTATTTTATTTTCTATTTAATTAATTGCCACTTATTTCTCTTTATTTTCCAGTATCTTTGGGTATATTTTATTTTTTGTAACTTTTTAAGATGGATGCTTAGTTCATTGACTTTTATCCTTTTTTTAAACAAATATATGTATTTAAGACATTTTCTCTCTGATTACTGCTTTAGAAATATCCAAAAATTCTATTAGGCAGCTTCTTGTTGTATTCCTTTCTGAATATTTTCTATTTTCTGTTATTTCTTCTTTAACCTATTTTTTAAGTTTCAAAACACAGGAATGTCTAATTATCTTCTTGTTATTGTATTTTCAAATTAGTGCACTGTGGTTTAAAATGTTATTGTAGATTTTAATCCTTTAACATTTTTGAGACTCCTTTATTGGTCCTTGTGTAGTCAATTTCCAAACACATTCCAGGTGTGCACAAAAAGCATGCATGTTTGAAATATTTGGAGTGGATTGTTCATTTGTTCATTAGCTCAATTTTAATAATATTGCTCAAGTAAACTGTATTTTTACTGATACTTTGTCAGCCTGTTCTATTCTCAAATTAATGTGTTATAATCTTCTATCACGATTTGCCTATTTATTGTTTCAGTTCTGTATTCTCTTTTGGAGAGTGTTGTTTTCTTTAAACTTTTTATTTGCACTAAGTTCAAAGAGGTAGGTTGTCATTTTTAAAGGAATTATCCATTTCATTTAGGTTTTCAAATTAATTTGATTTAGAGTTGTTCAAAGTAGATTTTGTGATTAAAAGAAATTCTTTATGTTTAAAGGTAATTTTCCCTTTTGCCATCATTTAAACATTTCCTCCATCTATGCTTTACTTTTTAAATTAAGTTTTCTGGTCACTTATTTTATTTAATTTTTTAAAATAGTTTTTTTAACCTCATTAGTATCTAATTTTTTTTACTTTGTTGTTTGACTAGCTGTTTTGACTTGGTAATTTAATTTGTACATTTTTATTTTTCCATTTTTATTGTTATAAGTATCTAAGGCTATGAATTTTCATCTGATCACTGCTTTTGTTTTCCATAGATTATAGAAATTCTACAATTGCGATTTGAATTTTCCTGCTGACCTAAGCATTGTTTAATAAAAAGGTTCTGAATTTCCAGATGAAAAGACTGCTTTAAAAACAATTTTTATTATTAATTTTTATTTTTATTTCATGGTCACCAGATAAAATATATGTTTTGTTTTATGGCATGTAATTTAACGCTTATACATGTTTGCAAAGAGGATGCATTCTTTGTTACTGGGTGCAAAGAAAGCTTCACAAATCATACGTTATTAATCACTTTTTTTCCCCTTAACCTTCTTAGAACATGACTATGGTGTTAGAGTCTCTTATTTATCAGTCTATTCTGTATTCTTGCATTTATGTTGCTTATTTGGTATATATATTCATACATACTCTTTTTATGTTTTCATTGTGGACTATGGCCTTTAGCATTATAAAATGTCTTTCTGTGTCTCATTAATTGTTTTGGGGCCAGAATTGGACTTTCTTTGTTTAATATTAAGACTACAACCTCTGTTTTCTTATTTTTTGCATTTGCCAAGTATATCTTTATCCATTCTTTAGTTTTAGCTTTGCAAAATCATATTGTTTGGGATGTTTTTTATGCACAGAATGGTGCTGGATTTTTCTTTGTTAGCCATTCTAAAATCTTTAAATAGGAGAGTAGAGAATTTACATTTATTGATATGATTGCCACTTATTTCTCTTTATTTTCCAGTATCTTTGGGTATATTTTATTTTTTGTAACTTTTTAAGATGGATGCTTAGTTCATTGACTTTTATCCTTTTTTTGAACAAATATATGTATTTAAGACATTTTCTCTCTGATTACTGCTTTAGAAATATCCAAAAATTCTATTAGGCAGCTTCTTGTTGTATTCCTTTCTGAATATTTTCTATTTTCTGTTATTTCTTCTTTAACCTATTTTTTAAGTTTCAAAACACAGGAATGTCTAATTATCTTCTTGTTGTTGTATTTTGAGCCTTACCTCTGTGATAGTATTCTATGTATTATTTAATTTATTTTTCAATTTTTGAATTTTTTATATGTTTTTGGTATTTAGGAAGGTATGTAGTTTTTATATACTACTTTTCTTTATATTAATATTTTTGTATTGCTTTTAGACCCTTTTCCTCTTTACGATTCTACTAACTGGTTTGCCTTCTTAAATCATTTCCTTCTACTACCCCCTATCACTCAACTGGAAATAGTTAGCTTGTTCTACTTCTTTCTTTTACTGTTAGACTTTGTTATTTCTCCTTTTCCTGTACAGATACCATTTACATGGCATTCTTCTTCCTGTATTATGCCTTTGTTTTGGTATTACAGTTACAATTAAATGTTGTAAGTGTTCTTCATTAATTGTTTTACAGAAGTGTCCCCAGTAATACTGTGGTTGGATGTTACTGTATGTTTAGTTTTACAGTTGGACAGCTTGATTTGATATAAAATGCTTGAATCACACTGTCTTTTCTTGCATTTAAAAAATATTGCTACATCATTAGCTTTAAAAATATACATATATGCTGCTGGCAACATGGTCTTTAAAAAAATTTGTAGGTGACATAATCATTTTACTAAGAAGTTTAGAGGATTAAAACATTCATATTTAAAGTCTAATAGTTGCTTTATAATAATGTCGTAAAGTTGACCACCCTTATCCATTTTCTCAAGTATATGGTGAACTCTTACTAAATTGATTCATGCCTTTTATTTCTGGGAAGGTTTCTTTGGATATAATTTAAAGTACTCTGTTCTATCCCTTTGTTTTTCTTCATAGGGAGACCTAATTTGTAGTATGTTGTGTCGTTTTGCCTTTCTTCTATATTTATCTCTTTCTGTCAGATACTTTGTTGCCTCTCTGTTTATGTCATTTTGTTTTCTAAGGTTCCTTTTATTTTTATCCCCTGTATCCCTTACCATACCTTCAATTTTTAATCTATTTTCTCCCTTGGGCGTTTTGTAGCTTTTGAGACAGAGTCTTGCTATGTCAGCCAGGCTGGGGTGCAGTGACATGATCTTGGCTCACTACAACCTGTACCTCGTGGGCTCAAGCAATTCTTCCACCTCAGCCTCCTGAGTAGCTGAGACTACAGGCACGTGCCATCACACCCGGCTTATACTGGGTTTCACCATCTTGGCCAGGCTAGTCTGGAACTTCTGGGCTCAAGTGATTCCTCCACATTGGCTTCCCAAAGTGCTAGGGTTACCAGGTGTAAGCCACTGCTCCTCGCCTTTTGAATAATGTTTTTTAGTTTTGAGCTGATTTTATCTTTTTCTTCGGTTTCTTTCTGGTGTTTGATCATCTCTTTTGTCACACCTTCCTATTTTTTGTCTGTTTCTATCTGAGTTTTTTAGTTTGAGATTTGTGATTTTTAAATCACATATGCAATTATTGTTTTATTTATTTGCTTTATGTTGGAGAAGGTTTTACTGTGTGAGTGTGGGTGAATGTGTTAACAATAGTCTGGATCATTTTTTTTCCACATCCAAGAACGTCTTGGAAGGCGACCTTAACTCCTTGCAACACTGTTTCTGAAATTATACCAAGTTGATCCAGATTTGAAATGTTAACAGTATCAGGACTTTGTTATCATTGCTTAATGTACAACACCTGATTTATGGACTACCCCTCAACTGGCGGAATGTTAAATTCACACACAGACCCTGCTAGGCTACATGACTTAGGACTGTACATAAAAACAATGAAGAACATAGTTAGCAGATATTCTTTGTGGAGCTGGTCCACCCATGTAAACATTATCTCTTGCAACTAACTGTGTCCATCTAGGGCTGGAGTCTAGAAGCTGTACCTAGGTTTTTAGAATACTTTTTGATGAAAATGCCAATTATTTTTCTGCTACATTTCCTGAACTATATCCCTTCAAAAGGTAAATAAACTTGGTGCTTGGTTAAACCTTGGGGAGAAAAAGGAGCAGGTGAAAAGAGGGCAGGAGAAGGTCAGAGAGAAAGAGAGACAGAGACAGAGATTCTGTTTTCTGAGGCCTTCTCTTGAGGCCTAAAGCACTCTAACATTATAACAAGGGCTATGAGAGTTATGAACCAGGAACCATGAATGAAAGGCTACGTATATATAAAATGAGATACATATATATGTCATAATACCACAGTAGTACTTAGTTTCTTGTTTCCAAGGCTTAGTTCAAGTTACCTCTTGGCTGTGTTCCAGATACTATGGCTGTATAACCCAGGGGTCCCCAACTCCCGGGCCGTGGACCAGTATGATTTGTTGCCTTTTAGGAACCGGCTGCACAGCAGAAGGTGAGCAGCTGGTGAGTGAGCATTACCGCCTGAGCTCTGCCTTCTGTCAGATCAGTGGCAGCATTAAATTCTCATAGGAGCACGAACCCTATTAACAGTGCATGCGAGGGATCTCGGTTGGGCGCTCCTTATGAGAATCCAATGCCTGATGATCTGAGGTGGAACAGTTTCATCCCCAAACCATCTGCGCTCCTCCTCCTGGTACATGGAAAAATTGTCCTCGGTGAAACCTATCCCTAATGCCAAAAAGGTTGAGAACTGCTGGTATAACCAACAACCTCTGAATTCAGTGACTTAAGACACTGACAATATTTATTTTGCTCATGAAACTGCAGTTTAGGCAAGGCTCAGTGGAGATAGCTCATATCTGGTGCACTTTATGTCGTCTGGGGCATCTCAAAGGTAAGGGGCTGAGATCATGTAAAGCAAGCTTGTCCAACCTGTGGGCTGCATGCAGCCCAGGATGGCTTTGAATGCAGCCCAACACAAACTCATAAACTTTCTTAATTTAAATATGAGGGGTTTTTGTGATTTTTTTTCTTTAGCTTATCAGCTGTTGTTAGTGTTGGTGTATTCTATGTGTGGCCCAAGACAATTGTTCTTCTTCCAATGTGGCTCAGAAAAGCCAAAAGATTGGATACCCTGATCTAAAGTCTTGCTCATTTAACACGTCTAGTGTTTGATGATAACTATTGAAAGATGTCTCAGATCCTCTCTATGTGGGTCTCTTTATATAGTTTTTCTGTATGGGCTAGTTGAAACTTCCTCAGAGATTGGTGGCTGAGTTCTAACAGCAAGCATCACAAAAGCAAGAGACAGGTGGAAACCAAATAATCTTTTGTGACTTAGTCTTGGAAGTTATACAGCATCACTTATAATACATTTTATTCAATGAGGCAGTCATAAAATTAAACCTAGGTTCAAGGAGAGGAGAAATAGACTATACCTCTTGACAGGGAGTGGCAAAGTTCTAGAAAGGCATGTGGGACTAGAAATATTTTTATGATTATTTTTGGGAAAATATGAGAGGAAGACAATCTAGAATTAAAAGAACAAAGGACCGAGCTGGGCAAGTAACCAGCTGGCACTTCAAATGAATGAGAAGTTAGGGAACTAACATCTCAGAATAGATGGCAAGATACCATGAGAAACAGTAAGGAAAATAGGAGAGAAATGAAAGATTCTGAAATCTACAAGTATTCAATGTTCTCCAGGTGTTCATTTTTTTTTTTTTTGGAAAGTAACCTCTCTGTGTGAGCATACTTTTTTGTATATTTTTAAATATATTTTTGTATATTTTTAATATATGATATATTTTTGTATATTTTAAATATACAATATAATTTTATATGTTTTAATATATATGTTTGTGTGTGTGTATATATATATATATTTTTTTTTTTTTTTTTTTTTTTTGGGACGGAGTCTCGCTCTGTTGCCCAGGCTGGAGTGCAGTGATGCAATCTCGGCTCACTGCAAGCTCTGCCTCCCAGGTTCACACCATTCTCCTGCCTCAGCCTCCTGAGTAGCTGGGACTACAGGCACCCACCACCACACCTGGTTAATTTTTTGTATTTTTAGTAGAGGCAGGGTTTCACCGTGTTAGGCAGGACGGTCTCGATCTCTTGACCTCGTGATCGGCCTGCCTCAGCCTCCCAAAGTGCTGGGATTATGTTTTTATGTTTTTAAATATACAAACAGATTATCAATTTTAGATAAACAAGTTTATAGAGTAAAAATGCAAGCATGAAATTTATAGAGTTAAAGCATTTTTACTTTATTCAATTAGTGGGATGATATTGTTACCAGCAGCAAATCCACATGGGTCTGCAGCAACTTCAATTCTTGCCTCCTCAGAAGAAAGAATTTGACTGAGGGGCACAAGGCAGAAGGAGAGACTGAGGGAAGTTTTAGAGCAGGAGTGAAAGTTTATTAAAAAGCTTTAGAGCAGGAATGAAAGGAAGTATAGCACACTTGGAAGAGCGCCAAGCGGGTGACTTGAGAGATCAAGTGCACAGTTTGACTGACTTGGGGTTTTATAGATTGGCATGCTTTGGGGTCTTGTGTCTTTTCTCCCCTGATTCTTCCCTTGAGGTGGGCATCTGCCTGTGCAGTGGTCTGATAGCAGGTTTACTGGAGTTGTACACATGCTCACTTGAGGTGTTCTTCTCTTCATTTTGGAATGTCATACACAGTTAAACATCACCATTTAGCCTGTTAATGTGCATGCTTGAGCCCAGTAGCCCAACTCCTGAGTTCTTACTGGGAGGCTGCTGATCATGTTTGAGGTGTTTTTTATTTATTGAGAGCTGCCTTTCCGTGGTGCCAGCTGGGACTAATTATTATTTTAGCAAGACAGTTAACAACTACCTGATGATCTCTTGATGATTGCCTGGCATTCCTGGTGTGTGTGTTGGGGGAGGGGGACAGCACTGTCCTCCCCTGCTTCTGCTGAACTAGCTACTCACTGTACCAATATCATTTCAGTCTTTGAATAATATGTATATAATTAAATTATAGCTACCTGAAGCCATAGATCACATCTCATATCTATTTTTTTCTCTTATTCCTTCTATGCTTCTATATTAGAAAACATCAACTATTATAGATCATTGAAACAGGCAACTGTCATATGGTGGCATTGTGAGACAGTTGAACTTTTTGGTTGGAATATTCATTTCAAATTATATAGAGATCTTTCAGCAAAGACTTTAGCTTTTGGTCAAATGCTTGAGTATTTCAATGAGCATATTACCCTTGAAAACAGACTGAATACTTCTTAGAAATAATGGTGGATGATATTCAGTCTTGTTTTATTCAGCTTTGTAAAATTTCACATTCTATTGAAACATTTGGTGACACTTAAAAATACATGCAGTAGTTCATCATTATCTATTTTCCTCAGTAGTGAAAAAAGTAACTATTAGGAAAAATACAAAATTATCTTAGATTGAGTTATTTATATTGGTTTGATCCTTTTAAAGAAAGCCTAGTTTTATCCTCTATATTTCAAAAAAAAATCATACTATTTTAGAATACTTAGGTTCTGGCTATGAAATATTTTGAATGTATTACTGAAATATACTACTTAATGAAGTCATATAAAATAATAGAATTATTTTTATCTAGTTTTGTCATAAAGAAATATTTTTATCTTTAATTTTCAAAATGCATATGAGTACCTTTCCACTTAACAGTCAGCATAAACCAGTGTTGATCAACAGGCGCGTATTCATGCTCATTTCTTTGTATAGTCCACTGAAATGTGATATGCTCAGTGGCTTTAATTTGTGTTTGTATCTATCCTATTTACTTTAATACCGAATTAAGAGCAGTTGACTGAAACTTGTCTTTGAAAGGGCCATGTCATTCAGGAGAAACTTTTAAATTCTCTTAGTAATGTTCTTCATTGCTGTATATTCCATAGATGATGTTGATCAGTTCTGGTCCCAATGTATTTTTTCTCCATCTATGTTGCAACTCATAGATTTTTCAGCATTAAAGCAAAAAGGTACTTGGTGTATCTCCCTTGTATAAGAATAACATCTATGTCAATAACAGATTCACACTCTGAGCATCAGCGATTTTATTCAACTCCAAATTCAAATGTCTACTGGAACACTTGTGCGACAGTAATTGTGTCCCTCATTGTTTGTATGGCATAATTTCCTACAGCTGCTGTAACAAATTACTGCAAACTTTGTAGCTTAAGCTAGCACAGATTGATTCTTTTACAGTGGTCAGAATTCCAAAATCAGTTTTACTGGGCCCAAATTAAGGTGTCACCAAGGAGTTGCCTCTTTCCAGAGCTCTCTGGGAGAATCAATTTGTTTGCTTTTTCCAGCTTCTAGAGCTCATGCCTTGCATTCCTTGGCTGGTGGCCCCTTCCTCCATTTTCAAAGGCAGCAGTCTAGCATTTTGCTTCAAAGTCACATTTCCTTCTTCTGTATCAAATCTCCCTTTGCCACCCTCTCTGAAGAGCACATGTGATGACATTCAGGGCCCACCCAGATAATTCAGCATAATCTCCCCATCTCAAAAGCATTAATTAATCACATCTGCAAAGGCCCTTTTGCAATATAAGGCTGCATTCACAGATTCCAGGGATTAGGACTTGAATACATTTGAGGGCCATTATTTAGTCTGCCATATATGATTATATTGTGGGATATTTTCATAGGTTACTTAATAATGTTGATATTCTACCCTTTTTCCATGTACAGTATTTTTCACTAACTTTTGGGATGCTTTTAAAAGCTGCTTGACAATGGTGTGACTGATACATGCATTTGCTCCATGGAGCACATCTTTGAATAATATCTCTAGAGTCTAATATCTTTGGTCTATTTTTTGACTTTACCTTGTTTACCATTTCTTATTGGAGCACATTTTTTTTGTAGTAGCCATTTGTTGCTTTTAGCTGTCCACATCCATAAGCACTCCTCCTCTTGTAATTAAGAGCTGCTGCCCCTTTGGGAGGTTCTCCTATTTTATATAGACTTGGTGGTACACAGTGTTGTACCTTCCCCCAAGAAACCCGGAAGGATCAGATACTTTTAAACACCCCACTGGCATACTTAGGAGCAGGTACATGACTTAGGTCAATTAATCAGTTGCTATCTATTAGGACTTTGAATATTTTGTGAACCATATTTTTGCATGTATCCAAAAACATTTGTTATACTAAATACTGTTCTAGGCACTGAGAATATAGCAATAAACAAAACAATGTCCTATCATCCTGAATTTTACATTCTAGTAGGATGATACAAATAATGGAAAAGTAAATGAACATATTATATGTCAGATGGGGATAAATGCTATGAGGAAAAATAAGGGCATTAGAGTAACTGCTGGAAGATAGCTTTCTAGACATGGTGGACAGGGAAAGTCTCTTGTAAGTGGTATTTGCGCAGAGAACTAAAACAGATGAAAGACTGCTCCACACCGTCCGGGAGGGAGGTGCGGGGCAGCCCCCGCCCGGCCAGCCGCCCCGTCCGGGAGGGAGGTGGGGGGCGCCTCCGCCCGGCCGCTGCCCCGTCCGGGAGGTGGGGGGCGCCTCTGCCCGGCCGCCCCTTCTGGGAAGTGAGGAGCCCCTCTGCCCGGCCGCCACCCCGTCTGGGAGGTGTACCCAACAGCTCATTGAGAACGGGCCATGATGACAATGGCGGTTTTGTCGAATAGAAAAGGGGGAAATGTGGGGAAAAGATAGAGAAATCAGATTGTTGCTGTGTCTGTGTAGAAAGAAGTGGACATAGGAGACTTCATTTTGTTCTGTACTAAGAAAAGTTCTTCTGCCTTGGGATGCTGTTGATCTATGACCTTACCCCCAACCCGGTGCGCTCTGAAACATGTGCTGTGTCCACTCAGGGTTAAATGGATTAAGGGCGGTGCAAGATGTGCTTTGTTAAACAGATGCTTGAAGGCAGCATGCTCCTTAAGGGTCATCACCACTCCCTAATCTCAAGTACTCAGGGACACAAACACTGCGGAAGGCCGCAGGGTCCTCTGCCTAGGAAAACCAGAGACCTTTGTTCACTTGTTTATCTGCTGACCTTCCCTCCACTATTGTCCTATGACCCTGCCAAATCACCCTCTGCGAGAAACACCCAAGAATGATCAATAAAAAAAAAAAAAAAAAAAAAAAAAAAAGTTGTTTCTAAATGATGAAAAAAAAAAAAAAGAAAGACTGGGATATTCATATATTGGAAGGGTGTGATAAGCAAAGGAAATAATCAGAACAAAGAGTCTAAATGGGTCTGTGATTGACTTGTTTATGGGAAAGCTGTGGGGCAGGATAAATGGAGAGGCCAGGATAGGAGATAAGGTCAGAGAGCCAATGGGGGGTCAGATTATGTAAAGTTTTGTGAACCATGGTAAGGAGTTTGTATTTTGCTTCAAGGGTTAGTGGGACGTTTTGAAAGATGAGGGGAGGAGTCACATAAACTGATTTACATTTTGAAAAGCATTCTAGCTGTTGTTTGAAGAATAGTATACAGGAGGCAAAGGTGGAAGCAAGGTGGTGCCTTAGAAGTCTATTGGGCAGTCTGGCTTAAAGTTGATGGTGGTGTAGCCTATGGCAGTGGTTCTCAAACTTTAGTTTCAGAATCATCTGGAAGACTTGTTAAACATAGATTGCTGATCTGCATCCGAGTTTTGATTCAGTAAGTCTGGTGGGGCCAAAGAATGTACATTTCTAACAAATTTGCATGTGATGCTGATGCTGCTGGTCTGAGGTTTATACTTTGAGAACTATTCAATGGTAGTTAGTAGTGGAAGTGTTGAGAAGTGATTAGATTCTGGATATATTTCAAAAGCTCAGGCAGAAGTATTGGATGATTGATTGGATGTGGGGTGTTAGATAAGAGAATCTAATATGACTCCAAGGTTTTTGTCTGAGAAACTGAAGAAGGTAGGTGGGTGAGAAGAAGATTTTATTCTGTAAGGTTGAATCAAAACATCCAGTTTTGCATATGTTAAGGTTTGAGAACCCAGTTGGACTTCCAAACCCAAATGTCAAATAGGGACTTGGGAAATGTGCTTGATATTCAGTTGAGAGGTCAGGGCTAGGATAGGAGAAGTCGGTAGCACATGAATAGCATTTAAACCCATGGGACTACATGATTTACCTAGGGACTGAGTGAGGACAGAGTAAAGAGAAGAAGTGTGGAGAGAGTCATATCCTGGAATAGAGAGGAAAAAAGTAGGATGAAAGAGTGCAGAAAGAAGTAGGATGTTATCATTGGTGTTAAATCATGTTAGTAGGTCAAATATGATGAGAGCCTAGAACTGACCAATGTATCAGGCAAGGTGGAGGTCATTGGTGGCTTTCATAGGTGTAGTTATTTTGGAGTGAATCAATAATGGCTTATTTGTGGTGGGTACAAGAAAAGACTGAAAACAGCAAATATAGTTGGTACTTTCAAGGGATTTTTCTGTAAAGGGGAAGAGAGAAATAGAGAAATGGTTGGAGAGGATTGGATGAAAGGAGATCTTTTGTTTTTTTTAATATGAAGGATACTACATCATGTTTTACTGATGAAGGCATCATCCTTTATAACCGAAAAGAAAGTCAAAAATGTGGGTCTGGTGCAGATAGGATGGTATATTTGGTCATGAAAACCTAAGTAACTTTTAATTCTACTTTTCTTATTGAGGCACCAAGGCCGTCAATAGAAGGAAGAAAGCATTAGAGTTTTAAGGGAAAGAAGTGGGAAAGAGAAATGACTAGGGAAACACAGCGGGACTGTTAGGCAATAGGGAGGCCCACTGAGCATTTGTAGTAATGAATTCAGGATGAATCTGGTCAACCTAATTGTATGTTTCTTCTTAAGGCACATGCAACTTTTCAGGCAGGGATGAGGAGGACAGGGAGCTAGATTTAAGTAGGGTTGGGATTTGCCAGTCTTATTGGATGAAAGAGAAGGGTATGGACATAGAGGGTATATACAAAGAGTGATACAGGTTAAACATTTCCAATTCAAAAAACTAAAATCCAAAATTCTCCCAAATCTGAAACTTTTTAAAGCACTGACATGATGCCACAAGTGGAAAATTCCACACCTGTCCTCATATGATGGGTCATAGTCAAAATGTAGTCAAACATTTGTTTCATGCACAAAGTTATTAAAAATACTGTATAAAATTGCCTTCAGTTGATGTGTACAAGGTACATATGAAACATAACGAATTTGTGTTTAGACTTGTGTCTCAAATCCAAAGCACTTCTAGTCCCAGGCACTTTGGATAAGGGATACTCAACCTGTATAATGACAGGCCATGGAATCTAAGCCAATTTAGGAGTAAAATGGAGACTTACAGAGGTGATGGACAGTGAGAAGGTAGTAGGATCAATGGACTGTTGTCTCGAACAAATAGTTTGGGTCCTTGGGGGAGTGAAGTGGATTGATAAGGGAAGCTGGTTACACTGTGGGATTTCACAACTGAGATCATAACGGATGTTCAGTTATGAGTATGACAAGGATCAAGATATAATCAGAGAGTAGGTGACTAAGGTGGGTAGAGGACAAGAATACTGGAAATAGGTCAACGAACTTAGAGGGCAGAATAGTATTAGAAGCACAACTTAGGTGAATACTGAAATAAGAATTATAAAGAGTAGTGGTAGAGAGTGAAAATCAGGAGCTAAAATATTCTGGGAATGAGGGAGAGTGACTCAGGTCTGTAGTTAACTGCAACAATGAAGGATCAACAGTGTTCATATTTGATGGCATGAGTTTCTAAAAGGATTTATAAAGGTTTTCAGAAATGGCAAGCCCCATATATTTGAGTTTGGAAAAACAGTGACCACTAAATTAGGTCATTAGGAGATAGCAAAGTTTTTCTTGGAGCAAAAAGGTGAAGAGAATGTTTAGAGAGAAGAGCTATAATAGGTATTCACTGATGGCAGATGATTACTCTGATGTTCGGGAGTTTTAGTGTGGGTGGGGTGGCTGTTCTATTTCGGGCAGTGTACAGAGCTGTATGGGTGTGAGAGTCCAGGTGAGAAGAGATGGCCTCAGAGTCTAGGGCTTCTTATGGTGCCCCTCACATGATGTCAAGATGTGAAGGTAAGTTTCATGGCAGGAAGACAGTGTAGGAATTCCTCAAAGACATAAAGACAGAAATACCATTTGACTCAGCAATCCTATTATTGGGTATATATACAAAGGAATATAAATTATTCTGTTATAAATACATATGCATATGTATGTTAATTGCAACACTATTCACAATAGTAAAGACATAGAATCAACATAAATGCCCACCAACGATAGACTGGATGAAGAAAATGTGGTACATATATACGATGGAATATTATTCAGCCATAAAAAAGAATGAGATCATGTCCTTTGCAGGCACCTGGATGGAGCTGGAGGCCATTATCCTTAGCAAACTAATGCAGGAACAGAAAACCAGATATCACATGTTCTCACTTATAAGTGGGAACTAAATGATGAGAACACATGGACACATAGAGAGGAACAACAGACACTGGGGCCTTTTGGAAGGTGGGTGGTGGGAGGCGGGAGAGGATCAGGAAAAATAATAGGTACTAGGCTTAATACCTGGGTGACAAAATAATCAGTACAACAAACCCCCATGACACACGTTTACCTCCGTAACAAACCTGGACATGTACCTCTGAAGTTAAAAGTTAAAAAAGATTCATGGCAGGGTTGTGGCAGCATTGGCAAGCACCCAGAGTCTTCTGTAGTGTGACCTTTGTAACAAAACACTCAGTCCCACGTTACTTTGTTGTGGAGAAACCTTCCTGGTCTTTCTTGTTCCACTGAGCCTATTCTCATGCCTGTTGGGAAGAAGACCATATCATTTGTGAATTTGAAAGAAGGAAATGGGTATGCTCAGTTCAGCCTCATCTTCTCTTCTTCACATCTGTCTGTCTGCAGAAAGGCTCCTGCCTTAGAATAATGGTCTTGCCTCTGTCTGTCTAGCTGAGGCATAAGAGGGGTATAAATCTAACTGAGGAAGCCTCTTCTGTCTATGACATCTCCAACTCAGATTTTTCCCTAATAATTTGGTAATTTACCCTCAGGTCTTTAGCTCAGGCAGAAGGAGGGTATTGTTCCAGCCTTGGCTTCTAATGCAGACCCTCAGATATGCTTTTGATTCTACCCATTTTTAAGCCTGGTTCTTCAGCCTTGGGCTGATTCTGTATAAACTCTGAATTGTCCTTTAAACACATTCCCATTTTGCTTATTATACATAGAGTCACTTACAGTTGCTTTAAACCAAGCACCATGAGAAATACAATCATTTCGTTCTTGTTCTGGACAAACTTCATTGGTTTGCCAGAAAGGTCATCGTGCTTTGTTTGAAAATGGCTAAAATGGTTGTATGTTACTCTTTGACGTTTTATTACAGACAGCGAACAGGGGAATAAATCATCAGTCTAGGAAAAGCCAATTTTCAGATAATTATCATTGTACTTTGTATTCTCACTCTACTGTTTTGACTGTTTATGCTAAATTCTCACATTTGCAGATTCACTTGGATGAGCATGTACAGATTCACTTTCTGTAGTCTTTCTGGAGTCAGGTTTAACTATGTTTATGACATCCTTCTGGGCTGTACTTTTTACATTATAGTTTTGGAGTTTTTTTTCTATCCGTGCACAATATTAGAGCCGTTATTTCATTTGGAGGGATTGGTGGCATAATGATAGACTACAGTACACACGGAAGTATAAATTTAACAACTGTAAACAATTACATAGAAATATGAATCCATTGGCTCAGACTGCATGCTGTCAACAAATATGAGCCAAAATAAACTGACCAATATTGTCTTCAGAGCACTTATATGACCTTTGCAGATTTAATGATTAGTAAGAATCTCAAAGGGATTGTGTGAAAATCATAAATAATCTTATTCTTCTGGTTACGTATTGTTACATGACAAACTATCCCAGTACTCAGTGGCTTAAAACAATACCATCAAGCTATATTTCACAGTTCTGTGGGCTGAGCTTTGGGGGCAAGGCTTGGCCGTTTGATTTTTCTGCTCCACATGGCATTGGCTGGTGTTGATGGTATTCAGTGATGAAGGCTGGGCTGAGTCAGAGATTCCAAGGTGCTTTGCTCACGTGCCCACTGATTTTGTTGGAATGACTGGAAAACTAGGATGAGCTGGTGGCCCCCGCTCTCTCCAGGGTAGTTTTAAGGTCTTTCCTACGGGTGTGTAAAACAGGGTAGGTGGATTTCTAACACAGTAGTTTAGGGATCCAAGAGCAATGGTCCTAAGAGACCCAGGTGGGAGCTTCAGGACTTTTTATAACATAGCCTAGGAGGTCCCAGAAAGCCACTTTTATATTCTGTTTATCAAATAAGTTACTAAGACCAGGTTGGCTTCAAGGGCAAGAGAATTAGACTATCTTTTAGGGACAGAAATGTAAAACACTTTATAGTTATCTTTAGTCCACATTATGAAATTTATTAAATGAATATGAGCAACATTGTTCCATTGTTTTCGTCTCTGAAATGAATTGTGTGTGGACTGCTTGGGATCACCAGTACTCCAAAGACCACATTTTTACAAAAAGATTTGTGTAGAAAATGAGGTTCGTCCTTAAAATAGCCCTAAAACTCACAAGGACAGTTGCTACTTAAAACCTGATCATATGATGTTTAGCCCTGATTGGGAGGTAGTATAACATAATGGATACTGTGGTCTGTGGAGTGAAACTGCCTGGAATTCAGAGCCAGGTGATAAAACTTATTAGCTATATCATATAGACAAATGCCTTAATTTGTTTACATTTCAGTTCTCATTTTCTGCTTCTCTATCTGGAAATAATAACATCTTCGATTTCACCAGGTTGTTTTGAGAATTAAACAAGAAAATGGAAGTGAAACATTTATCACAGTTAAACTTAGTTATCACTCAATAAATGTTAAGTATAATTATTAATATTGATAAATTTACTTGAGCTCTGAAATCTCACTGGTATTAGGCATTGCCTTAAGAACAACAGATATTTAAGATACGAGCTATTGAAAATGTGTGAACCAGTGTTTTGCAATGATCCTTTTATACTGCTGGTTAGATTCTGTTCTCTTGATTTCTGTAACAGTAAATTGAAGGCCAAGAGAGAATTGGCCTGTAGAGATTCTCCAGCCAATCGACTAGAATGGAGGCATGCAAACAATGGGTCAGTATTTTAAGAAACAAAAACCAAACCAAATCAAAGCATACTCTTGTTTCAGGTAGATTAAATGTATTCCTCTCTTTTTTTTTCTTCCAATGTGAATTTTGTCATAGACATTTTTCCTATGCCAAATGTTTGGACCATAGCATGGTTAGTAAAAAAGTTCCATGTTAGGATCTTAAAGCTTTCATTTTAGTGTTTGTCATATGATTAGGGTTTAGAATTGGCAATGTGTGTGAGAAACCTATAAGTGTGCTGGCTTAAGCAAGATAAAGGATTCTTTCCATCTCACATACAGTCTGGGGATAGGCAGTCCAGAACTTTTATGGCAGCTTGTATTAATAATTTATGATCCCAGGTTCCCTCCATCCTGTGGCTCTGTCATGTGTCATTTTCATTCCTAAGGACAGTGTCCATGATGACTTCTGGAGCTCCAGACATCAATTTGCTTTCCTACTATCAGAAAGAAGAAGGAAGGAGAGAGGATATGCCTTCTGACTATAAGGATACTTCCTATAGAATTCAAATAATGCTTTTATGAAGTTCTTTCTGACACCACATATGTGGTGTCTTTGCATATCAATTATCTGGCACCAACTGGATGACCAGCAATTCAACTCAATCCTGTCATTTTTTACCTGGAGTTAGTGTGCAATTCCACAAGTTAAAGGGCTCTGTCCCACAAGACTGTTCCTACTTCAGATGCCAGCCACATACGATGTGCCCAGGCTGCCAACAGTTCTGCTCCACTGACTTCAAATTTGGGAATTCTCACAACGCCTCTCAGTTTTGATAATTTGTTTTAGCAACTCACAGAACTTGGGAAAATACTTTGCTTGTGTGTATTTGTTTACTATAAAGGATAGAAGTGAACAGCCAGATAAAGAGTTAACATGGGGTGAGGTCTGGTTCCAAGTGCAGGAGCCTCTGTCCTAATGGAGCAACCTCTCCTCATGCGGATGTGTTTACCAACCAGGAAGCTTCCCAATCTCATTCTTCAAGAGTTTTTATAGAGCTCAATCTTCAGGTCCCCCCTTCTCCTCCTCAGAGGTACTGAAAGTTCCAACCCTCTAATAACAAGTTTGGTCTTCCTTGTGACCAGCTCTGTCTGAGACTACCTGCAGGCCACCCCCCTTCCACCCCCCTTCCACCCCATCTAAGTCACCTCATTAGCATAAACTCAGATGTGGTTGAAAGGGTCTCCTTATGAATAACAAAAGATACCCCCATCACTAAAGAAATTCCAAGAGTTTTAAGGAGCTCTGTGGAACTGGGCGTAAAGACCAAATATTTATTTTTATTGTATCATAGCCCATTGACCATAATTTAGTTACATGGCCTCATCTAGCTGTAAGGGAGTCTTAGAAATGTGCTCAATGGGGATTTTATTATCAAGGAAGGAGAGAAGAATGGATTATGGGAAAACCTCCCTGCTCCTTCATGAATGAATTTTCTATTCATTAATGGAAGTTTCCGGCAGTCAGCCTTAATGATTTGTAGTAAAGACCTGGGCCCCATGGGAATGGTTTTCCAAATGTTGGCATTAGCCTCACTATTGTTGTAGTCCCTGAACATTTGGAAAAGACTCATCATTACTAATCAGTCTGGACTTCTGCATGGGGTGTTACTCTGTGACCCTGCTTGTCCCTAAGTCAGTTGCGACCTCATTTGGTTTGGTTTGTTAGGCTGTAAGTCCTGCACATAGGGACTCTGTGCAATTCTAAAGGTTATGCCTACTTCCTTGACATTTTGTGTAAACATTTGTCTAAATATTCAACGTTACTCATAATACAATATTTCTTCTACTTCTAATTAACCAAAATGAATTAGTTTCTTTCGGAGAACTACCCTTCAACTTCTAACATCTTGCCTTGTCTTTGATTTTACTTGTTATCTCTGTGACTTGTTCATTTACTACTGATACGCCTTTTAATCTCTTAAACCAATGCTTAATTTGCAAATTTCTGTAACATACCAACTGATTTGACTCATCTGAAGGACTTTATCAAAAGCCCATGGGAGTCTAACTTTATATAAAAGCACACATTCTCATTTGTTTCTCTGCAATCTCCTTATCTCTTAGCTTTTCCTGGAATGCTATGACAGGTGAGCTACGTTAAGATCCTCTCAGGAGGTTCAGATTTCAGGCTTATTTTAAAATATTGCTGGACTTTGTATTTGGGCAAATGATTTATCATCTTATTTGTTCTCAGTTTTATCAGTGAGAACACCTTTTATATGAGACTGGCATGTCCTGGACTCCTTCTATTGTTATTGAACTTAGTAAATGTTTTTTAATTGTTGACCAAAGTCATTGTTTTGTATTATAAAAACATAGACATATAGGATTATTGTTTGTGATGTATTTGAGAAAGACTTAACTATTCTACAATGTTGGGATGTATTTTGGTGATGGGAATGTTTGGAGTTTGCCATGCTGTGACAAGTAGTAGCAGGAAGACTCAAAAAACCTGTTACAAAGACAGCTGTGGTGTGGTGGGTTCAGCACACATTTTGTGTTGGAACACCTGGATTACTGGGAGAATTTGAGTAGTGTTTGCCATGGTGTTTGGGGGAGCTTCAAAATGTTGTAAAATGAAATCTAATACATACTTTCTGAGAGCCCATGCTGACTTGATGTTTTGCTGGTCTTGCAGGAAGCACTCAGCCTCTTGTGGGGTTCAGTTCACAGGCATCAGTAGCTATTGGATACTAATATTCAAATTCTGTGGAACACTATGACAGGAGATATAAAGAAAGGTATTCAATAACATGTGTCACAGCTCTCAGGAATATTAGTCCTGATCCTTTGCAGTTATTCATCTCCTTTTCCTTTTCCTCTTTCTCTGTTTCTCTCTCTCTCGCTCTCTTCTTTTCTCTTTACTTCCTTTCCTTTCCTTTCCTTTCTTTCCTTTCTTTCTCTCCTTCCTTTCTTTTCTTTTCCTTCCTTACCTCCTTCCCTCCTTTTCTTCTTTCTTTCTCTCTTCTCTTCTTTTTTGTTTCTCTCTCTTTGTCTCTGTCTGTCTCTCTGTCTCCCTCTCTCTCTCTCTCTCTCTCTCTCTTTCTCTTTGTTTCTTGACGTAGTCACACTCTGTCACCCAGGCTGGAGTCCAGTGATACGATCTTGGCTCACTGCAACCTCAGCCTCCTGGGTTCAGGTGATTCTCCTGACTCATCCTCCTGAGTAGCTGAGATTACAGGCATGTGCCACCACACCCGGCTAACTTTTGTATTTTTAGTAGAGACATGGTTTCACTACGTAGGCAAGGCTGGTCTTGAACTCCTGACCTCAGGTGATCTGCCCACCTCAGCCTCCCAAAGTGTTGGGATTAAAGGCATAAGCCACCTCGCCTGGCCTATTCATATATTTTAATTTTACTTTTTCATGATTTTAGTGTTTTATGTCCTTTGTATGAATTATATTAATTGCTTTGATTTCTTGGATTGAAAAGGACCCTTGGAACTTATTTTCTTCTTAGCACAGTTAGTGGTCTTTTCTGCCATAATAGCTTATCAAGACAGCAGGATCAACTTAACTCACAGCTCTTTATTAGTCACTTTAGACATGTAATCAAATTAATTCTCCAGACAGTAGAATGTTGAATGATGTATTCAAGTCCTTTAAAAATTGTTAAGTCATAAATAGTCATTTTCCTTATAACATGAAAATATATATATATCAACCAACCCACATTTTTGAAAACTGTAAATTTTTTGCCTGATTATTTATTAACAGCAGTGTAATTTTATGTTTATTAAGACTGTCTTTCTGTGAATTCAGATACTGTGATGGTTAATTTTAGATATTAACTTGACTGAATTCAATAATATCTAGAAACCTGGTGACTGGTGAAGGATTATTTTTGGGTGTGTCTGTGAGGGTGTTTCCAGAAGAGGTTAGCGTGTGAGTCTGAGTGGACTAGGCAGGGAAGATCTGCCTTCAGTGTGGGCGGGTACATCTAATCTGTTGGGAGCACAGACAGAACAAAAATAGAGAAAAGGCAAATATGTTGATCTATCTGCTGGAGCTGAGATACACTATTCCTCTCCTGTCCTTGGACGAGAACTCCAGGCTCCCAGGCCTTCGGACTCCAGGACTTATATCAGCAGGCTTCTGGGTTCTCAGGCCTTTGGCCTTGGAATGAGAATTACATCATCTGCTTCTCTCATTCTAAGGCCTTTGGACTACACTGATCCATGCTGACAGCATCCCGGGGTCTCCAGCTTGCAGATAGCCTATCATGGGACTTCTCAGCCTCCATGAGTACATGAGCCAATTCCCCTAACAAATCCCATCTCTTATCTAACTGTCTATCTATCTATCTACCCACCCACCCGTCCATCTGTCTGGTGGTTCTGTCTGTCTAGAGAACTCTGACTAATACAGATTTCTTAATTTGCTGCATCTTCTTTATTTTTATGTGTTCCTTGAATCTTAGTGTAACAGGGGTACCAGTTTGATCTCATGCCAGGTTTAATCATATCTTGGCATGACTGGGAAACTGTTGGATTGGTCCCATCATTCATTCATTCCATCAATATTCTCTGAGTGCATAGTACATGCCAGATGCTGTTCTAGTCATTTGGGATAAAGCAGTGGCCAAAACAGAAAAAAAATTCTATCCTCATAGAGCTTATGCTTTCTTTTTGGGAGCGTGTGTGGGTGTGGAAGAAGCAGTAATTTCTAGAACTATTTTGTTTTTGAGATGGAGTTTTACTGTGTCACCCAGGCTCGAGTGCAGTGGCACGATTTCGGCTCACTGCAACCTCTGCCTCCAGTGCTCAAGCGATTCTCCTGCCTCAGCCTCCTAAGTAGCTGGGACTACAGGCATGCACCACCATGTCTGGCTGATTTTTTGTATTTTTAGTAGAGACGGGGTTTCACCATGTTGGCCAGGTTGGTTCCAAACTCCTGACCTCAAGCAATCTGCCCGCTTAGGCCTCCCAAAGTGCTGGGATTACAGGTGTGAGCCACCATGCCCAGCCAGAACTTTGTTTTATTAGGCTCTACACAGCCTGCAAATAGACAACACTGATTAGAGGACAGAGGAGCCTTTTGCCCGCAGCTAGACACCTGAACCTGACTCAGTCAGAAAGCCTTAGTCATTAGAGGGGAGGGGCTGTCTTTGGCTGAGTCCTGATTGTTCTCAGGACTGGCTCTGTGTGTGTGTGTGTGTGTGTGTGTGTATGAGAGAGAAGGAGGGAGGGAGGGAAAGAGAGGGAGAGAGAAGGAAGGGAGAAGGAAGAAGGTAGAAAGGGAAAGGTAGATCTGTTAGTTTGAAAGTAAAAGGGAAAACAGTCCATTTTATGATATACAAGAGGGAGTAGACTTCATGTATTTATTATGAACACAAGTGAGAGAAAATGCTTGGAAATATGCCAGACTGGAAGGACTTTGCCGGAGGTTAACATCCTGTGTGAGAAAATGGGGAGAGACAGTAAAAGGTGTTAATGAACCCAATAGACTGGTGAGAATGTATTTTCCCAGATGTTTCTTTTTGACTCTAAGCTAGGCCAACAATCCTAAGTCCTTCATGTCTCTGAAGAAGCGTCATCTTTATTTTGGAAAATTATCCATGGTGCCTAAAAGATGGAATTACATGCTCCTTATTTTTGCTCCCATTCTGCTCATGTATTAACATCTATTATTCTGTGCCGTAATTGCATGCTATGTGTTCTAAGGCTATAAGTTCTATAAGCAGGACCAAATATGGAAGATTTTTAAGCTCTTAACTACATGTCAGTCATGCTACCATGCACAAGGGAACAGAGTACTTCTTTAGGTACATGCTTGGTAGAGTGCCTGATACGTAGTAAGAGCTTAATAAAGACTTAATATTTACATTTATATTCTTTGTCTAAAGCTAAACATTTCTGCTACTCTTTTTCTTGGCCATTTTTATACGATAGTAGAAGGTTATAAAATGATGGCGTTGTTTTTAGGAGGTTTTCTTAACATATTGTATACAACTATGAAAGAAGTAACCACCATATTCAGAATATTAAAAAATTATTAATTATTTAAATTGACAAATAAAATTTGTATATTTTAAAATGTACAACATGATGTTTTGAATATGTATACATTATGAAATGCAAGTCAAGCTAATTAACATATGCATTACCTCACTTATTTTTTTTTCTGGTGAGAACACTTATAATTTACTCTCTTAGTGATTTTCAGTAGTACAATACATTGTTGTTAACTATAGTCACCATGTTTTACGATAGATCTCTTAAATGTATTCCTCTTATCTAACTAAAGTTTTATATCCTTTGACCAACATTACCCAGTCTTCCTCACACCTCATTCTCCTAGCACATGGTAACCAACATTTTGCTCTCTGCTTTATGAGTTTTAACTTTTTAAGACTCCACATATAAATGAGATCATGAGGTATTTGTCTTTCTGTGCCTGGATTATTTCACTTAGTATAATGTCCTCCAGGTTCATCCACGTTGACGGAATCTCGCTCCAGGCTGTAGTACAGTGGCGCGATCTCCGTTCACTGCAAGCTCTGCCTCCCGGGTTCATGCCATTCTCCTGCCTCAGCCTCCCAAGGAGTTGGGACTACAGGCGCCTGCCACCACGCCCGGCTAATTTTTTGTATTTTTAGTAGAGACAGGATTTCGCTATGTTAGCCAGGATGGTCTCGATCTCTTGACCTCATGATCGCCCCACCTCGGCCTCCCAAAGTGCTGGGATTACAGGCGTGAACCACCACGCCTGGCCAAGATTTCTTACTTTTTAAAAGCTGAATAGTGTAGTATTCATATACGGTGTATGTCACATTTTATAAATATCACATTTTCTTCATTCATCCATTGATGGACACTTAGGTTGATTCTATATCTTTACTTCTGTGAATAATACTGCAATGAACATGGGAATGCAGATATTTCTTCAACATACTGATTTCATTTTCTTTGTATATATATCCAGTAGTGGATCATATTGTAGTTCTATTTTTAATTTTTTGAGGGACCTCCATACAATTTTCCACAATGGTTGTATTAACTTGCATTCCCATCAACCCTGTGTGAGAATTCCCTTTTCTCAACATCCTTGCCAAAACTTATCTTTTATCTAGTCTAGCCATCCTAACAGGTGTGAGCTGATATCTCACTGTGGTTTTGATTTGCATTTCCCGGATGATTAGTGATGTTGAGCACTTTTTCATACACCTCTTAGCCATTCTGTGTCTTTTTTTGAGAAATGTCTATTTAGCTCCTTTGTCCATTTTTTAATTGGGTTATTTGTTTTCTTGCTATTGAGTTGTTTGAGTTCCATACATATTTGGGATACTAACTCCTTATCAGATATATGGTGTGCAGGTATTTTCTCCTGTCTCATAGGTTGTTTCTTTATTTTGTTGATTGTTTCCTTGGCTGTGCAGAAGGTATTTAGTTTGATATAATCCCATTTGTCTATTTTTGTTTTTGTTCCCTGTGCTTTTGTTGTCATATAAAAAAAATTGCACAGACCAATGTCATAGAGATTTCCCCTAGTTTTTCTTCTAGTAGTTTTATAGTTTCAGGTCTTATGCTTAAGTCTCTAATACATTTTGAATTGAGTTTTGTAGACGGTGTGAGATAGGATCTAATTTTACTCTTCTGCTTATGGATATCCAGTTTTCCCAACACCACTTACTAAAGCGACTGTTTCTTCCTCATTGTGTGTTCTTAGCACTTTTGCTGAAAATGAATTGGTTTGTAAATACGTGAATTTATTTCTTGGCTCTCTATTCTGTTCCATTGGTCTAGATGTCAGGTTTTTTTTTTTTTTATTATACTTTAAGTTTTAGGGTACATGTGCACATTCTGCAGGTTAGTTACATATATATACATGTGCCATGCTGGTGCGCTGCACCCACTAACTCGTCATCTAGCATTAGGTATATCTCCCAATGCTGTCCCTCCCCCCTCCCCCCACCCCACAACAGTCCCCAGAGTGAAAAGAAGGAGAATGCCATGTGAAGATGAAGGAGAGATCAGGGTGATGCATCTACTTTACTCGGAATGCCAAAGACTGCCAGCAACCACTCACAGCCCTCAGACAGAACCCTTCTGACATGTTGATCTTGGAGTTTTAGCTCCTAGAATTGAGACAACACATTTCTGTTGTGAAGCCACTCAGTTTGTGTTACAGCAATCCTAGGAAATGAATACATGGTCTGATGGTTTTTGTTTTCTCCGTGGGATGAGGCAAGAAAAGGGGATGGAGGTGGGTTAGAGTTGAGGGTTTAAAGAGAGAGGAGAGGGAATGAAGGAAACTTTATACTGGATGTAGAAATTTGAATGATACACAGAAGTAAAAGCAAAGCGGTAAAAACTATCTCAAATATCACAATCCTGTGATAACCACTATTGCTCTTTTAGAAAGCATCTTTTTGAACCTCTTTCCATACATTCTTTATAGCCTACTTTTTTTTTGTCAGCAATGTCATGGGCCCCTTTCTATGGCAATACATATTGGTAATTTTAAATGAAGCATAGCATTTTATTGCCATGTAAGTTGTTTCCAATTGTTGATAATTGCATGCATGTGGGGCTACAATGAATTCCTATATCCTCAAATTAGATTTTGCTCTTATGTGGTTCCTCCTTATGCTGAAGTCACTTAAGTGAGATTGCTGGATAAGGTTGCTTTTGAAATGAGAAAATCCAGGGTCAGAAAGATTTTTCAGGCGTCAAAAAGAGTCTGTGTTAACTTACAGGCAAGGTCTGTTTTTTTTTTGTTTTGTTTTTTATAGACTACTGAGTAGTTTTTTCTTATACATGTCTCACTGGAAAAGTTCCATTCACTGTTGCTAATTTATATAGTTTACTGAGGCCACATCTTTCACAGAGCCTTGAATTTTATTTACTGTAATCACATACTAGAAGAAAGAAGCAAATCTTTTGGTGGAGTAGTTTCCACTAAGATTTTATATTTATGTTTTAAAAGATGATAGAAATCCAGAAGGATAGCTTAGGAGCCTCTTTTGGTCTGAGTGGATGAGGAGCTTCTATGTGACTGCCTGTTGATCATTTTAATGGCAATCTGTATGCAGAAAGAGAGATCACATCACCAGTGCTTGCTGATGGGGAAGTAAAATTTTGTGAAACAGTAACATTTTATATGGAAAAAGGCCATAGAGTCCATAAAGAGAGCAATTGATATACATGGCTCTGATGAACAAGTTTTCCATCTGAATCAGGATTTTGAGAGTATTGAATAGAATTGTTTGCTTTTCATTCAACCAGCTAATCAACAGGTTTTTTTTTCTGTTTTCCTTTTTTTTTTGAGACCGAGTTTTTCCCTTGTCGCCCAGGCTGGAGTCCAGTGGTGTGATCTCGGCTCACTGCAACCTCCGCTTCCTGGGTTCAAGCAATTCTCCTGCCTCAGCCTCCCAAGTAGCTGGGATTATAGGCACCCACCACCACACCCAGCTAATTTTTGTATTTTTAGTAGAGACAGGGTTTCACCATTTTGGTCAGGCTGGTCTCAAGCTCCTGACCTCAGGTGATCCACCTACCTCAGCCTCCCAAAGTGCTGGGTTTACAGGCGTGAGCCACCACACCTGGCCAACATATTTTAAAATTTAACCTTAGTGAGTATTTTAACTCCTTTAAATATAATTTTCTGGGTATCCAGCCATCAACTTACACAGTAGGTGCCCAATAAATATTTATTGAAGGAAGGGAAAATGAATTAATCTAGTAAGGCTGGGTTATTTATATTCATCTATGTTACTAATAAAAAGGTGTTGGTCTTTCTTGTAACTGAGAGTTTAGTAGTGAACATATGTTTGTCTTATCCCTAGAAAATAAAACTAGAGTTAGTTTACAGACTGGCATTATTCAATACTGTAGCCACTAGCCACATGTGACCATTTAAATTAATTGAAATTTAAAATTTAGTTTCTGTATTACAATAGCTACATTGCAAAAGGCTTGGTAACCTCATATGGATAGTGGCTACCTTATTGGACAGCACAGATATCAGGCCTTTCTGAAAAACACTATTCTAGGCTGTACTCAGCAATGAAAAATTTTGGTAAATAGCAGATGAACAGGAATCATAATGAAGCAATGTCAACAATTATTTAGTGCTCACTGACAATAAGCTTTTTTCTTTTTCCTTTAATTTTAAGCTGGTGCTGCTACAGCTCAAGATGTTTACACAGGTGATTAGTTATCTTTATATCTGAAAAACTTTTGTTTAATTTTTCTAATTTACATAATCTCCACCTATGCTTGCTACTATTTTTCTCTTTTATCTAGCCAGACTCTTCTTTTCAGTGTGAATATTATTTAATTTACTGTAAATTACTGCCTGCAGTGAATACTCTTTAAATTTTGCCCCTGTTCATCCCCCTTCAAGAGTCTAGTACAATCAGAGAAGAGGCTGAGCTCTTTAAATGGTATGGGAATCCCAGAATTTTGGTTCATGTGGCTCACTGAATCTTCTATTATGAGGTTCTTTTCATGTGATCTTTTAGAATCACCCAATTTTAAATGTGGCTTATTTATGCATGCCTAAAAAATGCTTTTTTAAAAACCCCAGATTAGATATTTTAATTTGGAGATTTAGTCATGATTGGCATAGTGAAAAAAGACCCAAGAGTATGAGTTTATTTGGCAAAGGCTTTCTTCCCAATTATAGATATGAACAAGCAGTGGGCTTCTAAATAGATACCAGCCCTCTCACTACATCCAGGTAGACAGATAAAGTCTTCTTCATCTAAGGTTGCATCTCCTTTCTTTTTTTTCCTCATAACAAGGAAAAATCCAGTTGTAGCATGAAAGCCAATTTATTTTCAAATTCTTTGTTCATAAGATAAAATTTAAAAAGTTTTTTGAATTAATTTAGAGAAGGATTCATGTTGTATAGCTTATGGGTTTTTCTCCTTCCTCCTCCCAATTTTTCAGAAGAATGAGATCGTTCAGGCTAAATGTATGAAGAGAAACAATTTTAACTGATGTAAAGACTTTATATTTTGCTTTGGCCCAAACAAAACACAGTCATTTGTCAAGGGATAAAAAAGCAAGGAAATTAAAATTAGCTTGTACTATTCACAAGTATTAATTTTTCAAGAAACCCTCTGTCTGAATTATTTGTACTTTTAAATCATTCTTCAACTATTCATATTCTCTTGTAGATCTTTTCAGAAAGAATACTATAAAAATTGTTAATGGATTATGAAGTGTATTAGTCTGTTCTCACGCTGCTAATAAAGCCATACCTGAGACTGGCTAATTTATAAAGGAAAGACGTTTAATTGACTCACACTTCCACATGGCTGGGGAGGCCTTACAATCATGGTGTAAGGTGAGTGAGGAGCAAAGTCGTGTCTTACATGGTGGCAGGCAAGAGCATGCAAGGGGAACTCCCCTTTATAAAACCATCAGATCTCATGAGACGTATTTACTACCATGAGAATAGCATGGGAAAGACCCACCCCCATGATTCAGTTACCTCCCACTAGGTCCCTCCCACATCACGTGGAGATTATGGGAGCTACAATTCAAGATGAGATTTGGGTGGGGATACAGCCAAACCATATCATGAAGTCTCTACCTTTAGTAGGAACCTTTATATTATGTTGCTAGATTTATTTTCCATTTCAAATTAGAGATGACCAAGATGAATACTGATATGGTTACTTTCTTTTTGAGACCTGAGCTTATTCCTTGCACTAAGTCCCGTGTAAAATTAGGGAAAAAGTGAACATGTTAGTTTTTTGTTTTGTTTTTTAATTCTAAATTTGTCTCTTTGCAAGATGTGGTACATGAACACCACTGAATACTATACGGCCATAAAAAAAGAATGAAATCATGTCCTTTCCAGCAACATGGATGGAACTGAAAGCCATTATCCTAAGCTAATTAATGCAGGAAAAGAAAACCAAATACTGCGTGTTCTTACTTACAAGTGGGAGCTAAACATTGGGTACTCATGGACATAAAGATGAGAACAATGAACGCTGGGGACCAGTAGAGGGTCTAGGGAGAAAGGAGGGCAAGGATTTAAAAGCTAACTACAGGGTACTATGCTCACTACCTGGGCGAGAGGATCAAATGTACCCCAAGCCTGAACATCGTGCAATATACCCAGGTAACAAACCTGCACATGTACCCCTTGAATCTAAAATAAAAGTTAAAATTATAAAACTAAATAAATTTGTCTCTTTGCTTATACAAATAGGAATTAGGTATGCATATATGGACATTGATTTCCCAGAACACTCTTTGTAGAGCTCTGCCTGCCGTGGGGGAAAGAGTGTAGCCTTTAAAATACGAGCTCCCTGTTTTGCTTTTTACTAACTGTTTGACCTTGAATAAATTATTTAATTTCTCAGCTTCATTTCACTCATCTCTAAGACAGGGATGGCATAATTTACTTTGTGGGTATGGTGAGAGGATTGTAACATAATGAATATAAAGCATTTCAACAGCATCTGGCCAATAGAATATCCTCAGTAAAGGAATGTTACTATTTTTAAAGAGATTAACTTTATACAATAGCAGTGAGCCTACAATAGTGTAAAAGATGAAAAATTTTCAAAGATTTCTTTTAAAAAATGTGAAATGATTGTACTGTGGTGGCAGGAAAAATGGAGGCACACAGAAGTATCATATTTCCTTATCTCTTTCCAAGTATCTGAAGCTAATACTTAAAGCTGGGAAGAATAATTAGCAGCTTGATGTGTCAGTTTGCTATCTTCAGAGATATTTTGGAAAATGGCAATTTGCTAATTTAAATGAGATCCTCTGTGGTGATTACCACCATTCTTACATGAAAACATTGACTTACTCTAGGTTCTGGCTGACAAGTGAAATCGGGGCACATTAGTATAAACTTAGTCAGTGGGATGACTATAGAGAATGGAACACTTACATAAGCGGCTAGTAGACATTTGCTGTTGGAGTGGGAGGCTACAGACAAGCAATGGGCGAAAGCTAGAATGAAACAGGTAGTAATGAATTAGAGTTGGAGACATTAGAACAAACTGTTTTTCTTTATATAGATACATATGGACACATTTATAAATATGTGTATATGCATGGTTTGGTAGGCACACATATATTTCCTTGCTCTGTTAGCTAGGAGAATGTAGAAGCAATGACACCCTCACAGTAATGAGCACACCCAGTAACCAGATCTTGCTTTCTAGTACCATTCTCCAATAAAAACTAGGGCTTCTTGGAGAAATGACTGATTCCAGGTTGAAAAAGGAGTATATAAGATGAGCCTGGGCCAACTTGTAGTACCAGAAAGTAAGAAAAGTTCAAAAAACAAAACAAAATCAAACAAACAAAAAACAAAACCACATTGATGAAAGCATCTCAAAGGGGCACAAGAGGCAACTGAAAAGAGCTCCCAAATGCCAAAGCTGAAACAATTGAGCAACAAAATGAAGTAATATTGGGTTATACTCCAAGGTATAAAATAAATATCCATAAGTTTATACTGATATAAACAAATAGGGATAATTGAAAAATCTCCCAGGCAAGAGAATCCAAGCAATTTGTCGTTAAGGATAACACCTCACCCCGTAAGTGTGGGCTGTGCATGGTGACTTCTTTCCCAAGAATAAATCAAGGAAAGGGTGGAGAAGTGGGGAGTAACTTTCCAGTGGAGAAACATGACAAACACTATCGTAGCCAGGTGGCTTACCTAATGGAAAGGAAAGCTAAAATCTGAAAAAAGTATGAACTTTAGTTAATGATAATATACAAATTTAATCAATAACAATGTAACAGAGCCAGGTCACTACCATCTACTCGTATTAGACAACTGGTGGCCAGATGGAGGTGTAGCTTGGAGCTGGTGACTTTCCACTTATGTAAGGCATTTTAAGATTTTTTTTTTTGTTGTTATTTTGTTGGTATTCAGAATTTTTCAAGTTTTAAAAAGACTATGTTTACTTCTAAATAATTCTAAATAAATTATAATTATCTCTTTGCTTGTCAGTGTTTTTATGAATTTTTTATTTTGCAAAATGGATGAAAACAGTCTCCTCAAAAACCTGTAAACATTTTAATAACTGACCTACCCTAGGTCTTCTTTATAGTAGTTTTGCAAGTTACCAGCTAAGTGTTCTGTTTCACTTTTTTTCTAGCTGTAAAGTCTGTTTTTTTATGCTTTGCTCTTTCTTGGCATTATTAAAAATATTTATTTTAATTAGTCTAAATTTGGCTTAAAGAAGAACAAGTGCAACTGTACTGTTAAGGTAAATAATATGAATTTAATCAATTCAAGAAAATTATCTAACATGTTACGTGTCATGCCCTGTGCTAGGCATTGGATATGGCACAGGGAACAATATAGTGAGTTGCTTTCCTCATTGAGTTTCCATCATAATTGGGACTGAGGCTTTGAAAAGCCAATTACAGGTATGTCAAGGGAGTTGAACTGAGAGGGGTTTGGGGTGGGGTGGAATTTAAGCCAGTCCTTATAAACTGTTCTTAAGGAATTAATTATGTATGTTTAATCTGAGGATGATAGCAAGTGACTAGATCAGTGGTTCTAACCAGGGCTGTTTTGGAAATTTGTGAGAGTGTTTTAGGTTGTTGTAATGATGTGGGTTGCTATATAGCACTTGGTGTGTGGATCCAAGGACTGTTAAAAACAGTAGTGTATGAGATAATTCCAAAGGACAAGGAATTAGCTTCAATTGTATACATTTCTTAAGTCCTGCTAGAATTGTTTTGTTTTGTTTTGTTTTGTTTTGTTTTTGAGACAGAGTCTTGCTCTGTGGCCCATGCTGGAGTGCAGTGGTGCGATCTCAGCTCACTACAACCTCCACCTCCCAGGTTCAAGTGATTTTCCTGCCCCAGCCCCCTGAGTAGCTGGGACTACAGGCATGCTCCACCACACCCGGCTAATTTTTTTGTATTTTTAGTAAAGATGGGGTTTCACCGTGTTGGTCAGGCTGGTCTCAAACTCCCGCTAGACATTTTTATATACGTTGTGTAGCTTTTCTGCAAAAATACTATACTACTTATATTTCTACTTTGACAATCTGTCATTTGTTTTGGCCTGTTATTCCCTTTTAAATTAAGGTCATTTTGCTTTCGTCATATGTAAATAAGTACACTCAATTATGACGTATCCTGACATAAGTTTTCATTTGAGTGCACATCTTTATCCTTGTTCTTTCATTTTCCTATACCCCTACAAGTGACCTCTTAAATTTAGATTTACTCATTAATGTAGGAGTAAATATTAGATTAGATCTTGATGGCTTCCAGCAAAGCCATGCTCAGGCATTTACATATAAAAATATGTAATACTTTATTATAAATTACTTTCCTGTTGTTTCTCCTTTATATTAAACCTTGGATGTAGATACTGTATTGAATTTTAAAAATTCATATGTGTAAGAGCTTATATGTGATCTATGACTTTTGTTACAGGAGAATAATGAGGGCATTAGATGACGTTTGTTATAAAAAGGGAAGATTAGATCCGATAGAGTTTGAGAGTGTCACTATGACAAAGGGTGCTTGCACATTTTGTGTGTGGGAGCCAAGGATGCTGAATATCTTGCCATGCATGGGACACTTCTGCACATTAAAGACTAATTCTGCATCCCACACAGATTTTTAAAGTTTTGTAGGCTTTCATACAGGCCCTGTGTTTTTTTCTGAAAGAATATCATACTCCCTTATTCTCTCCTCTCACAATCTATAATTTGTTTGGCATATTATCTCTATGTCAATTAAGGTTATTTTGTTCTTTCTCTTTTCACTTATAGATAAGTTTGGTCTGTTACGACTTATTCTATCACTAGATTTTATGCTCCCTTTTGGTCCCTCTGTCTCTTCATTTTTTTATGCTTCAATGTACAGACTAACTTTTAATTTTCATCTTTTAAATTCAAACTTACTAATTACAGTAAGCTTAAACATCTGAGAGTACTTCGTTCTGTTTTTCAGTAGACATGCACAGGCATTAGTGTATATTGAAATACATATTAATTACCTTTTTACTTTATATTAACATTTTAAACTAATGTATCTTTGAAATAAAAAATAAAATGTACATTTTATTTTAGAAATAACTAAATATTTTGGTATTGTAAACCAAAAGTTCTCAGAAATCTCAGTGAAGACTACTCGGATCCTCAAGTGGCAGAAACAAGTTCTTCACTTTTCTAGATTCAAAGAACTTAAAAAGCCAACTATTACAAACAATTCAATAAGTTATAAAAGTTATGTTCCCGGATCCAGAGCTTCCCCTGTCCATCTTAGGTTAACTGAGACCCACTCCTCAACTCTATCTCATTGATAAATAAAGGTTATGTCTTCACATCACTTATAACTCAATCCCAGACTCAACAGGAATTCTGCTATCTGCAATATCAGGCCAACCTGCTAAGAGGAAACCAATTTCCTTCATTGCCTAGTTTTTCTGATTCCAAAATCCCTTTCGTTTCTTTTATATATATATAAAATATATATAATATACATTATATATATAATATATATATTTTTTATTATACTCTAAGTTCTAGGGTACATGTACACAATGTACAGGTTTGTTACATATGTATACATGTGCCATGTTGGTGCGCTGCACTCATTAACTCGTCATTTATATTAGGTATATCTCCTAATGCTATCCCTCCCCACTCCCCCCACCCCACGACAGGCCCCATTGTGTGATGTTCCCCTTCCTGTGTCCAAGTGTTCTCATTGTTCATTTCCCACCTATGAGTGAGAACATGCAGTGTTTGGTTTTTTGTCCTTGTGATAGTTTGCTGAGAATGATAGTTTCCAGCTTCATCCATGTCCCTACAAAGGACATGAACTCATCCTTTTCATGGCTGCATAGTATTCCATGGTGTATATGTGCCACATTTTCTTTTTTTTTTTTTATTTAATTTTATTATTATTATACTTTAAGTTTTAGGGTACATGTGCACAATGTGCCGGTTAGTTACATATGTATACATGTGCCATGCTGGTGTGCTGCACCCATTAACTTGTCATTTAGCATTAGGTATATCTCCTAATGCTATCCCTCCCCCGTCCCCCCACCCCACAACAGTCCCCAGAGTGTGATGTTCCCCTTCCTGTGTCCATGTGTTCTCATTGTTCAATTCCCACCTATGAGTGAGAATATGCAGTGTTTGGTTTTTTGTCCTTGCCATAGTTTGCTGAGAATGATGATTTCCAATTTCATCCATGTCCCTACAAAGGACATGAACTCATCATTTTTTATGGCTGCATAGTATTCCATGGTGTATATGTGCCGCATTTTCTTAATCCAGTCTATCCTTGTTGGATATTTGGGTTGGTTCCAAGTCTTTGCTATTGTGAATAGTGCCGCAATAAACATACGTGTGCATGTGTCTTTATAGCAGCATGATGTATAGTCCTTTGGGTATATACCCAGTAATGGGATGGCTGGGTCAAATGGTATTTCAAGTTCTAGATCCCGGAGGAATCGCCACACTGACTTCCACAAGGGTTGAACTAGTTTCCAGTCCCACCAACAGTGTAAAAGTGTTCCTATTTCTCCACATCCTCTCCAGCACCTGTTGTTTCCTGACTTTTTAATGATTGCCATTCTAACTGGTGTGAGATGGTATCTCATTGTGGTTTTGATTTGCATTTCTCTGATGGCCAGTGATGGTGAGCATTTTTTCATGTGTTTTTTGGCTGCATACATGTCTTCTTTTGAGAAGTGTCTGTTCATGTCCTTCGCCCACTTTTTGATGGGGTTGTGTGTTTTTTTCTTGTAAATTTGTTTGAGTTCATTGTAGATTGTGGATATTAGCCCTTTGTCAGATGAGTAGGTTGTGAAAATTTTCTCCCATTGTGTAGGTTGCCTGTTCACTCTGATGGTAGTTTCTTTTGCTGTGCAGAAGCTCTTTAGTTTAATTAGATCCTATTTATCAATTTTGGCTTTTGTTGCCATTGCTTTTGGTGTTTTAGACATGAAGTCCTTGCCCATGCCTATGTCCTGAATGGTAATGCCTAGGTTTTCTTTTAGGGTTTTTATGGTTTTAGGTCTAACGTTTACGTCTTTAATCCATCTTGAATTAATTTTTGTATAAGGTGTAAGGAAGGGATCCAGTTTCAGCTTTCTACATATGACTAGCCAGTTTTCCCAGCACCATTTATTAACTAGGGAATCCTTTCCCCATTGCTTGTTTTTCTCAGGTTTGTCAAAGATCAGATGGTTGTAGATATGTGGTGTTATTTCTGAGGGCTCTGTTCTGTTCCATTGATCTATATCTCCGTCTTGGTACCAGTACCATGCTGTTTTGGTTACTGTAGCCTTGTAGTATAGTTTGAAGTCAGGTAGTGTGATGCCTCCAGCTTTGTTCTTTTGGCTTAGGATTGACTTGTCAATGCGGGCTCTTTTTTGGTTCCATATGAACTTTAAAGTAGTTTTTTCCAGTTCTGTGAAGAAAGTCATTGGTAGCTTGATGGGGATGGCATTGAATCTATAAATTACCTTGGGCAGTATGGCCATTTTCACGATATTGATTCTTCCTACCCATGAGCATGGAATGTTCTTCCATTTCTTTGTATCCTCTTTTATTTCCTTGAGCAGTGGTTTGTAGTTCTCCTTGAAGAGGTCCTTCACATCCCTTGTAAGTTGGATTCCTAGGTATTTTATTGTCTTTGAAGCAATTGTGAATGGGAGTTCACTCATGATTTTGCTCTCTGTTTGTCTGTTATTGGTGTTTAAGAATGCTTATGATTTTTGTACATTGATTTTGTGTCCTGAGACTTTGCTGAAGTTGCTTATCAGCTTAAGGAGATTTTGGGCTGAGACAATGGGGTTTTCTAGATATACAATCATGTCATCTGCAAACAGGGACAATTTGACTTCCTCTTTTCCTAATTGAATACCCTTTATTTCCTTCTCCTGCCTAGTTGCCCTGGCCAGAACTTCCAACACTATGTTGAATAGGAGTGGTGAGAGAGGGCATCCCTGTCTTGTGCCAGTTTTCAAAGGGAATGCTTCCAGTTTTTCCACATTGTGCCAGATTTCAAAGGGAATGCTTCCACATTTTCTTAATCTAGTCTATCACTGATGGACATTTGGGTTGGTTCGAAGTCTTTGCTATTGTGAATAGTGCCGCAGTAAACATACGTGTGCATGTGTCTTTATAGCAGCATGATTTATAATCCTTTGGGTATATACCCAGTAATGGGATGGCTGGGTCAAATGGTATTTCTAGTTCTAGATACCTGAGGAATCGCCACACTGTCTTCCACAATGGTTGAATGAGTTTACGAAGGATATGAACAGACGCTTCTGAAAAGAAGACATTTGTGCAGCCAATAGACACATGAAAAAATGCTCATCACAGGCCATCAGAGAAATGCAAATCAAAACCACAATGAGATACCATCTCATACCATTTAGAATGGCGATCATTAAAATGTCAGGAAACAACAGGTGCTGGAGAGGATGTGGAGACATAGGAACACTTTTACACTCTTGATGGGACTGTGAAATCCCTTTCCTTTCTACTCTTGAAACACAGCCGCTTTCTGTAGGTGTCAGTTTAGAAAATTACATAAGACATAAAGGTTTTTACAAATACATTCTTTTAATTGATTTTAAAAGTATTTTATGCTCATTGCCAAAAATTTAGAAAGTTGGAAAATATCAATAAATAAAAGATTTAACATAATATCACACCCAATTATTAACATTTTGGCTTTTTTTTAGACTTACACACCTATCAATATTTATTTTCCAATATTTATTTTTTATCTTTGTGGTTACATAGGTGAACATATTTATGCGGTACATGAGATGTTTTGATACAGGCATGCAATGCCTACTAATTGCATTATGGAAAATGGGGTATCCATCCCCTCAGACATTTATCCTTTGTGTTATGAACAGTCCAATTACACTCTTTTAGTTATTCTAAAATGCACAATTAAATTATTTTGGCTGTATTTACCCTATTGTGCTATCAAATACTAGGTATTATTCATTCTTCTATTTTTTTGTACCCCTTAACCATTCCCACCTCCTCCCCACATTCCACTCTCCTTCCCAGCCTCTGCCAACCATCCTTGTACTCTCCATCCCCATGAATTCAATTGTTTTGATTTTTAGATCCCACAAATAAGTGAGAACATGTGACGTTTGTCTTTCTGTGCCTGGCTTATTTCATTTAACATAATGACCTTCACTTCCAATCTAGGTTGTTGCAATGACAGGATCTCATTCTTTTTTTTTAATGGCTAAATAATATTCCATTGCATATAAGCAACATTTTCTTGATCCATTCATCTGTTGATGAACATTTAGGTTGCTTCCAAATCTTAGCTGTTGTGAACAGTATGGCAACAAACAATGGATATGCAGATATCTCTTTGATATACTGATCTCCTTTCTTTTGGGTACATACCCAGCAGTGGGGTTGCTGGATCATATGGTAGCTCTATGTTTAGTTTTTTGAGGAACCCCCAAACTGTTCTCCCCAGTGGTTGTACTAATTTACATTCCCACCAGGAGTGAGAATGTAGGAGTGTAGGAGGGTTCCCTTTTCTCCACATCCTTGCCAACATTTGTTATTGCATCTTCTGGATATAAGCCATTTTAACTTGGGTGAGATGATATCTCATTGTAGCTTTGATTTGCATTTCTCTGATGATTAATGATGTTGAGCACCTTTTCATATGGCTGTTTGCCATTTGTATGTCTTCCTTTTTAGAAAGGTCTACTCAAATCTCTTGCTCATTTTTAAAATCAGATTATTAAATTTTTTTCCTATAGAGTTGTTTGAGCCCCTTATATATTCTTGTTATTAATCCCTTGTTAGATGGGTAGTTTGCAAAAATTTTCTCTCGTTCTGTGGGCTGTCTCTTCACTTTGTTGACTGTGCTTCAGAAGCTTCTTACCTTAATGTGACTCCCTTTGTCCATTTTTGCTTTCGTTACCTGTGCTTGTGTGGGATTACTCAAGAAATTTTTGCCCAGACCAGTGTCCTGGAGATTGTCTCCAATGTTGTCTTATAGTAGTTTCATAGTTTGAGGTCTTACATTTAAGTCTTTTATTCATTTTGATTTGATTTTTATATATGGTGAGAGATAGAGGTCTAGTTTCATTCTTCTACATAAGGATATCCAGTTTTCCCAGCACCATTTATTGAAGACACTGCCTTTTCCTCAGTGTATGCTCTTGGCATCTTTGTTGAAAATGAGTTAATTGCAGGTGTGTGGATTTGTTTCTGGGTTCTCTATTCTGTTTCATTGGTCTATGTGTCTATTTTTATGCCAGTACTACCCTGTTTTGGTTACTATAGCTCTGTATGGTAACTGTAGTTACTATTTAAGGTCAGGTAATGTGATTTCTCCAGGTTTTTCTTTTTTATATATTCCCCTTTATTCGAGGCGGTTTTGTTCTTTTTGCTTAGGATAGCTTTGGCCATTCTAGGTCTTCTGTTGTTCCATATAAATTTAAGAATTTTTTTTTCTATTTCTGTGAATAATGCCATTGGTATTTTGATAGACTGCATAGAATTTATAGATTGCTTTGGGTAGTATGGACATTTTAACAATAATGATTCTTCCAGTCCATGAATATGGAATATCTTTCTATTTTTTGTGTGTTCTCTTGAATTTCTTTCATCAGTGTTTTATAGTTTTTATTGTAGTGATCTTTCACTTTTTTGGTTATTTCCTAGGTATTTAATATTTTTTGGCTGTGGTAAATGGGAGTACTTTTAAATTTGTTTTTCATAGTGTTCACTGTTGTCATGTAGAATGCTACTGATATTAGTATGTTGAATTTGTATACTGCAACTTTATTGAATTTATTAGTTCTAATAGTTTTCTTGTGGAGTCTTTAGATTTTTCCAAATATAAGATTATATCATCTGCAGACAGGATAATTTGACTCCTTTCTTTCCAATTTGGATGCCCTTTATTTCTTTTTCTTGTCTAATTACTCCAGCTAGGACTTTATGTTGAATAACAGTGGTGAAAGTGGGCATCCTTGTCTTGTTCCAGATCTTAGAGGAAAGGCTTTCAGTTTTTCCCGTTCAGTATGATACTAGCTGCGGATCTGTTGTATATGCCTTTTGTTGTGTGGAGATATGTTCTATACTCAGTTTTTTGAGAGTTTTTATCATGAAGAAATGTTGAATTTTATCAAATGCTTTTTCAGCATCATTGGACATGATCACATGGTTTTTGTCTTAATTCTTTTGATACTATGTATCACATTGCTTGATTTGCTTAAGTTGAATAATCCTTGCATCCCTGGGATAAATCCCACTTGGTAATGATGAATGTTTTTTATTGTGAATTCAGTTTTCTATTAATAGTATTTTGTTGAGGGCTTTTGAATATTGGCCTGTAGTTTTCTTTTCTTTTTTTTCCCTTTCTTTTCTTCCTTCTTTTTGTCTTTCTTTCTTTCTTTTTCTCTCTCTCTCTCTGTTTCTCTTTCTCTCTCTCTCTCTATTTTTCTTTCTTTCTTTCCCTCCCTCCCTCTGTCACCAGGATGGAGTCCAGTGGCACGATCTTGGTTCACTGCAACCTCTACCTCCCAGGTTCAAGCAATTCTGCTGCCTTAGCCTCCCGAGTAGCTGGGATTACAGGTGTGCACCACCACACCCAGCTAATTTTTTTGTATTTTTAGTAGAGACGAGGTTTCACCATGTTGGCCAGGATGGTCTCGATCTCTTGACCTCGTGATCCACCCACTTTGGCCTCCCAAAGTGCTGGGATTATAGATGTGAGCCACCATGCCTGGACAGTTTTCTTTTTTTGATGTGTCTTTGTCTGGTTTTGGTATTAGGGTAATACTGGACTTACAGAATGAGTTTGGAAGTATTCCCTCCTCTTTAATTTTTTGGAATAGTTTGAGCAAAATTGGTATTAATTCTTCTTTAAATGTTTTATAGAATTCAGCAGCGAAGCCATTGGGTCCTGGGCTTTTGTTTACTGGGAGACTTTTTATTATGGCTTCCATCTGGTTTCTTTTAGTTCTATTCCACTTTTGGATTTCTTCATGGTTCAATCTTGGTAGGTCATATGTGTCTAGGAATTTATCCGTTTCCTCTAGATTTTCCAATTTATTGGCATATAGTTGCCCATAGTAGCCAATAATGATCCTTTGAATTTCTGTGCTATCAGTGTAATATATTCAGTTTCATCTCTGATTTTATTTATTTGGGTCTTCTCCCATTTTTTTTTGTAAGTATGACCTAACTAAAGGCTTATCAATTTTGTTTATCCCTTCAAAAATCCAACTTTTTATCCTGTTGGTGTTTTGTATTTTTTTATTTCAATTTCATTTATTTCCGCTCTAATCTTTATTATTTCTTTTCTTCTACTAATTTAGAGCTTGGTTTGCTCTTTTCTAGCATAGTTTAGTTATTTATTTGAAGTTTTTTTTTTAATGTAGGCACTTATAACTATAAATTTCCCTGCTTTTGCTGTATTCAGTAGATTTTCTCAGGTTGTGTTTCCATTATCATTTGTTTCAAGAAATTTTTCAATTTCTTTCTTAATTCCTTCATTGACCCACTGTCATTCAGGAGCATATTGTTCATTTTCCATGTGTTCATATAGTTTCCAAAATTCCTCTTGTTGCTGATTTCTAGTTTTATTCCATTATGGTCAGAGAAGATGCTTAATACTATTTCAGTTTTTTTGGAATGTGTTAAGGCTTGTTTTGTGACATAACGTGTAATCTATCCTTGAGAATGAGCCATGTGCTGAGGAGAAGAATGTATATTCTGTAGCCTTTGGATGAAATGTTCTGTAAATATCTACTAGGTGTGTTTTTTCTCTAGTACAGATTAGGCCCCTATTAATATTTAGATGAGCATATTTATTTGCTCATTCATTCATTCATGACATTTCAGGCACTATTCTAGGTGTTGCGGTAAGATGATAAAGGTTATTCCTGTCAGAGGCTTAATGCTGAGTTAAAGAACAAGCAATAAATAATCAAATAAATATGATAATTGCATGTGGGATTAATGTTATGAGAAAAATAAAACATAAAATGCGGTAATATGACAGACAGCTACAGATAGTAGGCAGGAATAGGGACCAGTATAGGTTAAAGGAGGGAAGATAGGCCTCTGTGAGGGGGTGACATTTAATCTGAGGCCTGAAGAGGAAACAGCTGGTACAGAAGTACTGATGTGGGAATAAATTGGTTTGGCATGTTTGAGGACTAGAAGAAAGACCTGTTTGGGTATATTACAGAGAATAAAATGGAGAAAGGCATGAAATAAGGTTGACATTGTAGACAGGAATCAGACTGCCTACAGGATTTTATAGGCCTAGAAGGAAATCCAATTTTAATTGTGATAGTAAGCTATTGGGAAGTGACATAGTCTGATTTCTGTTTGAACATGTTCATTTTGGTTGCTCTTTAGGGATGGCTTGTAGGGTACCAAGAAAATTGTATTGATAAGAAGCTAACTGTTTTAACAAGCAGCCCACATCACAGTGGCTTAACACAACAAAACAATTTACTTCACAGACCAGTACAGTTGGTAGGGCAAGGCTTTACCCTGCGCTGTGTTTTAGGGACTCAAACTTCTTTCAGCATGTGATGCTGCTGTCTCGATTCAACACATGGCTTTCAAGATTGTTGCAGAAGGAAAAAGAGTGAATGGAGGATTAGCAGGGAGTCTGGAAGTGCATGGTAAATGAGCATATACCACTGGCCATAATTCAGTCACGTGGCTTGAATCTAACTTCAAGGGAATTGGAAAATGGAATTTTACTCCTCTCTGCCACACAGGAAAAAAAGCTAGGAGGCTGTTGCAATAGTCCACACAAGAGGGTATAAATGTTTGGGTTATTTGTTCATTGAAAAAATATTTATTGAACTCCTTATGTGGCCTAAACATTCTTCCAGGTGCTGGCAACACAGTAGAAGACAAAATTTCTGCCCTCATGGAGCTTGTACTTTATGATAGAGATAAAAAATACAAACAAAGAAAACTAAACACACATAAACACACAATTTTAGATAGCAACTCTCATGAAGTAGAAGAAAAACAGAATAAAGGAAGATAGACTGATAGTGAGTAGGGTAAAATATATATTGTGTGTCCATATTTAGATTTTCATATTACTATATCTGTGCATCCATTTACAAAAGTTTAATTTCATTTTATGGGTATAGTGTCTTTGGTAGAGACTTCTGTAGCATATAGACGGTCTCTGACTTATGATGCTTCAAGATATGATTTTCAGCTTTATGGTGTGAAAGTGATACACATTCAGTAGAAATTTTGAATTTTGATTTCTTTCCAGAGTTACTGATATGCTGTATGATGCCGTCTTGTGACACTAGGCAGGGGCAGTGAGCTACAGCTCCCAGGTAGCCATGTGATTACAAGGGTAAACAGACAATATTCTACAGTGGACTGTGTTGCCAGATGATTTTGCCCAATTGTAGGCTAATGTAAGTGTTCTGAGAATGTTTAAGGTACGCTAGGCTAAGCTGTGATGTTCGGTAGGTTAGGTGTAAAAATGCATTTTTGACTTAATGATAATGACGGGTTTATTGGGATGTAACCCATTTGTGAGTTGAGAAGCATCTGTATGTGTATTCATAAATGCTCATTTGTACTAGAAAGATAGTTTCAGAAACTTATTTCTATTTAGACAGTACCTGTCTTAAAAATACCATGTTGCGGAAAAGACAACTTTTTAATTCATGTTGTCCTTTTCTCTATCTTCTGCCATTTTTCAGAATTCTTTTGTCCAGGATGCTGAGGCTCTGGGCACTCAGATCATTCTCCAGGGAAATGCTCTGTAGCTCTTCTCTTGAGACTCGCCTTCAGACTTAGGACACGGAGAGCTCCCCAAATGCCCTACTTTCTCCAAAGGCATTTCTTACACTACCAAGGACAGTGTTCCTCCTGTGTGCGTGTGTTTATGGAGAGGACAAGCAATGCAGTTATTATTATAATAAAATTACATGTTCTCAATCAATACTTAAAATTCCATCAAAATTTAATGAACGATTTTGATGAATATTTATGTATTGGTAAGTTTTTACACGTATTGTTCTCCAATCTCTGGTTTTCTTTCATTGTCTTTTAAATATACAGTCACGCATCACTCAACAACGAGGATATGAGGATATATTCTGAGAAATGTGTCGTCAGGAGATTTCGTCTTTGTGTGAACATGATACAGTGTACTTACACACACCTGGATGATATAGAGTGTTACGCACCTAGGCTATATGATCTCACCTATTGCTCCTAGGCTACAAACCTGTACAGTATGTTACCGTACTGAATGATGTAGGCAATAGTAATACAATGGTAAGTGTTTGTGTATCTAAACATAGAAAAGACATAGTAAAAATACGATATTATATTCTTATGGGACCACCATCATGTACGCAGGCTGGCATTGACTGAAATGTCATTTTGTGGCACACGTTTGTGGCTTTATTTCTGAATATCTTTTGGCAGCTCTAAGATTTTCAGTTTTTATATGTACTAATGATAATTGAAAAAAGGGGGCTATTGAAGTTGGAAAGTGAAAAAAAGAAGTAAGCGTCTGGGAGAGCAAATGTAAGGTTTCTTAATGAAACCTTAGAAGACATAAAAATGCTGAAAGGAGGGAACAAAGTTACAGGCCTCAAAGCTGTGATTTTGCAGCTGCCTGAAGACAGGGTGTGAAGCTGTGTTTTGAGGGCTTCACTGAGAACAGATGACAGGCAGAGTCAACTATTTGAAATCATCGCATCGAAAAAGCGTCAGACTTTGCATAAAGAAGTAGGAGGAGAAAGAAGGGGTTATTATATTTAATGAAGCTAAATTAATTGCAAAAATATAATTAAAATATAGCAAAAGGAAATTCTGATAATTTCTAGGTGTACAAAGAGTAAGTGAAAGTTTATGAAGTGTCCATTCTTCCTCTTTTATGCTGCATACACAGTTACTTTGTTGGATGGTGGTGATGATTTATTTCAGAAGATTAAAAAATATATACAAAGGCTTTCATAATTTCATATGTGAGTTCATTCCTCACCTTTATAGTCCCCCAAACATCTTATATTTTTCAACTTCCAATTTTTTTTAACCACAGAAATTCTCAGGACCATAACTCTTAGGTTTTGAATACCTGCTAATCTATAGAGTTTATTAAAGTAGTTATGAAATTAGACATGACTCATATTCTAAAAATTAGCTGAAAGCCAGATAGATACATGGAATTAAGAAGCATAGCTGTATGTATAATGGCAAGTCACATTCCTAGCCAGCCTTAAACTGCCCATACATTATCCACTGAGTAAATAGTATCAGTTTTTTTTTTTTAAATTTGGAACAAGAGAAGGAAGGAAGAAAAGACAAATGGTTTATTTTCCTGATTCTGTCACAGTCTCCTAAGACAATTTTGAAACTGAAGTTCTTTCAAATATCCTCCCACTTTCCTTCTGCACCCCCCTCTCATCTCCTAATAGTGTTCTGCTCAGGCACCCTGGTGCTGCCTCTGTGTTCCTCACTGGGGAATTCTACTGGGGGATGCCTCACTGCACCACAGGGAGTCATAAATGGTGGTCCAGAAGTGCCTCCCTCATTTCCTATTCCCCCTTTATTCTCCCTTCACAAAACTTACCTTACATTTGCAAGTCAATGTGAGTAGAAAATAAAGGCTCAACTCTTTCAGAAGGGTTTACATTTTTGACAGAAGATGTCTGATAACTCAAATGCATGTCTATGTAGTGGAAGTCTAGATCAATAAATTAAATGAGAGAATATACATAAAACATTGAATACGGTGCCAAGAACTTCCTAAATGTTCATTCTCATCCTGTTCTTAATGTAGCAAAGTGAAAATTTAAAAAATAATTAAAACGAGAGAAAGATATGCTGGTACATAGGAGGTGTTATATTTTAGATTGTGTGAATAACACAGAATCACTGTGAAAAAATGACTACTGGAGAAGGTGGAGCTCAGGTAATTTGAATGTAGCAGTGGTAGATTTCTCAACAAGGCAGCACTCATAATCTTTGTTTCTTATTTCCCTTGAAGAAATAGAACTTTGTTTCTTTCTTATTTATTTCTTGAAGTGATAGAACCAGCTGTTTTTATGATCCCGAGAGAATGTTTATTTTTCTGTCACTTTTATACATTCTGCTAGAACATTAGTTAGGAATTCCAGAATCCTGGTATTCTTCAATATTTTACTTTTACCTTGAAGTTTACTGCAAGCTTTTAAATTTCTTCCCTTCCTCATTGGAACCTATACAAGTTTAAATTCCACACTCTTTGGTGATCTTTGATAGGCTGAAGTGGAAATGGAAGGAGGCATTTTTATGAGTTATACATGATTTGGAAATGTCCTGTATTTTTTGTTTTGAAGGCTTTGTTTTCATATACCTATTTTAAAATCTCTGAATACCCAGGCAGAGTATAATATGTAAATGTAGGCCCAACTTAGGAAAAAAAATGTGAATTGAGGAGAAGCAGTAATATTTATGTTTTTAGATATGCACTGTATAGGAAGTGTCAGGGTTTTTGTTTTGGTCATGATTCTACCTTTTGATTTCTTTAGAGGATACTGCAGTGTTTCTGGATAAGTTGCATTTTCTTTCTTACAAGTTTCTTTTATGGATCTTAAGATCCTTTAAATTTATTATTAATAAGTAGCACAATTCAATATTTATGTGTACTCCACATTATACAAATCAGAGTACACTTGTATATTCAGTTTTATAGGAAACAGTTTTAATTTTTCTACTTCATTTAGCCCCTCTCAATTGCCCATTGCAAGTTTGGCTATTCTATTAAGTTTCATTCAATTTTCTATTAGAAATCTCATGCCTTCAAAAACCCTTCCACCAAAGTCCATCATTTCTCATGCTATACTCTTTCTGCAGACACTCATCAATATTTGAAAGCAGCAATATTATGAATTTTGGCTGTCTTAGCTCTCCAACTTAGATATCACATCTGGTCCATTTCTAATTATAATTGTGTCTGACTTTCTGACTCTTCAACAGTCTGTGTGAGGAGAAATCTTATATTAGTTTGATAAAACTGCTTTACTTTGTTTTTTTCTCATTAATAAAGAGATAGCTCCAAGTCACATAATAATTTTTTGTGGACTTTAAAAAAGAGCACTTTCCAGAATGCTGGGTGATCATTGATAACATTTATAATGAACATCTGGAAGTTAATCTGGTTATATTTAGAATGTTGTTTAGCAGATTGGTATCTTGTTTATGCACTTTGGTGTTGATGGTAAAAATGGCAGAACCTACTTTTTTTGGTATTGTATAAGCTACATTAATTTCTGAACAAGAATCTTATTTTTCTGAAATGTTTTTTAAATAGCTATCAGTTTATGTTCATTATAGTAAAAGTAGAAAAGAGAGAAAAACAAAACTGAGAAAAGTACCAGTTTTCTTTCCAAATAGGTAATAGTTATGAAGGTGTTGCAGTGTAATCTTTCAAATATTTATGGGGACATATAAATATTTTTATTTAGAAAATGATGATATTGTAAAGAGCAGTATTCTTTAATTCAGAAGTGTGTCACTATTTGAATTTGTAGCATGGAATGTTTCCTACATTTCTAAAATAAGGATCACTTCAAAGGTGTCAATTAGGAACTCATTTAGAGACTAAGTATATGGTGTTAATGTGAGGTTAAAACCTATTACAACTCCACTGTGCTCCATGGTGTCAAAAAAGAAGGCTTACCATCTACAGGGTCCTTAGTGCCCTATGTTGGTAATAATATCACTGAAGAATTATTAGGGCAATGTATTGAATTAAAGTATTTATTAAGTCTCACTTTATTTAGCAGAACTTGCTCACTAACCTCCTCTAGGCAGTGGAAACAGTCATATGCATTTCTCTTATTAATATTGAAATTTCTTAGTTCCTGAAGAGCACTTCGTTCACAGACAGCATTCTCTATTGCAGTGTAAAGTGATTTTTATCATTTGCTTAGATTCTACTGATTAAGGAAACTGTGCAACTTCATAAAAGATGAGGATTCTGTCTATCTCCATTAAAGATGGATTATATGGAGAGCAGAGGAAATGAACATGATCAAGCATATCTCCTGCCTGTAAATAATTTTTCTCTAAGAAGATGAATAACTATAGTCATGTGTGACATGGAATTTCAGTCAATGATGAGCCACATACATGATGGTCTTCACATAACATTGTAATACCATATGTTTACTGTAGCTTTTCTACTGTAGATATGTTTAGATACAAAAATATTTGCCATTGTGTTACAATTGCCTACAGTGTTCAGCACAATAACATGCTGTACAGGTTTTTAGTCTCGGAGTGAAGTAGCTTAGGTGTGTAATATGCTCTACTATATAGCCTGGGTTTGCAGTAGGCTGTTATCATGTAGGTGTGTGTACGTACCCTCTATGATGTTCACTCAATGATGCAATCCCTCATGACACATCTCTCAGAACATATCTCTGTTGTGAAGTGATGCATGACTGTATTTGTAATTATGTTTTTATAGTGGTCAAGTCTCATGCTTATTATGTCATCTGAGTAAATTCATGGTGATGTCACCATGAATTAATTTTATAAATTTTTAAATGCTGTATGAAAACTTTTCTCTAGTTAGCTAAGTTAGCTAGTTCTTTTACTAGCTGAGAATAGGACTAACAGGTGAAATCTGGTTTTTAAAATTCTTGCTGCATATGATTTTACATAGTTGTGATTAAATATCTCATAACATTACAGATATTACCCTAGGATAGTGACTGACTAAAATAAACTTAATTTCTACTTGGCATTTACCTTCTAATTGTTTAATATTTCATTATAATATTCTTCACTAACAACAGAGTTTCTGAGAGACAGTACATTGCTCAATGTAGATTAGCTACTGGAATTTGTTGAAATGTTTCCGAAATATTTGGAAACTGAGAAAGTATCATAAGAGATTAAGCATAAAATTAGGAAGTTTATATTACTTTCTAATATATTAGAAATGTATCAGATTAATAGTTGCATTAGTCTGTTCTCATGCTCCTAATAAAGACCTACCCAAGACTTGGTAATTTATAAAGGAAAAAGGTTTAATTGACTCAGCGTTCCACATGGCTGTGGAGGCCTCCTAATCATGGCAAAAGGCAGAGAAGCAAAGTTATGACTTACATGGCAGCAGGCAAGAGAGCATGTGCAGGAGAACTCCCATTTATAAAATCATCAGATCTTGTGAGACTTATTAACTACCATGAGATCAGTAAGGGGGAGTCTGCCCCCATGATTCAATGATCTCCACCTGGCCTCACCCTCGACACATGGAGATTATTACAATTCAAGGTGAGATTTGGGTGGGGACACAGCCAAACAATATCAATAGTGGAATTAGAAATTTTTTTAGACAAAATGATTTTCCTGAAATATAAAATTAACAATTTCTTTACCTGTTTTGATATTGTATAGTCAGGAAATGTTGCCTACTTTGTTTTAATACGTGCAAGGAAAACTCTGACTTAGTCATTAAGATAGGTGTGCAGTTTTAAGATGAATGGAGTTTCAGTTTTCGAGAGACTGCTAATTATTGAGGTCTATAGGAAACTCAAATAGGAATGGTTGTGGAATTTACGATCGCTCATTCGTTCGCTTGCTTGCTCGCTCACTCACTCACTTGCTCACTCTTTAAGGTTGTTGAATTTATATTCACCTCTGTGCTTCTGTCCCGAATATTTCCTGAGTACTGTGTAGTCATCAACTCAGTGCAGATTTCACATCCTCAAACCTTGCCTTAAATAAAGTAGGTATGAATGCTTCAGGTTAGATGATTGTTCCTTGTAATCTTGAAAGATGTCTAGAAGAAGAGGACTTCTTAAAGTTAGAATTTGGCCAGAAAAGTCCCATAGTCTTTAAACTTGTAGAAAAGATAGGTAAGACCTATTTGAGAACATAATCATTAATAGATGTTATTTACTGGGCATACTATATGTTTAGTTCTGCAAATAACTGAGGTAAGCATTTTTTTTTTTTTTTCTCTGAGACAGAGTGTCACTCTGTTGCCCAGGCTGGAGTGCAGTGGTGTGATCTCGGCTCACTGCAATCTCCGCCTCCCAGGTTCATGCCATTCTTCTGCCTCAGCCTCCCGAGTACCTGGGACTACAGGCGCCTGGCACCACGCCCAGCTAACTTTTTGTATTTTTAGTACAGATGGGGTTTCACTGTGTTAGCCAGGATGGTCTCTATCTTCTGAGCTCGTGATCCGCCCGCTTCGGCCTCCCAAAGTGCTGGGATTACAGGCGTGAGCCACTGCGCCCAGCCGAGGTAAAAGCATTTCATTAAAGAGGAGACTGACGCTCAGAGTGGTAAGGTGTACTGTTAATGGTTTCACAGCTAGAGAGTGGCAGAACTGGAAACAAACTTAGGTTGAACTGAGTCCAAAGATTGTGTGCGCTTCCATGCTACTTGCCATTTGTGGAGTGAGGAAGTATCCAAATTGGAATAGTAAGTGCCTGGGAGATAAGGATGCATATTATCACAGTAAAACAGGCTTCCTCTTTGGAAGCTAGGCTGACTGAATGTGCTTGCACCATCATAGGTATTGTTAGATAAAAGCATGGGTTTGTATTTATGTGTGAAGAAGACCTTTAGAAACCTAAGACCTGGTTCATGAGTCAATGATGACTCCATTCTGAGGCAGGGACAGATACCATAATGTGACAGATTGACACCCAGATTGTGTTACATAATAGAAATGTGTCCTAATTTGTTGTGAATTTTGTGTGAAAATACTTCCTAACTCATTTTTGTAAAGTGTCTTTAGACTTGACAGATAATACAGGCACCAGTGCCTTGAAAATGTCACTGTGAAGAACTGTTTTCTTCAGACTTTTCATCTACCAGAAGATTTACTCTTCTAATCATGCAATTGCACAATAGAAAAATCTGCTACAGGACCATGACATGAACCTGGGAGGCGGAGCTTGCAGTGAGTCGAGATCACGCCACTGCACTCCAGCCTGGGTGACAGAGCGAGACTCCGTCTCAAGAAAAAAAAAAAGAAAAAAAAAAACAAAAAAAAGAAAAAAAAAAGAAAAATCTGCTACAGAGATGGAAAGAACTGTTTAGACAAAGACAAGCTATTTTTCTAAAATTGTGCGATGGAGACCAAGACAGTTCAAAAAAGAAGTTGACTCACTGGTTCACCTTCCAGTAGTCGCATCGTCAGCATCTAGCTCTGCCATGCAGTCTGAGAACACAATTCATCTTGTTGATGCTATTCCTGCTCTTAAACTTGTGCTTGTGCTTTGAGATGAGCCTTATTGGTGAGATAGCAATTCAGTTAAATGAATTCAATTTGTTACTCACTCTGCAAGCTTTACCTAATTTCATTCTCCACAGGGAGAGACTTCTGGTAGGGATACTTTTGCAGCTTCTCCAAGATGTTTGGCAGGAGAAATTTCCATCCATAGACTGAGGAAAAAGGTCAACAGGACAAAGGTCAGTTATGTTCAGAAGAGATTAATGGCTATGTACTTGCTTTCCTGGGGAACAAATTGCATCAGAGTGCATAGCAAGATTAGAGGGAGAGCAGAGCCTGTCTTTTTCTCTGTATACCTGGAGTAAGAATTTAGACATCATGTCTCTTCTTCAATAAAGATAGATTTTCAAGTAACTCATTGAAATTCTCTGTGAGTGTTGATTAACTTAGAACCTACCTGCCCAGAATGCTTATAGTTTTAGTTTTATTTCAAATAATAAAAGATTGGAACCAGAAGAATAAATTGCTTTTGTTAATGCAACACAACTATTAGAAGCACACGCAGTTTCCTGTATATTATTAGTGTTTGCCACTAATAAAAAATAAATTTGATAAAACCTTTAACTTTAATTTCTTTATTTGCCTGCTTCACCCTGGTTTAGGGTCTTAATATATCAGCAGTCAAATTGGATTTAATTGAACTTTTACTTTACTAGAAGGATTCCTGTAGAAAATTACAAATGGATATGTGGATTTTGATTGTAGATTTTTCTTTTTCCTAAATATGTATTACATTCTTGCCTCAAATTCCCTAACTGGGTGCCTAGGTGCCCCAAGACACTGAAGTAAAGGGGCACCTCAGGATATTTTGAATCATTGAAGGAAACCACAATATTCATCATCTTTTGGATATTGTATCGACTACTAAAGGTAGTTCACATTTCCAACTTTAGATTGCACTACATTCTTCTTAATTATGTTATATCACTGAAGATCAGAGGTTCCAGTGATAAAAAACAAGCACAAGCACCTCAGAAAAATCAAGGTGGAACAGCAAATGAAGGTGGCAGAGTCTCATTTAATTCCAAAATTTGAGAGCTCTAATGCCCATGAAGTGCATACCTCACATTGGTCAGTGTGAAAATACAATTTTTCTTTCAAGTTATATGTGTTATTTTTCAAATATTTACTTAGCTTTTAGGACAAAAATACTTGTTTTTTGGACCTAATCTTAATGAAAAGGTTAGATATTTCTTTTGGCATATGAAATAATTACTGAGACATGAAGGGTGCTGAACCAATAAGTTTAGGGTCCTTTGATCTATGCCAACAATGTAGTGGTAGGTGAAATCAAAATGGTTTTGAGGCATGACTTTTTATTGACTATTTTTGGCATCATTTTTTCCTCATAAAATTACAGCATTCATTTTAATATTCTTGTCAAAGACAAAATTGGTAAATTATATGAAAAATTTATTTAAATATTGTTCATTATGAAGAGTGATGCAATGTTGAACACATAATAGGAACTCCAAATATTTGTGGAATTAATGAACAAAACTGTGTAAATTATATTTAATCACAGAATATTCCAAATTTTCAAACTCTTTTCAGTTGTTATTAGACTGACTTATTTAGTTAGAACATCCCAGAGAATGGGAGCCATTGTACAAATAACTGAGTTAAAACAAACAAACACACTCCTGTGTTCTCCATTACATCCCAGCATGTCGTTTTGATGATGGAGAAACAGATGCCTCACGTATGGCTTTACCTTATGCCAAGAGAGATATAACCTTCTATCTATTTGGGAAAGTGCTAATTCCATCTTCTCCCATCAAAGCAGGAACAGTGTGAAAATATTTACTAAAAATAAAAATTAATGCATGTGAGGGATCAAAATGCAAATTACTTGAAAAGATGTAAAGTAATAGGGACAGTCTTCCTTCCTAGACCCTGTAGCCCTCAACCTGAAATATGCCCTATTACTAATGTTTTGTGTATTATGGCAGACAGACTCTGTGATGGCCCTGGTGATTTCCACCTCCTTCATGCAAGACTCAGTGTAATCCTCTTCTCTGAGTGTGAGCAGCATCTGTGACTTGCTTCTAAGCAATAAGATATGGTCAAGGTGAGGGAATGCCACTTCGGTGGTAACGTTATGTAAGATTGTAACTTTGGTCTTGCTGCTAGGCTTTCTCAGTAGAACTCCCCTTGCTGGCTTTGATGAAGTAAGCTGCCATACAGATGTGGAGAGGTCCATGTGGAAGAAATTGAGAGTGACCTCTTGCCAAAAGTCATCAAGGAGCGGTGGCCCTGATTCCAAAGACCTGTAAAGAATTGAATCCTGCCAACATCTGTTTGAACTTCGGAATGGAACCTTGCCCAGTGGAGCTGTAGATGAGATCCCAGCTCTGACTGACAGCATGATTGTAGCCTTGTGAGAGACACTGAAGCAAAGGACCCAGCTCAGCCAATTCAGGATTCCTGACTCACAGAAATTGTGAACTAACAAATGAGTGTAATTTAGAACTAGTAAGCTTGTGCTAATACTGTTAGACAGCAGAAAATAACTAATACATGTGTCCTTCCAGGAATATTCACAAATGGAATCACATTATATATACTCTTTGGCAATTTGCCTTTTTTTCTCTTTGAAGAGATTTATTTTAACTTAAAGAGAAGGAAAGAGCAAAAAAGTTCATAGGAAATACTCTGTTTTCCTGTTCTTCTGAATATTTCTGAACAAGAATGTTATTAACTTTCGGTACATGGAGGGAATGAGCGTTTACTTTTCTCTGTGATTATTCATACACTAGTCTTCTCTAAATTCTCAAACATTCCATATTTTTTTTGCTATAAGCCATATCCTCTGACTGGAACATGTTCACCCATACCTCAGTTTTTGGTCTTCTGTGCAACTGATGTTTTTTCTTGAGATCTCAGGCCAATCGTCACCACTCCTGGGAAGCCCTCCCTGATCTCCTTGACGAGGTCAAGTTCCTTGATTTTTATACTGTCACATGACAGCATGTTTTTCCTTCATAGCATTTAGTACTTAGAACAATGGCAATTTTATATTTGTGTAATTAAAAAGTCTGTTTCCTTCACAATACCTATATCCTATAACCCTCTAGATAACTGGTCACTTTCAGCAGAGAAAACAGTTGATTCTGTATATTTTATAAAACCTTTATGGATATATAAAACCCCAGATAAAATGTATTCTGGATGAATTTGGGTTAGTCAATAAGATGTTTATAATTTTTCCACAAGAACTTTTTGTCCTCACGTGGGTTTTTAAACAATAGAACTGAAATCAGGCATAATGAGGCCAACATTTTGGTTTTACCATGTTGAAGAACATGGATCTTTCCAAGAGGAAACATAGACCATTCCCCAGACTTCCTCTGCTAAAATATCTTATGAGGAATCATTATTCATTTAGTTTTGTTTTAAAAATCAGTTAATTATTTTTAATTGATAAAAATTATATATGTTTATCATGTACAACAAAATTTTTGCAATATGTATATATTGTGGAATGGCTAAATCAAACTAATTAATACATGCATTGCCTCATGTACTTATTATTTTTTGTTGTGTGAATACTTAAAATATACTCCTGGCAATTTTCAAGAATACAGTACATTATTAACTGTAGTCATGGTGTTGGATGCTAGAGTCTGTTGAACTTATTCCTCCTGTCTAACTGAAATTTTATAACCTTTGCCCAACATCTCCTCAAACCATTCCCACTCCCCAGCCCCTGGTAACCACCATTTTACTCTCTACTTATATGAGTTCCATGTTTTTAGATTCCATATATAAGATCATGTGGTATTTGTCTTTCTGTTCCTGGCTTATTTTGCTTAACACAATGTCTTCCAAGTTCATCCATGTCACTGCAATTGACAGGATTTTTTTAAGGGGTGAATAGTATTCCGTTGTGTATGTATACCACATTTTCTTTACCCATTCATGTGCCGATGGGCATTTAGCTTATTCCATATCTTGGCTACTGTGAATCTGTTGCAGTGAACATGGGAGTGGAGATATCTCTTTGATACGCTGATTTCATTTTCTTTGTATGTATATCCAGTAGTGGCATTGCTGGGTCATAGAGTTGTTTTATTTTTAACTTTTTGAAGAACGTCCATTCTGTTTTCGATAATACCTTCACCACTCTACATTTCTGCCCACAGTGTACGTACAAGAGTTCCCTTTTCTCCACATCCTCTCCAACATTTGTTATATTTTAACTTTTTGGTAGTAGCCATTCTAACAGGTGTGAGGTGATATCTCATTGTGGTTTTAAATTTTATTTCTCCAATGATTAGTGATGTTGAGCATTTTTTATGTGCCTGTTGGCCATTTGTACGTCCTCTTTTTTTGAGACAGAGTTTTGCTCGTGTTGCCCAGGCTGGAGTGCATTGGCATGATCTTGGTTCACTGCAACCTTCGCCTCCCGGGTTCAAGAGATTCTCCAGTCTCAGCCTCCCAAGTAGCTGGAATTATAGGTGTGCGGCACCACGTCCGGCTAATTGTGTATTTTTAGTAGAGACGGAGTTTCATCATGTTGGTCAGGCTGATCTCGAACTCCGCACCTCAGGTGATCCATCCACCTCCGACTCCGAAATTGCTGGGATTACAGGTGTGAGCCACCGTGCCTGGCCTGTATGTCTTATTTTGAGAAATGGCTATTCAAATACTTTACCCATTAAAAAAAATCATATTATTTGTTTTATTGCTATTGAGTTTCTTTTATATTTGAGATATTAAACCCCCTATCAAATATATGGTTCGCAAGTATTTTCTCCCATTTTGTAGGTTCTCTGTTCACTCTGTTAATGGTTTCTTTAGCTGTGCAGAAGCTTTTTAGTTTGACGTAATTCCATTTGTCTACTTTTGTTTTTGTCCCTTTTCTTTTTGGGGTCATATCTAAAAAAATAAAATCATTGCCTTGATCAATGTCATGGAGCTTTTCTAAATATCACTATTAAATTAGTTCCTGGATGGTTTTAGTTTCCAATATCCAGAAATCTGTACATGTTTGCAGAGTAGATAGTGCTCATATTTGTGTGTGCCGATTCTTACCTCTTCTTCCAATGCAGAATGGAGAAAATGTTTATATTAGAAAATGTTTATTTAAAAAATATTTATATTTATATTAAAAAATATTTGTATTACTTTAGTTATGATGCAGAAACAAATAATCTAAATGCTCAGTGGTTGATCTAATAAAGGTTTATTTTTCATTTGCAATCCATGTTTCCACAGGGTTGCTAGGGCACTGAGTCCTGCATTGTCCCTTAGGGACCCAGCCATCACCACATTCTGGCTCCCCATCTGAAACACTCAGCGTCCTTAGTTTTTCAGTAACCATGATGGAGGAAAGAGAGGGCTGTGGGATTTCATATGGGTTTTTTATTGCCTTAGACTAGAAGCAGCATATATCAATGTCACTTCCACTTCACTGGTAAGAAATGATTGTGGAACTTCACCTAATTGCAAGGAGACTAGGAAATACAGAGGACAATGGAGATCAAATGGAATATTTGGTAAGTATGTCTGCCATGAAGTTCTCTTCCTAACCATCAGCAGCAAAGAAAATTCCTAACCATCAACAGCAAAGGAATGTTTTTAAGGATATGGCTGAAGTAGATGGTGATATAGGTAGAAACTGGAGCATAACTAAGTTCAAAGCTAAATGGGGACATTATGCTTTTATAACATTTGGAGATTTTGTTAAAGATGTAGAAGATCGATTGTGAGCTTTCAGATTTAAATTCTGATATAGTTTGGATATTTGTCCCCCCAGATCTCGTGCTGAAATATAATCACTGATGTTAGAGGTGGGGCCTGGTGGGAGGTGTTTTGGTCATGGGTGTGATGCCTCATGTCTAAGTGCTGTCCTAATGATAGTGAGTAAGTTCTTGGGAGATCTGGTTGTCTACAAGTGTGGTACCTCCCCCCACAATCTTGCTCCTGCTCAAGCCATGTGATGTGCTTACTCCCGCTTTGCCTTCTGCCATGAGTAAGATCTCTGAGGCCAACCCGAAAGCCAAGCAGATGCCCGTACCATGCTTCCTTTACAGCCTGCAGTACCACAGGCCAATTAAACTTCCTTTTCTTATAAATAATCCAGCCTTAGGTATTTCTCTGTAGTAATGCAAGAATGGCCTAACATAAATGCCTAGAAATTGAGTTGTTATAAAACACTAGGGAAAAGATGTATCATCTTTTATATTAATACCCTTGCATTTTTCTTGTCTTTGGGTGAGACTCTGCATGTATTTTATTTTGATCCACTCATAATGTAAATGAGTGTTAAGATCTCATTAGTACTTCTGTCCATCTTATTTCTTTAAGTTTAAATCACCCACTTCAAGTATTAGTGTATAATTTTATCCGTACAGGCACTGGCCATTACTGCTCTGATTAATTCATTCTTCAGATTGTGGAATAATTATTAATTCATAATTACTACCTTTCAAAGGTTTCTATCCATCACTTTTAAGTCACAAGTTGAAGGCTCCTTAAGAAAACTAAAGGCCACTGGTATCGAGTGACTCTCCAGTGTTTAATATTTTTACTATTGAACAACAGATACTCCTAGTTATTAATGGACCAGGACTGGTGGATGCAGACATAAGTAAACAGTGGTCCTGACACATGAGGATTTTAGTTTATGGTAGTGGATCCCAAACCTTGCTGTTGATGATAATTCCTTGGACTGCCTGTTAGAAATGTAGTATCTCAGATTACCTGCAAGGATTTGGATTCAGTGAGTCCAGGGTCTACATTTTAGCAAATACATCCCACATGACTATGATGTAGGTGACCTACAGACAACATTTGGCTAAATGCTGGCTTACTGGATCACATGAAGTATCAGTGTAGTGAGAGACCCTTATCCCCATGCCCCATCATTTCCCCTTGCTCCCTCCTTTATTCTTATCAGAGGAATGACCTAGTTACTATCCTCTTTCTCTTCTTTCAAAATCTGCTTCTTTGCAGAGTCAATGTTTCTGTCTTTTATATGCCTTGTGGTGAGAAGCCTTTCTCTGTGGGATACCTTGATGCTGTACAGCTGTGCCAGAGCCTTATGAGTAAATATATTCATTCCATGTAGGATATTAATAGACCTATATGACTCTGCATATCTCATCAGTGATTCTCAGCTTGGAGATATTTTGGCCACCCATTTCTCCCTAGGGGTACATTTGGCAATGCCTGGAGATATTTTTATTATTACATTTGAGGGTAGGAGAGGGTGCTATTGGCAACTAGTGGGTAGAGGCCAGGAATGCTGCTAAACATCCTACAGTACACAGGATAGCCACTACTCCCTTAACAAAGAATTTTTTCTGCCTAATATGTTAATAGTACCAAGGTGGAGAAACCCTGATCTAAACCCTATTCTTCCTGTACATTCATAAAAAGGTAACATTTCTATCTCTAGTTGTTTGGCTCCTGAGTTTGTCTCTGGTTAGCTACAGATTTAGGTGGGGAAGAGAATGGCAGTATGTATTGGGCCCCCTAAAAGTACATCAAGAAGGAGTGGGCAGAAGACAGGAGAGAAAGCAGAGGACACCATGAAAACGAGGAAGATCATGTTCTAAAGAGGGCGAAGCCATCAGAGTCACCTGCTTCAGAGAGGTCTAGTGGGGGAGGAACTTAAATGTGTATTTAGGACTTAACATCATGACTTCAATGATCTCCTTTATCAGAGGTACTTGGATGACAGAATGGAGCAGATTGCCTTGAGGAGTGAGTGAGTGGTAAGGAGATGGAGATAGTCACTGCTGGATTCTCTCTCTCTGGCTGTTGAGGGGAAGCAAGAGAAAGGATGACAACTAGAGGGAAACACAGGAACTGACAACATTGAACATGTTTGTGTAATAAATAGAGAGGCTAATAGAGAAGGAGTATTTGAAGACCAGATAAAAAAGAGAAATTGTCTGGTGTGAAGTTGCTGAGAAGGTCAGAGAAAGATGAAATTCAGAACACGGTTAGAAGAATCTTCTTTTTTCAGAAGAAGTGATTATGACTATGATGATGTGGGAGAAAATAAAAAAATGCAAGTAAGTTTGTAAAACATGGGCTTTGTTGTGGTCAGGGGAGGAGGGAGATGGAGCAAGTCTTTCTTGATGGTCTCTTTTCTTCTTTGCTGAACTGAAAGGTGGTGCCATTTTCTGAGACTTCAGAGAGAAGTGGTACAGTAGGGAGCCCAAAGGGGATAGTAAAAATTTCAAATGGAAATCAAGTGGAAGAAGGAACCAACTAGAGGCCATTGCATCAGCTTTTTTTTTTTTTTTTTTTTTTTTAACTGTAGTTCAGAGGTTGGTAGGGAGGTGAATCTACTCACTTCTATTTTACAACAAACTCAAGCTATACATTCCAGGCTGTCACATTCTGTTGCCCCCAGGAATTGTACTCCTGGTTGTCAGGGCAGGGGGAGACTAATGGGATAGGATGACAATACTGTCACATTCCTGCTTCTTCCTTGCCTCCCATGACCTAATTTCTGGATATATAATCTGGGGAGTCTGACGTTTGTCCAGAAACTTAACAACTCTCACATATGATGTGAATTTGCCCTGCTGCCCTCCCATAACTGGTACCTTAGCAGAAAACCCATTTCATGTCTAGGAATTGGACCCTGGCAAACAGTATCTGTTGTGTCAGTGATTCAGAAAGTATGATTACCACATGTGATCTTGTTTGCATCCTACCTTGTTTGAATTTCAATGAGTACTTTCATGGCCCATAGAGACAACAGGATGAAACATTTGAAATAGGTGTCATACTGGGATACCCAGGAAAAGGGAGCCCTAAAGGCAACCACCTGCTTCACCTCCTTGCAAGTGTGTCTTTTGAATACTTTGCTTCATTGATTTAAGTTTCCGAAATGCTCATGATACTCATCTCTATCCACAATGCTAGTACAAAGGGAGCTTGAATGTTTTCATTTGCATCTCTAAACTCTTGCAAAGGTTGTAAAGTTATTTTACCCACTGGTAAATGTAATAAACAGTGATATTCAGATAGTGCACATTTAAGTTTGCCTTTCCTCTCTACATAAAAGTGCATGCTAATGGCCGCTGGATAATTATAATTAAACCACATTCAATAGATAAACAAATTAAAGCAGAGCAAATTGTGTGCATCCTTCCCCAAACAGCACTCACATGATCAGACAGAGAAACCCAAATCATTCAAGGATATTGCAAGAGCTATTGAAGGAGCTATTGATTTTTTTTAAGATAAGAAAGTGTCTTCAGTATCAATAGGTAGTATCTGTTTATCAGCTAATGTTTTTGTAATACTGCAGAGATGAAAAAGGAAATTGGATCAAAGCTAGTCAAACCTTACACACTAACCAGGACTTACCAACCTTATCACGATTGCTGGTATTATTTTTTTAACATTTACTTTTAATTACAAGTTAATACATGCGTTTACTTCCTTTGTAAAATATTACAACATTTCTGATGAACCTCAAGTATCCATCTGTTCTTCAGAGGTAACACTCGTTAGTGGTTTGATGTGGACACTTCCAGATGGTTTTTAATGCATTTTAAATACATATATAATATGTATATATCTATGTGTATATAAGTAAATATACATATATACACACACACATACATATACACACCCATACATGTTTTACCGTGTTATATTGTGGGGTTTTTGTTTGCTTATTTTTTGGGGGGATTTCAACATAAATGGAATCATTTCACAAGTGCCTGCCTCTAACATGCATTTATTATTCAATACTATGTCTTACATATTTCTGATACTGGTACTTTCAAATCTACTTCAATATTTCCCCCATTTCATTTTCTTTTTCTCTTAGTATATTTGTATTAAAGCAACAAATTTCCTTGATTAAAATTCCAGAAAAAATAAAATCTTATAACAAAATGCCATGGAGTTTTCTGCACCATGGCTACCAGCTCCATTCCCATGACTCAAAGGCAACCCCTCTGAGTAGTTGCCTGTGGTTATGATCTCCAGATATTTAAATAATATATATACCCATATAATTATTAATGAGTTATTAATGTCAGATACTATATTGACTTCCTGCTTGGTGAAACATGATTACCCTTGCTGACACCATCGCTGCCTTTCCTCCCAATCTTTCCCCAATATGATCCTAACATTCCATTAAGTTTCTCTCTTGGCTGTGTTTGTAAATATAATTTAAGTAATTAAACTTCTTGTCTCATCAACTATATATATTATATCTGGACTCCTTGTAAACTTTGTATGATGGTGATGTGCCCCTCTTTTTAGCTTTCCTTTCCACTCTTCTTTTTAACTTTTATTTTAAGTTCAGGGGTCCATGTGCAGGTTTGTTACATTGGTAAACTTACAGCATGGAGGTTTGTTGTACAGATTATTTTATCACCCAGGTATTAAGCCTGGTACCCATTAGTTGTTTTTCCTGATCCTCTCTCCCTCCTCTGACATAACACTCTCCAAAAGGCCCTAGTGTGTGTTGTTCCCCTCGATGTGTCCATGTGTTCTAATCATTTAACTCCCACTTATAAGTGAGAACATCTGGTATTTGGTTTTCTATTCCTGCATTAGTTTGCTAAGGTTATTGGCTTCACTCCATCCATATCTCTGCAAAAGAGATGATCTTGTTCTTTTTTTATGGCTGCATAGTATTCTGTGGTATATATGTACCACATTTTCTTAATCTAGTCTATTATTGATAGACATTTAGGTTGATTCTATTAGTATGCACATTTAAGCCATTAGCATGCACATTTAGGTTGATTCTTTCCTATTGTGAATAGTGATGCAATAAACATGCATGCATGTGTGTTTATAATAGAATGATTTGTATTCCTTTAGATACATACCCAGTAATGGAATTTATGTCTTTAGGTCTTTGAAGAATCACCACACTGTCTTTCACAATGGTTGAACTGATTTACACTCACACCAACAGTGTATAAACATTCCTTTTCTTCACAACCATGCCAGCATCTGTTATTTTTTGACTTTTTAATAATAGCCATTCTGACTGGTGTTAGATCGTACCTCATTGTGGTTTTGATTTGCATTTCTTTAATTATCAGTGATGTTCAGCTTTTTTCCATGTGATTGTTGGCCACATGTATGTCTTCTTTTGAAAAGCGTTAATGTCCTTTGCCCACTTTTTTATGGGGTCATTTGTTTTTTTCTTTGTAAATTTAAGTTCCTTATAGATGCTGGATCTGAGACCTTTGTCAGCTGCATGGTTTGCAAAAGTTTCTCCCATGCTGTACGTTGTCTGTTTACTCTGTTGATAGTTTCTTTTGTTGTGCAGAAGCTCTTTAATTAGATGCCATTTGTCAATTTTTGCTTTTGTTGCAACTGCTATTGGTGTCTTCATCATGAAATCTTTGCCTATGCCTATGTCCAGAATGGTATTGCCTAGGTTTTCTTCCAGAGTTTTTATAGTTTTGGGTTTTACATTTAAGTCTTTAATCCATCTTGAGTTAATTTTTGCATATGGTGTAAGGAAGGTGTCCGGTTTCAATTTTCTGCATATGGTTAGCTAGTTCTTTCAGTACCATTTATTGAATAGGGAGTACTTTCCCCATTGCTTGTTTTTCTCAGGTTTGTTGAAGACCAGATAGTTGTAGGTGTGCAGTCTTATTTCTAGGTTCTCTGTTCTGTTCTATTGTTCTGTGTGTCTGTTCTTATACCACACTGTTTTGGCTACTGTTGCCCTGTAGTATAGTTTGAAGTCAGGTAGCGTGATGCCTACGGTTTTGTCCTTTTTGCTTAGGATTGCCCTGGCTATTTGTGCTCTTTTTTTGGTTCCATATGAATTTTAAAACAGTTTTTTTTTTTCTAGACCTGTGAAGAACGTTAATGGTAGTATAATGGGAATACCATGAATCTATAAATTGCTTTGGGAGGTATGGCCATTTTCACAATATTGATTCTTCCTATCCATGAGCATGAAATAGTTTTCTATTTGTGTCATCTCTAATTTCTTTGAGCAGTGTTTTGTGTTCTCCTTGTACAAATGTTTCACCTCCCTAGTTAACTATATTCCTAGATATTTTATTCTTTTCTTGGTTGTTGTAAATGGAAGTTTTGTTCATGATTTGGCTCTTGGCTTGACTGTTGGTATGTAGGAATGTTAGTAATTTTTGCACACTGATTTTGTATCTTGAGCCTTTGCTGAAGTTATCAGCTTAAGAAGCTTTTGGGCTGGGTCGATAGGGTTTTCTAGACATAGGATCATGTCATCTGCAAACAGGGATAGCCTGACTTCCTCTCTACCTATTTGAATACGCATTATTTCTTTCTCTTGCCTGATTGCCCAGGCCAGAACTTCCAATAATATGTTGAATAGGAGTGGAGAGAGAGGGCATTCTTGTCTTGTGCCAATTTTCAAGGGGAATGCTTCCAGCTTTTGCTCATTCATTATGATGTGGACTGTGGGTTTGTCATAGATGGCTCTTATTATGTTGAGGTATGTTCCTTCCATACCTAGTTTATTCAGAGTTTTTAGCATGGATGGATGTTGAATTTTATCAAAAGCCTTTTTCTGCTTCTATTGAGATAATCATGCGATGTTTGTCTTTATTTCTGTTTACATGATGAATCACATTTATTGATTTGTGTGTGTTAAACCAACCTTGCATCCTTGGGATGAAGCCTACTTGATTGTGGGGGATAAGCTTTGTGATGTGCTGCTGGATTCAGTTTGCCAATATTTGTTGAGGATTTTTGCATTGATGTTCATCAAGGATATTGGCATGAAGTTTTCTTTTTATGTTGTATCTCTGCCAGGTTTTGGTATCAGGATGATGCTGGCCTCATAGAATGAGTTAGGGAGCATTCCTTCTTTTCAATTTTTTGGAATAGTCTTAGCAGGAATTGGTACCAGCTCTTCTTTGTACATCTCGTAGAATTCAGTTGTGAATTCATCTGGTCCTGGGCATTTTCTCGTTGGTAGGCTATTTATTGCCTTAATTTCAGAACTCGTTATTGGTCTGCTCAATTTCTTTCTAGTTCAGTCTTGGGAGGATATATGTGCCCAGGAATTGATCTATTTCTTCTAGATTTTCTAGTTTATGTGTATAGAGGTGTTCATAATATTCTGATGGTTGTTTGTATTTCTGTGGGGTAAGTGGTAATGTCCCCCTTATCATTTCTGATGGTGTTTATTTGAATCTTCTCTCATTTCTTTGTTACTTTAGCTAGTGGTCTATTTTATTAATGTTTTCAGCAAATGAGCTTCTGTCATTATCGATCTTTTGAATGATTTTCATTTCTCTTATCTCCTCCAGTTCAGATCTGATCTTGGTTATTTCTTTTCTTCTGCCAAGCTTTGGGATTTAGTTGCTCTTGGTTCTCTAGTTCTTCTAGTAGCAATGTTAGGTTGTTTACTTGAGATCTTTCTAACTTTTTGATGTGGGCATTTAGTACTATAAATTTCCCTCTTAATACTGCCTTCCCTGTGTTTCAGAGATGATGGTACATTGTATCTTTGTTCTTACTAGTTTCAAAGAACTTCTTGAGTTCTGCCTTAATTTCATCATTTACCCAAAAGTCATTCAGGAGAAGGTTATTTGATTTCCATGTAATTGTATGGTTTTGAGTGGATTTCTTAGTCATGATTTCTAATTTGATTGGGCTGTGGTCTGAGAGACTGTTTTTTATAATTCCAGTTCTTTTGCATTTGCTGAGGAGTGTTTTACTTCTGATTTTGTGATCAATTTTAGAGTAAGTGCCATGTGGCAATGAGAAGAATGTATATTCTGTTGGTTTTGGGTCGAGAGTTCTGTAGATATGTATCAGGTTAATTGATCCAGTGCTGAGTTCACGTCCTGAATATCTTTGCTAATTTTCTGTCTTGATGATCTGTCCAATATTGTCAGTGGGGTGTGAAAGTCTCCCAGTCTTATTGTGTGGGAGTCTAAGTCTGTTTGAGGGTCTCTAAGAACTTGCTTTATGAATCCGGGTGCTCCTGTGTTGGGTGCATATATATTTAGGATCATTAGATCTTCTTGTTGAACTGAACCCTTTATTATTATGCAGTGCCCTTCTCTGTCTTTTTTCATCTTTGTTGGTTTGAAATCTGTTTTGTCAGATGTGTTGCAACCCCTGCCTTTTTCCGTTTTCCATTTGCTTGGTAGATTTTTCTTCACTGCTTTATTTTGAGTTTATGTGTGTCATTGCATGTGAGGTGGGTCTTTTGAAGCCAGCCTACCAATGGGTCTTGGTTCTGTATCCAACTTGCCACTCTGTATCTTTTAATTGGGGACATTTATCCCATGTACATTTAAGGTTAGTATTGATATGTGTGGATTTGATCCTGTCATCATGATATTAGCTGGTTATTTTGCAGACTTGTTTATGTGGTTGCTTCACAGTGTCACTGGTCTGTATACTTCAGTGTGTTTTTGTAGTGGCAGCAATCATCTTTTCTTTCCATATTTAGTGCTTCTATCAGGAGCTCTTGTAAGGCGCATCTGGTGGTAATGAATTCCCTCAGCATTTACTTCTTTGAAAAGGATCATATTTTTCCTTCAATTATGAGGCTTAGTTTGGCCAGATATGAAATTCTAGGTCGGAATTTTTTTTCTTTAAGAATGTTGAATATTGATCTCCAATCTCTTCTAGCTTGCAGGGTTTCTGCTGCAAGGTCCACTGTTAGTCTGATAGGCTTTCCTTTGTAGGTGACCTGGCCTTTCTCTCTAGCTGCCCTTGACATTGTTTCTTCCATTTTGACCTTGGCGAATCTTATGGTTATGTGTCTTGGGGATGATCTTCTTGTGTAGGGATGATGATCTTCTCATAGAGTATCGTACTGGGGTTCCCTGCATTTCCTGAATGTTGTCCTGTTTAGCTAGGTTAGGGAAGTTCTGATGAATAACATCCTGAAACATGTTTTCCAAATTGTTTCCACTCTCCCCATCTCTTTCAGGTACACCGATGAGTCATAGATTCAGTTTCTTTACATAATCCCATATTTCTCAGTGATTTTGTTCTTTCCTTTGCATTCCTTTTTCTCTCTTCTGGTCTGCCTGTCTTATTTCAGAAAGACAGCCTTTAAGCTCTGAGATTCTTTTCTCTGCTTGGTTTGTTCTGCTGCTAATACTTGTGATTGCATTGTGAAGTTCTTGTAGTGTGTTTTTCAGCTCTATCAGGTCACTTACATTCTTCCCTATAGTGGCTATTTTGTCTCTCAGCTCCTGTAATGTTCTATCATAATTTTTATCTTCCTTGCATTGGGTTACGATGTACTCCTTTAGCTCAGTGAAGTTTGTTCTTGTCCATATTCTGAATTCTATTTCTGTCATTTCAGCCATTTCGGCCTCAGCCTAGTGCTGAACACTTGATAGAGAGGTGATGCAGTGTTTGGAAGAAAGAGGGCACTCTGGCTTTTTGAGTTTTCAGCATTCTTGTGCAGATTCTTTCTCACTTTCGCATCTTTGTGGGCTTATCTACCTTCAATCTTTGAGGCTGCTGACCTTTGAATTTCTTTCTTGTTTCCTTTTAAAATGCTGGCCACTTTTGTGTAGGGCTACTGTGGTTTGCTGGGGGCCCATTGCAGTCTAGTTGCCTCAGATTTTCCAGTACCTGGAGGTATCACAGTGAGGTCTGTGAAACAGCCTGCCCCTTCCTCTGAGAGCTCCATCCCAGGAGGTAATGATCTGTTGTCATCCTGAAGGCAACTGTGTGAAGTGCCTGGAGACCCTGCTTGGGATGTCTCACCCAGTCAGGAGGAGTGGGATTGGGGACCCTTTAAAAACGCAGTCTGGCAACGCTTTTGTAGAGCAGCTGTGCTGTGCTGGGGTACTGCTTTTACCCCCGGTTGGCTTGGGCTCTCCAAAGCCCAAAGGCTGGAACGACTACGCCACCCTAATGGCAAATATGGTGGCCTGCCCCTCCATCTGGGAGCTCTGTCTTAGGAAGTTTTCAAATCTCTGTTGGTCAGAGAATACCGGCAGGGGTGGCTGGAGGCCCCAGTTGGGAGGTCCTGCCCAGTGAGGAGGAATGGATTGGGGACCCACTTAAAGAAGCAGTCTGGCTATGTTTTGGTAGAGCAGTTGTGCTGTGCTGGGGCATCGCTTTCACCCCTGGTTGGTTTGGACTCTCCAAAGCCTGTAGGCTGAAGCATCTGAGTTGCCCAAACAGCAAAGTTGGTGGTCCACACCTCCCCCTGGGAACTCTGTCCCGGGGAGAATTCAAATATCTGTCAGCTGGAGAACACCAGTGGCCTTTCCACTCTTCCAATTTATTTTATTATAATCCATACCCTGTAAAATGTTGAGTTGGAATATGTGCTTCATTTACAAGCTGAATCTAAACATGGAAAAATCAACACATGGCATTTACATTATTATGACTACACAGACATTCTGTATACAAAGTATATTATATATACTTTTAAAATAAAACTTTCAGTTTTTGTTTCTTATTGTTCTTGTTTTCTTACATTATTTGCCTTTATATTCTCTCTCTATATTTTTTAAAAAAACCCCTTTCAATAAAATATTTTTGGATTCTTCTTTCCCAGAAATTTTCTGCTCAGGGCCATCCATTCTGTTGTTCCAGTAAGAACTATTGTTCTCCAGGCCTGTCACCCAGCTTTTATCCTGGGACATTTTACTGCTTCTGTAGTATCTTCCTCTTATTTCTTATTCCCATATAGTTTTGCTCCAAGATATGTTCAAGTAACTTACTAAGAAATGGTATGTGAAGGGTAAATTTTCTGGACACGCACAAAAATATATTTATCCTCAAATTTAATTGTTAATGTGTTTGCATAAAAATTCAAGTTTGAAAATTATTTTCCCTTGCAGTAATGAAGGCATGTTGTATTCTGTTCCAAGCAATCTAAAGACAATCAGCTTATTTCAATGTCAGTGACCTTTTTTTTTAAAAGAAAAAAACCCTACATGAAAGCTTTTAGCATCTTTATTCTTTGTATTGTAAAACTTTACAGAGATTTTCCTGAGTACAGGTCTTTTTCATTTAATATGGGCCTTTCAAATTTGGAGTCTCATGGAGATTTTCTTGTATTATTTCCTAGATAATTTTTCTTTCATTTGTCTCTGTTATCTTTTTTTTTTTCCTAAAATTGCTGTTAGATTGGAATGTCTGATGTTTGAGATATATGAATTAAGTGTTCCTTTTTTTTTTTTTTTTCCATTTCTCTGCCTTTAATTCTCCTTCTTGGGATATATCTTGACTTTATTTTCAAACTGTCCACTCATTTTTTTCTAACTTGACAATATATTTTCAACATTTAAGAATTTCTAGCTTTCTACTGACTTTTCTTTTTTAAGTAATGTTTTACTATTTTACAGATAAAATAACATCTTGAGATTTCTGAGGATAATAATCAGAGATTTAAAAAAATTGTTTCATTCCCTTAAATTATTCTTTCCCTCTGGCATCATATTTGTTTTCTTTTCTTTTTTTTAATCTTTGTCTTTTCTTTGGAAATTTTCTTCAGATACCAGTAATCTTTAGGTATCCTTTTATCCTTTCAGAATGAGAGTATAAAAGGCTGTTTGGGGAGCTCTGTGTATATAGGCAGAAGCTTGTCCCTTGGAGGCCGCCACTTTAGGACAATTGCTGAGAACTTTCAATGCCAGGATGTGAATGTGTTTTCTTTGTGGACATCCCCTGAGGAGACAGATGACAAGCTGCTCTTTGTGCAGCAAGGCTGGTAGGTATTTAGCAGTATGTCCTCACAGGACCGCTTACTTGGGAGGGCCCTGCCTTTGGTTTAATGCTCTGTGTTCTCAGTCTCAAAATTACTAATCATTTTAACTTAAACTTTTTTTTTTTTTGTAAGTCAAGTCCAAGGGGACAATGGAGCATGTTAACATGATTTTTCACAAAACTTGATGAACTGATTCGAAACTTCATGGAGAAAACTAAATGCACAAGAATATGCAAGACCCTTTTTGTTGAAGTTACAAGCCTTGGGCAGGCTCCATTTTCCCCTTGGACTTGACAGTCTCTAAATAATATGTTAATATCAGTGCTTCCACTGGAAGCACTAGAAGCACTGAAATTAACATATCTGGAGACTGTTGACATCTTTATTTTAATGAGCATGGTATATCTCTCTATTCAGGTCTTTGTTTTAACATTTAAAAAACATATTTCTGAGAGTTTTTTGTACATGAGTATCTTGCTCATATTTGTGTAGTTTTATTCCTATTTTATAGTAGTTGCTATTATAAATGACATTTTTTTCCTATTACATTTTCTAATTCATGGTTTTTGGAAAACCATGGATTTTTCCTTGCTGATCTTGTATCTGGCAACTTTGTTTTTGTTCTTCAACTACTTTTTAAGCTGATTCTCTTGCTGATAGGTCTTCAACTAGTGTAGCTACCCAGATCTTCTTTTTTTTTTTTTTTTAACAATTTGCTTGTCATTTCCATTAAGAGGTAGCAAACCCTTTTGAACTTTACTGTGACTAGAATTCCCTATCAAGGACATCATGATTAACATGCCTGCCCTCACTCCCAGGTCAGTTCCAAAAGTACTTACCCGGCGGATAAGTTTTGTCAGTGCATTGATATGGTGAGAATAATTCAATCCCTAAATTACATTTTGAAATACTCAGTCCATCCATCCTGTCAAAAGATATTTCAAATAGATGTTTTTCTATGGCTCTTGACAAGTTACATTGACCAAATATTTTTGTTTAAATTTGGTGCACTTGGTATAAATATTTATATGAAATTAATTTACGTTAGTGCCATTGATGACTTGGCTCTGGGGATGGGGTGGCCAGATGAATTACAGGATACCTAGTTAAATCTGAGTATAGAAAAAATAACTTTTAGTGAAACTATGTGCCATGCAATATTTAGGACATATTTATTCCATACAGTATTTGGAACATTGATATGGTTTTGTTGTGTGTCCCCACCTGAATCTCATCTTGAATCATACTATCACAATTCCCACATGTTGTGGGAGGGACCCAGTGGGAGATAATATGAATCACAGAGGCGGTTTCCCCCATGCTAGTCTTGTGATAGTGAATAAGTCTCATGAGATCTGATGGTTTTATTAGGGTTTCTGCTTTTGCATCTTCCTCATTTTTCTCTTGTCCCCGCCATATAACAAGTGCCTTTTGCCTCCTGTCGTGATTCTGAGGCCTCCCCAGCCATGTGGAACTGTAAGTCCAATTAAATCTCTTTTTCTTCCCAGTCTTGGGTAGGTCTTTATCAGCAGTGTGAAAATGGACTAATACAGTAAATTGGTACTGGTAGAGTGGGGCGTTGCTGAGAAGATACCCGAAAATGTAGAAGCGACTTTGGAACTGGGTAACAGGCAGAGGCTGGAACAGTTTGGAGGGCTCAGAAGAAGATAGGAAAAATGTGGGAAAGTTTGAAAACTCCTAGAGATTTGTTGAATGGCTTTGACAAAAATGCTGATAGTGATATGAACAATAAGGTCCATACTGAGGTGGTCTCAGATAGAGATGAGGAACTTGGGAAATGGATCAAAAGTGACTCTTGCTATGTTTTAGCAAAGTGACTGGAGCATTTTGCCCCTGCCCTAGAGATTTGTGGAACTTTGAACTTGAGGGAGTTAAGTTAGGGTATCTGGCGGAAGAAATTTCTAACCAGCAAAGCATTCAAGAGGTGACTTGGGTGCTGTTAAAAGCATAAAAGCTCGGAAAATTTGCAGCCTGACGATGTGATAGAAAAGAAAATCCCATTTTTTGAGGAGAAATTCAAGCTGGCTACAGAAATCTGTGTAAGTAACAAGGAACCGAATATTAATCCCCAAAACAATGAGGTAAATGTCTCCAGGGCATGTCATAGGTCTTCATGGCAGCCCCTCCCATCACAGACCTGGAAGTTTAGGATAAAAAAATGGTTTCATGGGCTAGGCCCAGGGTCCCCATGCTGTGTGCAGCCTAGGAACTTTGTGTCGTGAGTCCCAGCCACTCCAGCCTTTGCTAAAAAGGGCCATGGTACAGCTTGGCCCATAGTTTCAGAGGGTGAAAGCCTCACTTTGGCAGCTTCCACATGGTGTTGAGCCTGCAGGTACACAGAAGTCAAGAATTGAGGTTTGGGAACCTCCACGTAGATTTCAGAAGATGTACGGAAATGCCTGGATGCTCAGGTGAAAGTTTGCTACAGGGGCAGTGCCCTCATGGAGAACCTCTGCTAGGATAGCATGGAAGGGAAATGTGGGGTCACAGCCCCCAGACACTGAGTCCCTACTGGGGCACTGCCTAGTGGAGCTGTGAGAAGAGGGTCACTATCCTCCAGACCCCAGAGTGGTAGATCCACCGACAGCTTGCGCCATTCACCTGGAAAATCTGCAGACACTCAATGCCAGCCTGGGAAAGCAGCCAGGACGGGGGCTTTACCCTGCAAAGCCACAAGGGTGGAGCTGTCCAAGACTATGGGAACCTACCTCTTGCATCAGGATGACCTGGATGTGAGACATGGAGTCAAGGGAGATCATTTTGGAGCTTTAGAATTTGACTGCCCTGCTGGATTTTGGACTTGCATGGGCTCTGTAATCCCTTTGTTTTGGCCAGTTTCTCCCATTTGGAATGGCTGTATTTACCCAATGCCTGTACCCCATTGTATCTAGGAAGTAACTAGCTTGCTTTTGACTTTACAGGCTCATAGGCCGAAGGGACTTGCCTTGTCTCAGATAAGACTTTGGACTGTGGATATTTGGGTTAATGGTGAAATGAGTTAAGACTTTGGGAGACTGTTGGGCAGGCATGATTTGTTTTGAAATGTGAGGACATGAGATTTGGAGGGGTGGAATGATATGGTTTGGCTCTGTGTCCCCACCCAGATCTCATCTTGAATTGTACTTCCATAATTCCCATGTGTTGTGGGAGGCCCCTAGTGGGAGATAATTTGAATCATGGGGGCAGTTCCCCCATACTGTTCTCATGGTAGTGAGTAAGTTTCGTGAGATCTGATGGTTTTATCAGGGGTTTCCGCTTTTGCATCTTTTTTATTTTTCTCTTGCTGCCGCCATGTAAGAAGTGCCTTTTGCCTCCTGCCATGATTCTGAGGCCTCCCCAGCCATTTGGAACTGTAAGTCCAGTTAAACCTCTTTTTCTTCCCAGTCTCAGGTATGTCTATCAGCAGCATGTAAATGGACTAATACAAACATACACAAAAAATTATTTGTTGTTTATCTAGATTTAAAGTTAACTAGGTATCTTATGTTTTTCTTTGCTATATCTGGTGACCCTATCCGGGAAGGCATTATAAGAAGATATAGATGTTGTGGTGTGTGGACACCAACAGTAACACAATGTAGCCATCTGTTTTGATAAAGGAAGTAGCAGAAAACAGAAGAAAGTCACTTTCAGACTGAAAGGTTTTGACGATTTCATTTGCATACTTTATTCAGGGTTGAAAATGATGAATTTTGCAGCATCTCTCTTTAAGCCCCTATTAGGGAAGTAACTACAGCAAAACATTCATATAATGCTAAACAGAAATTATTTTAGGATTTCTGCTACTTTTTGTATTACATTTTTGGATTTGTTTCATTATAGTCTTTAATACAGATAATTAACGTGATAAGAAAACAAAGAGTTAGAGAAAGGAATTTTAATATTACCTCAGTCACTAAAGAACTATGTGACTATGATGGTCATTAAATTAAGACTGTTCACAAATACGTTGGTTCTTCTTGTTTCGGGCATATGATAGCATTGCAGTGTGCAGTACTAAAGACTCATGACTTGCTTTTGCTAATAAAACATGAGTGGAAACTTAAGAACTAAAGTTCCATTTGCTACGGCCTTATACTGGCCACAGTAACCTTGGAAACTTGTGTTAAGATGGAATTTGGACAGCTGGGGTCCCTGAATGAGTATGATGACTAGACCCACGTTGAATATATAGTGTAAATGAAAAATAAAAGTTAAAACAGCAAATTTCAGCTTATTTGTTACTGCAGCATAACGTAGCCCACACTGAGAGAAACAAATTGTATATTGAAATGGGGGTTGCTACACTAAAGCCTGTAACATATGGCATTGGGTTATTGGTTGGATGCTGGTCAGTAGAAAGCATATTAGAGGCTAGACAAATGACAAACTTCTCCCATGATAATTTGGAGTTAATGTACCTATTTAATTTGTATCTCTAGAGAAAGAGGTAGAAAATAAAATGTTAGTAATGTGTATTGGTTGCTATTTACTTTGATAAGATACTTCAAAAAAGATGAATTGGACACTTTGTAAGCACAAATAAAAGGAATAGAGAGAGTTCCTAGATTCAAAGAATTGTATGGTTGGAAGAGGCAACTTCCAATGTCAAAGAAAGATTAAAAAAATTGAGAAGGCTTTTGGTCAAGAAAGGCTGATTAAACTCAAATATGGCTATTACATTTATTGTTAAGTCTTCCAGATAAAAGTATCTCTTTTAATGTCTAACTAAAGGTATGAAACCAAGTAAATCATTTCAGTTGGACAAAATACCTCAGGAATAAAATACTAATGTGAACAGAGTTTTTTGCTAACCTCCATTACACGGATAGTCAGAACAAGAAATACACATTATTATTTTTTTCCTTAGCCAGGGAGTTCTTGGGCTTCCAAGGCATGTATATTGACTTTAACCTCTTGTCTATTTATTTTTCTATAAAATGGGATTAATTATACTTGTCCAGTGTATTCTATAAGATAATTTTGAAAATCATGGATTTGTAGCATGAAATCCATTAGCATAAATTACAAATCCATTATAGCATTCATTTATTGAACATCATTCATGTGCTCAGCTTGTCCTAGGCTTTAGGAAATCAAACCCGAATTTTTTTCGTAGAATAAGAAAACTGAAAATACTGTGTGATCATTAAGCATAGTGGGCTTTTGGCTTACAAAAGATTAGATCTCTCAGCATTGTAAGGGAAGCTGTCAAAGAATAATTGCTAGAGGAGGTAACGTGTGTTGAACTTTGAAGGCCTGAGAATTATGTCTAGGCAGAAGCCATAGCAAGAACGATGGAGGCAGTAATAAAATAGCAAATCAATTAGTGCTCATGGGATAGTAATGGTGGATAACATTGGGAGGGTGGCGGCGAGAGACAGATCTCTTCTGTCAAGGACTTAGACCTTTTCTAAATCAAATCATGAATCATCAAATAATATTCAATGTGGAGAGAAATTTGCCTTTTTAGAAATACCACTATAATGACAGAGGGTGATTTAGAGGGGGCAGATATTACTGGGTGAAAGTTTACTGAGGTAATATAGGGGAAATAAGGTGGCAATGGTAATGGGGAGAAGAGAAAATGTTTGAGAGGTATTTATGAAATATTTAGGAAAAGAATCACCAGGATTTGGGGACTGATTGAATCTGAGATCTCTGGTGTAGGTGAGGTGGATGAGAGGTGGTGATTCTAATCTAATCTAATTAAGGTAATAAAAAACTGAGGTTAGAATATAGGAAGGGGAAGATTTTGAGGGAAAGATAGTATCTTCTGTGTTGTCCATGTGAGGTTTGCTATTTGCCTGTGTGTCATATAAGAATCAAGGTCAATGAACGACTGGCTTTATAAAACCTGGAAACATAAGTATTGGAGTCCTTATTATCTAATGACTAAGAAATAGATGGAGTCAGGATTTTCTTGACGTTATCTAGAGAGAGGAATTAAAGTAGAGGAATCGGAGTGAAGCCATGGGGAACATAAATGTTTAATCCATCTAACACCTGACTTTTATTGAGTACCTACTGAGAGGTGACAACGTGCTAACAGCCCTCGCTCGCTCTTGGCGCCTCCTTGGCCTTGGCACACGCTCTGGCCGTGCTCGAGGAGCCCTTCAGCCCGCCGCTGCACTGTGGCGGCCCCTGTCTGGGGCTGGCCGAGGCCGGAGCCGTCTCCGGCTCCCTCTGCTCATGGGGAGGTGTGGAGGGCGAGGCGCGGGCAGGAGCCCAGGCTGCGTGCAGCGCTCGCGGGCCAGCGCGGGTTCCCGGTGGGTGCGTTCTCAGCGGGCCCTGCAGTCTCTGAGGCCGGCACCTGCTGGGCTTCATCAGGGGACCAGCTCCCTCTGGGCTGCCAGAGTGCCTGGGCTAGGTGCCGCAAAGTCCCGCAGGGAGTGCCAGTGAGAGGTGAAGCCGGCTGGGCTTCTGAATGGGTGGGGACTTGGAGAACTTTTTTGTCTACCTAAAGGATTTTAAATGCACCAGTCAGCACTTTGTGTTTAGCTCAAGGTTTGTAAATGCAACAATCAGCACTCTGTGTCTAGCTCAAGGTTTGTAAACGCACTAGTCAGTGCTCTGTGTCTAGCTGATCTAGTGGGGACTTGGAGAACTTTTGTGTCTAGCTAAAGGATTGTAAATGCACCAATCAGCTCTCTGTCAAAACGGACCAATCAGCTCTCTGTAAAACGGAACAATCAGCTCTCTGTAAAATGGACCAATCAACTCTTGGTAAAATGGACCAATCTGTAGGATGTGGGTGGGTCCAGATAAGGGAATAAAAGCAGGCCACCAGAGCCAGCAGCAGCAATCTGCTCCGGTTCGCTTCCATGCTGTGGAAGCTGTGTTGTTTCGCTGTTCACAATAAATCTTGCTGCTGCTCACTCTTTGGGTCTGCGCCACCTTTGTGAGCTATAACACTCATCGTGAAGGTTTGCAGCTTCACTCCTGAAGCCAGCGAGACCACGAACCCACTGGGAGGAAGGAACAACTCTGGACGTGCCACCTTTATGAACTGTAACACTCACTGCGAAGGTCTGCAGCTTCACTCCAAAGTCCAGCGAGACCACGAACCCACTGGAAGGAAGGAACAACTCCAGACGTACTGCCTTTAAAAGTTGTAACACTCACTGCGAAGGTCTGCAGCTTCACTCCTGAAATCAGCGAGACCACGAACCCATTGGGAGGAATGAACAACTCCGGACACGTCTGAACATCAGAAGGAACAAACTCCAGACACACCATCTTTAAGAACTGTAACACTCACTGCGAGGGTCCGTGGCTTCATTCTTGAAGTCAGCGAGTCCAAGAACCCACCAATTCTGGATACACTATCATGTACTACCAGGCACAGTGCCAAGAGACGTACATGCATTTTTTAATTTAACTTCAACTACATCCTATAAGACATTATACTTGTCTTGTAGAGTAGAAGACTGAACCTCAGAGAAGTGACTTGCCTAAGGTCAAGGAGCTGGGAAGTGGTAAAGTTAATATTCAAATTCAAGTGACCTGATTGTACAGAGTAAGAAAGCTTAATCCCTGCATTTGGAGAGAGAGAGCCATGATAACAACTAGGGAGGTGTGACCTAGAAGTGGGAGGTAACCTGGAGGAGAAGAGTATACCAGAAGCCAAGGGCAGAAACACTTTTAAAGAAACTCGGTGAGTGAAGGATTATGTGGTAAAAGGTTGTAAGTGCTGTGGACACATTAAGGAGGATAAAGCGCCCGAATGTTTTTGAAGGCTGAGGTAATATTAGTGAACATGACAAGAGTGGAAGCCAATTTTCAGTGAGTTAAGGAGAAACTAAACAGACTGAAGATGGTGACTGTAAACTACTTTCTAGAAGCTTAGTCTTGAAAGAAGGGAGAGATACAGAAGACGTGCGGCCAGGGATGACTTGAGGCTTGAGTGTGTGTGTGGAGGGGGAGGGAGAGTTTTGTGTAGTTTTAATTTTTAATGGAAAAGATGTGATCGTGTTTAGAGGCTAGTTGAACAGAATCGGTAGGGTAAAGAGAAAGGAGACAGATGACTGAAATGGGGGTATGGATCTGGGAACAGGTAGAAAGTCAGCCATGGGTAGAAGAGAGGGCACTTCTGAGAAAAGAGGAAAATAATTGGAAAGATTCAGAGTCAGGCAAGTTTGTAGGAGAAGAAGAAAAAGTTGAGGTATTTCTCCCACAGACATGAAAACACTGAGAGAGGCAAGTACGGTGTATATGCAAATGAAACCTTTTAAAGATTGATAATATATTTTAAAAAGTTATTCAATATGTCAGAAGAGTAAAAACAAGCAAATCTTAAAAATTTGTGCAACTTTTGTGTCTAGGAAGGATTTCTAGATATTTTTTTTCAGTCTATACCAGGGTTTCAGGTCTGTGGCTAGGGAACAGTCATTTGAATGTAAACTTGTTTACCATCAAGAGGAATTGCATTGGCTATTTATGCCAAAGATGTCAATAAAATCAACAGAAGCCTCAAGAAGCAGGTACTGTAGTTTTCCTCTGGAAAGGGAAGTCCTCGTGTCCCTCCCTCTGTCTGTCCTGTACCCTTTTATATTGACCCGATCACTGATACAGAAAAACCTGTTTCAGTCAGCTCACGCTGCTGTAACAAAACACCACAGACTGGGGGACTTAAACAGCAGGCATTTATTTCTCATGGCTCTTGAGGCTGGGAAGTCCAAGGTGAGGGCATCAACAAGGTCAGCTTCTGGTGAGGGTCCACTTCCTGGCTAGCAGATGGCTGCCTTCTTGCTGTGTCATCACACAGCAGAGAGGGAGAGGGAGATGTCCCTTTTTTTTTTTTTTGAGACGGAGTCTCACTCTGTTGCCAGGCTGGAGTGCAGTGCATAATATCAGCTCACTGCAACCTCTGCCTCCTGGGTTCAAGCAATTCTCCTGCCTCTGCCTCCCGAGTAGCTGGGATTACAGGCGCCTGCCACCATGCCCGGCTAATTTTTGTACTTTTAGTAGAGATGGGGTTTTGCCGTATTGGCCATGGTGGTTTCAAATTCTTGACCTCAGGTGATCTGCCTGCCTCAGCCTCCCAAAGTGCTGGGATTACAGGTGTGAGCCACCGCACCCGGCCAAGATGTCCCTTTCTTAAGGGCACTAATCTCTTCATGAGGACCCTACCTTCATGACCTCATCTCAACCTAATTATATCCCAAAGGCCCCACTTCCAAAGACCAACATATTGGAGGTTTGGAGTTCAACATAATAATTTTGGGAGGACACAACCTCTCTGTCTAAAACACTCTATGGATGACTTATTTCTCTTGGGTTAACCTCCTGTTCCTTCCTGTGTTTATACTGTCCAGTTAAATCAGAACCTTGGTGATCTGTATTTACTCAAAAGAGTTCAGGTGGTTTTATACTTTAAAAAATATTCTTTATTTGTCAAATCCATGTAACTCTATTTGTCTTTTAAAATCACCAAACCTCTTTTCTCTGACTTTAAAAAAGGCATCATAAAATACAAACTCGTGTGTATGACAGTAATGAATTAGTGTTTTTTTCCTTTTTTTTTTGAAATGGAGTCTTGCTCTCTTGCCAGGCTGGAGTGCAGTGGTGCTATCTCAGCTCACTGCAACCTCTGCCTCCTGGGTTCAAGCAATTTAACTGCCTCAGCCTCCTGAGTAGCTGGGACTACAGGCACGCACCACATGCCTGGCTAATTTTTTGTATTTTAGTAGAGATGAGATTTCACCATGTTGGCCAGGATGGTCTCGATCTCCTGACCTCATGATCCACCCGCCTCGGCCTCTGGATTACAGGCGTGAGCCACCGTGCCCGGCCATGCATGTTTCTTTTTAACCCCTAAGGCTTCTGAGTCTGCCTCCTATTTTTGTGATAATTTTGTTGTTTTCTTAAAATTTTTGCCGTGAACTCGGGGATTTTTTTTCCTTCGGTGAAATTTTCTAAAAGTTTTATTGGATACTGGTTGCCTGTTATTTCTTTGCAAAGCTGTTTTTCACTCTGCTTTTGGTGCCAAAAACAGCCTTCTACAGAGCTGAATTATTGAAACGTTTGGGGGCAACCAGGGAGCTGGTAAAGGGCTCCCAGAAAGACTGGTCATTTGGGAGAGCAGTGCCTCAGGTTACCTAGTGACAGACAGGGTGGCTCCTAACTCAGATATTTTCCAAGTTTCTAGCAAATCCATATTGTCTGGGTTCTCAGTGATGAGTAAACCCAGCCCTCCAGATGACAAGGATGGCATCCAAAAATTTGATTGTGCTGTTTGATAGGAAAGGCCATGTTGGAAGAAGACTTTGAGCAGCATTTTCCTCTCAGAATTAAATTGTTGCATTTATTTCAGTAGCAGACATTCCCCACCTCAACTGAGAATGCTTCTGTTTTTTTTTTTTTTTACTATGCTAAGTACTTAAAAAGTTATGTCATGGGACTACTTACGGGACCGTATGAAGCTGTGGAAGGGCTTGCAGGGGCAGCCAAATGCTGGACCTGGCACAAATCATTTACCCTGTCTGGGCCTTCATGTTTTCCTCTCTGGAAAGAGGAGTTGGATTAGATGACATTAAACATTGCCTTCTTGATCTACAGTTTTTGTGATACGTATATATTTGAGGAAGGTATGTAGAATTTTACATGAAATTACAAAATTAATTATTACGCACTTTAGCACAAACTGCAAGAAGCTAATAGAAGTGATATTTGAGTTAACAGAAAGGTTAAATTTGTTTTCCACATGATTAATTATAGCAAGGAGAACTAACCATGGAGCCCTAGTGTGTTTGATTGTCTTCTGGGATGCCACATATGGTCAATGACCAAATCGCAAAAAAAAAGTATATGATGGAATTAGTATGACCAAGAAATAACAAATTTATATTTTGTCTGCACTGAGAAAGTAGGATTTTGTCACATTTTATTGTTAAATTAGGGCAACCATATGCCCCTAGAGTTAAACCTTAAGCTGACTAGCATATACTTAATATTACACTATGTAAAGTTATTTAAAAGTAAATTGTAGAGATTGTTACATCAACCCAATAAGGTATATCATACAGCAGGATAATATTGAAAACTCATTTCAAAAGATAATCTTGGTTCTATCTAGGATAATTCTCTCTTTTTTTTTTTTTTTTTTTTGAGATAGGGTCTGAATTCTGTCACCTGGGCTGGAGTGCAGTGGTGCAATCATAGCTCAGTGCAGGCTCCACCTCCTGGTCTCAGGGGATCTTATCACCTTAGCCTAATGGGTAGCTGGGTCTACAGGCATGCACCACCATGCAAAGGTAATTTTTCTATTTTTTGTAGAGATGGGGTGGAGAGGCAGGATCCCACCATGTTGCCCAGGCTTGTCTTGAACTCCTGGCCTCAAGCGATTCACCCACCTCAGCCTCCCAAAGTGTTGGGATTACATGTGTGAGCTACTGCATCCAGGAGGATAAATTCTTTTTTTTCTTTTTTTTTTTTTTTTTTTTGAGCTGGAGTCTCAGACTGTCACCTGGGCTGGAGTGCAGTGGCACGATCTCGGCTCACTGCAACTTCTGCCTCCCAGGTTCAAGCGATTCTCCTTCCTCATCTTCCCGAGTAGCTGGGATTACAGGTGCTCACCACCACACCCAGCTAATTTTTTGTGTTTTTAGTAGAGATAGGGTTTCACTGTGTTGACTAGGCTGGTCTCGAACTCCTGACATTGTGATCTGCCCATCTTGGCCTCCCAAAGTGCTGGGATTAGAGGCGTGAGCCTCCATGCCCAGCCAGGATAAATTCGTTTGAGAAGGCATGGGCAGCTCTTAAGATTAGTGACTCATTAGGCTCCTCAGCTATTTCAAGTGATGCCAGCCATACTTCAGCTGCTAGGTATTGTGAATTCTCTGTACCTTTAGACAACTGGAAGTATTTAATAGCTCTTCAGCAAGCACAATACCAATCTTATTATTTTATAAAATAAAGTGTAATATAGAAGTTAGAAACACAAACTCTGGAATTATACTCCCGGAATCTAATTTTGGTGCCACGTTTTACTCCATGACCTTGGACAAAGCACTTAGCTACTCTCTTCTATGGTTTCCTCATGTGAAAATTAAAGATACTGGAGAGGATTAAAGGAATTAATATATTTCGAGGATTCAATGTGTTAACATATTGAAAGAGCTTGCAGTAGAGCCTGGCACATAGTGAGATCCAAGTGTTGGCTATTATTATCGTTGTTGTTATTATTATTATTACATCAGCATCAGCATCATTATCAAAACAATGTTGAGGGAGGGCTGTGTGAAATATTTATAATCTATCTCTTCTTCTAGATATTCTAAACTGTTAACTCGTATCTACAGAGAGCTGGAATTGTGAACCCTGTATTGATGGAGTTCATTATTTTAGTCAGGAAAATTAATGCACCAAGGTTAATTTTTGCTCATGTCACAATCTAGTGCAGGTTGAATGGCTCTCCTTGGAGATACTCTTCTGAGCTAAGGATATATTCTCTCCTTCCCTTGTGTGAAACTGCCATCTTAAACGTGGGCCTGCAAAGTACTGTGGATGAAGAGAACAGGGAGGAGTTATGTCCAGACCCAGATGGAGGGTACATTGCTTTGCATAGGCCAGAACCTAGTCACATGGCCCCAACCTAGTCTCAAGGGAGGGTGGGAAATGTAGAGTTTCTGTGTATGCACGAAGAGGAAATGAGGTTAACATAGTCTCTGCTACATGTGGTCCTGCAGACCCATGTTTACAGGTTGCTGATGAAGTCAGTGTGAGAAAGAGGTCAGTGCCACATTCTCTTATTTTTATTGTATAAATACCATTGCATAGGAATCCCCAGTGGAGCTCTGGGTCTGATCTTAATTTAAGAATAGTTGTAATCCCAGCACTTTGGGAGGCTGAGGTGGGAGGATCACTTGTGGGTAGGAGTTTGAGACTAGACTGGATACCATAGTGAGACTGTGCCTCTGCAAAAATTAAAAAAAATAATAATTAGCCTGAAATGGTGATGCATGCCTATAGTCCCAGCTACTCAAGAGGCTGAGATGGGTGGATCACTTGAGCCCAGGAGTTTGAAGCTATAGTGCAGTGAGCCATGATTGTACCACTGCACCCAGCCTGGGTGACAGAATTGAGACCCCGATCTCAAAAAAAAAGGTAGTTGTGACTCTTTTAGGACTTTGTTAGTATTTTCTTGAAATGAAAACTGAATTTAGAACAAATTTCCCTTTTCTCAGGTGGGCAGTCTGCTGGAACATTTAGAGGTAAATTTGTTGCCCTCAGTAGCAACTACATTCCTTGCTCACAAACTTATTCTCCATGGTTTGTTTCCCTGTATTGTTTCTTTTACAACTAGTACATGTTATTTTTGTTATATTATAAAAATCCTTATAAATCACAATAATTTTTTTTTGGAACTAGATTGAACATTGGTAAGTAAGTAAACAAATTCCTTTATGTAGAGGAATTTGTTTTTTCCTTTATGTTTGTTCCATGAGATAGGTATATCTCATGGAAATAGTTGTCACTGAGTCTATTAATTGATAAAGACACTCTTCCTTATACCCCTTGAGAGATGAAACACCCGTCATTAAAAATGGCTCAGTTTGGTAGTCATTCTCAACTCAGAAGGAAGGGACAAGCCCATAGGAAGGGTTATCACAATGTTCAGGAAGGGAGGGAGGGAGGAAGGTGGGACCCACCTCTATATACTCCCACCCCCTACAGCTTCCTCCAGTGTCACTGGCACATAAGGCATTTGAATAGCAATACACCCCTCCACTGCAGTATTATCATAGCTCTATTTTTCCTTCCCACTCGCATGGAATGTTTTATATTTATCTAACATAAATATTTAGAAAAGGAAGAGCCTCCTTTTCTCAGAATATCAGGTTACCTTACTGCAGCTCAAGTTTCAAATGTTGATCTGACAATTTTCTGTTAGGCTGAGGTGAGTATCTGGCCAGAGAGAAGCCAGGTGCAAGCCTGCTATGGGAGGTGTCTCTTGTCTTCTGGGAAAAGCATTAATTGGATTATCATTTTCCTAACACTGCTTCTAGTTATCCTAAGAAGGTTTTATTTTCCTTTGTTTGCCTGCTTTTTCCAGGAAAATAGCTTCAACTATTGTGGGCAAGGCAGAATGCTATAGAGAGAATATTCTGTGAAAGGCAAGCACTTTTACAGAAATGAGGTCTTGTCTTTCTCACCACACTACATGTTTGGTGAATGTGAGTTAGAAATTGGGTAAGACTGACTAGCTTAGCCAATGAAGTTATGTAGACTTTACAAGGAGAGAAGAAACATATGTACTTTATGGGGAAAATAAAGATATTTTTATTTTTATTTGATATGAAAGATAGAGTATTAGTGATTAGCTTCCTTGTGCCCAGATCCTACTCGCTGAATCACTAGTCATTTTTATGGTGGCCAGAGCTGATTTCTTGCAGCCCTCTTGTAAGTTAGATAGTGCTATGGCTAACCTCTAAGATGAGCCCGAGTGGTCCCCACCACCTCGTAATCATACGCCTGTATAGTCTTCCACATTTTACCAGGGTTAGTCCATAGCATAAAGTAGAAGTGAAGCTAACTCACTTCTGAGGTCAGGTTATAAAAGATGGTAGTTTTCATCTTGAATACATTCTCATTCTCTCTCATTCTCTGTCTGTCTGTCTGTCTGTCTGTCTCTCTGTCTCAAATCTCTTGCTCTGGAGAAAGTAGGCTACCATCCTGTGAGCAGCCCTATCCAGGAATCCATGCAGTAAGGAATTGAAACCTCTGGCCAACAGTCAGTAAGAAAGTGAGGCCTGCCCGATAAAAAAGGATGAGTTCATGTCCTTTGCAGGGACATGGATGAAGCTGGAAACCATCATTATCAGCAGTCTATCACAAGATCAGAAAACCAAACACCGCATGTTCTCACTCATAAGTGGGAGTTGAACAATGAGAACACACGGACCCAGAGAGGGGAACATGATACACCAGGGCCTGTCGTGGGGTGGGGGGCTAGGGGATGGATAACAGTAGGAGAAATACCTAATGTAGGTGACGGGTTGATGGGTGCAGCAAACCATGGCACGTGTATACCTGTGTAACAAAACTGCACGTTCTACACATGTAAACTAAAACGTAAAGTATAATTAAAAAAAAAGAAAGTGAGGCCTGCCAGCAACCACACAGATGAGCTTGGAAGCAGGTTCCGTAGCATTAGTCCAGTCTCGAAATGACTACTGCCCCAGCTGACAACTTGTCTGCAAACTAGTGAGAAAAGCTGAGGCAGAACCACCCAGATAAGTTCCTCCTAGATTCTTGACCATCAGAAACTGCTGGAGACGATAAATGCTTGTTTTAGTCTGATAATTTTGGGGAGTAATTTGTTATGCAGCAATAGATGGCTAATACAGATGAGATAGAATAAGCATAAACCTTTTCTCTCCAACATCAGAAAATTAATCATTGAGTTTTCTTGGACATCTGGAGTTACCTGACTTTTCTTTCTGCTTAATTTTTTTTCCTCGGCTCCACCGTAATAAATATACTTATCAACTGCTATGGCAAAGGAAATTAGATTCTCTGTGAATGTTGAAACCCATTTGACAGTATCTTGGACTGGTGATTGAAGAGATGAGATTGCTCCCAATGTTTAGTGTGAAAAGAATTTCCTCCAACAAATCTTGTAGTAATGATCATTATTAATTATCATCTAGACAACTCCTTCTCCACTCCCCTACACCATCTCCACTTTCTTCGGGGATTCAAAGAGGCATTTCCTCTGTTGAAAAGTATATTAATCTGTTCTCATGATGCTAATAAAAATTTACCGGGGACTGGGTAATTTATTAAGGGAAGAGGTTTAATTGATTCACATTTCCACATGGCCGGGGGTGCCTCACAATCATGGGGGAAAGTGAAGGGGAAGCAAGACACCTCTTACATGGCAGCAGGCAAGAGAGAGGGTGTACAGGGGAACTCCCCTTTATCAAACCATCAGATCTCATGAAACTTACTCTCATGAGAACAGCACAGAAAAACCGATCCTCATGATTCAATCACCTCTCCCTGGGTCCCTCCCATGATGTGAGAATTATGGGAGCAACATTTCAAGATGAGATTTGGGCGGGGACACAGCCAAATCATATCAGGAAGTAAAGTATGGATTAAGATAGAATCTGCTTCCAAATGTGCTGGTCTGAAGTTAGTTTTTTCTCTCCATATGTTCTACTTTCTCCCATTAGTATTAGGATAATGAACAGAGAACATCTTTCAGGAGCCAGATATTCTGCCTTAAATTTTGCCATAAGATGCTGCAAAGAATCACAGGACAGAATCAGTTTCACTTTCTTCTTTTCTAATATACAAGAGCTGAGTAGGGAACTCTTCTTGATGCAACTGGACCCCAGTGTACATTTTAATGTTCTATTTAAATGGAAGGTCTTACTAATGCATTTATAATACAACTTTCTTCATAAAGCATGGTAAACAAAGTTTTGCTTTTGTTATGTCAGAGGCTTAGGTAATGTTTTCTAATATAAGAGTGAGAAGGTAAACGTTCTGTGATTTGTCCAAAGCTCTCCAGCTGGATAGAAGCATTAATGACTAGAATCCGCATTTCCCACCTTACATCCAGGCCTTTTTTTTTTCACCCAGAAGATTAGACAGCCAATTAGTTGAATTGAATTCAGTTTCTTATATATGCAATGAATGACTTTCATATAGTTAATATGGCCCAAGATAGAGAGTTCCCATGAAGTTTCAGAACTGGGGCTCATTATTCACTGAGATAGCGAGTACAGATTTCAGCCAGTGCAAAACAGTTTGGAAAAGTCATTTGATTATTATTTAATAAAATCCATTTTACTTAAAATAACATTTTGGCTAAAAGTGAATGGCATTTTCTTATCTTGGACCACACGTATTGTCACACAATTTGGCAAAAGTATTCAGAATATGTTTGAGAGTTGGCCATGCTGTGGAAATGAAACAGACTCCAGAAAAATCACTTTCATTTGAACCTCCCGAATTTGCTTCAGTCTATCTTTGCAGCACCTCTGCTGAAGTGTGTATAAAGTGGTATACATTTATTCACAGGACTGCAGTTTATATGCAGGGGCTACCTCCCATCCTGAGCATGGCTAAAAATAGTGTTAATCATCCAGAATGTGACTTGTTTCAGTTCTATTTGGCCATGGAGGACATTAGTCAGTGTTTTCTTAGAAATAATGTTCTGGTATATGAGTTAACGTTGCAATGAATTTACAAAAAGGTAAATGAATAGATCTAAAAATAGAATCCTATTTAGAAAAATCTATAGTCCTTCCTCTTAGACAGAATTCTCCTGGTTGAGTATTCACAGCAGTCAAAGTACAGAGCTTTGTAAGGACTTTGCACACCCAAGACCCGGCAGGACCACTGGTCTCTAGTGCAGGGCAATTAAACTACCAGATTCCAGCTGGGCTGTACCTTTTAGATTTTCCTAACATTAATTTCTCCATGAGCCAAGGCAAATGAGCAACTGGGAAACCTGATTAGTCTTCTCAAGGCTTCCTCTGTGGACTAGCTCGTTTCTCCCCAGTGAAGGCATTGTTCTACAGTTCTGTTATCTGCATACTAAACATTTATTCATTGTCTTAAAGGAAGGGCGTACTCCTAAATAACATGCACATAATGCCCGGTTAGATCAGTGCATTTTTAATCACTATGCAAATCTAATGAGCCACCTTTAATTTTTGTTGTTCCCTAAGTGGGATATCCTTCAAAAATATTTAAAGAAGTAGTATTATTTCAAAATATACACAGCAAAATAGCATAGATTTCCTCACAAATACCAACCAGATAGGTATTCAGTAGCCTTAGGGATTTATTATTTATGAATAAGCACATTTGGAACTGTGTTGAGCTGTCTTGGAACTGTTTGAACTGAAAATTGGAAAAGGCGATTACTGTCATCATTGATTTGGTCTGGATAGGTTCTCACTGAGGGTCTTGACATCTGCTGCTCTATTAGAATTCACTGGAATTTATGCACCATAAATGGATAGACACATGCACACTGTTGCTCATAAGGACTTGGGCTTTACAGCCTATTTGGTTGCCCACCCTGGCAACATGTCCTGGACCATGTGACGGTCATAAAGACCCTTTCTTCGGGTCCTAGCAGTCTCCTCCAGCCCTTAAGCTGGATTCCCCCTGGGTTTGTGATGGGTAGCAGGACATGCAGGCCCAGAGTAGGAGCTCAGTTCATATTTGTTGAATAAAGCACTGAATCTTGCAGAAGAAAGTTCAAAACAGAAAAGTTAACATTTGGCCAAGTCAAATTTTGTTGATACTGCTTTCTGCTAAAGATTTTATTACTTAGTGATGTGGCATTTTTGTATCTTCCTGAGATCTCCATTGTGTCCTTGTCTGTCAAACTTGTTCCTCCATAGGAAAGGACTAAGGAGGGAGAAAGTCTTCAGCTTTTCTCAGAGCATGGGATTTAAGGAAGGGAGTGGGCTATGAATCATGTGGGGCCCGTCAGTAGGCTTTAGGCATCTATAACCGCCCCCCCAACCCCCCACCTCACACAGCAAGATGTTATGTAAATTTGGAGTATTTATCCGTATACATGTATTTTTTTAAGGAAGAGGATCCAGGCTTTAAGCAGATGCTCAAAGAGGTTTGTGTTTTCAAACTGTCAAGAACCACTGCCATAGATGTTGCCAGCAATAATTATATGCTTTGTAATTAAACTAGTAACTAACCAGTACCCTAGGTACTTGGGTTTTAAAAAATGCAATTATGAAAGTGATTAATTAGAAATAACTTTGCTATTAGACACACAAGATGCTATTAGAGTAAAAAGTTATGTTTTCCAAATATTCAAAACTTTGTGGCATGCCTTGTGGTTTAAATTTTCACTTAAACTTGGAGCTGACTGATTTTCTTTCAGATATAAAAGTTCTTTACTTGTTCTGCTCTCATGGATTCTTGAACAGAAGTAGAGGGTTCAGTGATAATGGAGCATTTATAAATTAAGTCTTTCAGTACAGTGGGAATGGAGGTTTCATTTTTCATTCTTTTTAGTCTAGTATAACTCTGGTCTCTCATGCCTGAAATACATATATTTTTTGGAGTCTATCTTGTCTACTGGCCAATATTGATGACAAAATGGACCTCTTAGAAGGCAAATTAAGTTGAGCACATTGTGTTTTACTTTATGATAAATACAGATTTCCCATTAAAAGGGATATCCTTCTTTTGAAAAGTTAAATAGAAAGGTGCTTTAAAAAGTGCCTTACAGGTTGAATTTGGAGAACTAAGAAAAACTGGCAAAATTTACTTGATTGCAAGTTGGATAAATTTCCATTTATTTTTAATAAGCTCTGATGTGTATATATGTGTTATATATATACACATATATGTATATATTTTTTATATATGTGTATGTACACACACACACATATACACACACAAAATAGCAAAAAAGAGAACAATGTCAGGCCACCTATTTGGTGTCTAGAACATAGTAAGTTTTGTCTTGTTTTTACTGAGATGGTTTAATCAGTAAGTAGTTTCGCATTCATTAATTCATTTATTCAGTAGACATTTGGGTATCTACAATGTGCTAAGGCCTTTATTTATTTATTAGTTTCCGATGTAAAAATTTGAGTGAAAAGTGTTCTCTCCTCAAAAGCCTGCCTTTAAGCACAGTAAAAAGGCTAAACACAACCCACCATGCTCAGGGTCAGTATTGTCAGCAGAAGCAGGATAATAGCACTGGATCTGAAGGGAGACCCCGCCCCTCCCACCGGGTGTAAACTTCGTGCCCATCGAACATTAGCCCTGCGACTGTAATCAGTTCGTATGCCACTATAGGCCTCAGATTATTTTTATTTATTTATTTTTTTTTTTACTTTCCAACTTTTATGTTAGGTGCAGGGAGTATACATGCCAGTTTGTTACATGGGTAGATTGCATGTTGCAGGGATTTGGTGTACAGATTATTTTGCCCCCCAGGTAATAAACAGTACTTAATGGGTAGATTTTTGATCCTCACCCTCCTTCCACTCTCCACCGTCAAGTAGGCCTTGATATCTATTATTCCCTTCTTTGTGTCCACGAGTACCCAATGTTTAGCTCCCACTTATAAGTGAGAACGTGGTATTTGCTTTTCTGTTTCTGTGTTAATTTGCTTAGGATAATGTCCTCCAGCTCCATCCATGTTGCTGCAAAGGACATGATTTCATTCTTTTTTTGTGGCTGCATGGTATATTCCATGCCATATATGTGCCACATTTCCACATTTTCGGTATCCAGTCCACCACTGATGGGCACCTAGGTTGATTCCACATCTTTGCTATTGTGAATAGTGCTATGATAAACATGTGTGCATGTGTCTTTATGGGAGGATGGTTTGTGTTCCTTTGGGCATATACCCAGTAATGGGATTGCTGGGTCAAGTGTAGTTCTGTTTTAAGTTCTTTGAGAAATCTCCAAACTGCCTCTACAGTGGCTGAACTAATTTACACTTCCACCAGCAACGTATAAGTGTTCCCTTTTCTCCACAATGTTACCAGCATCAGATTCTATTTTTAAATTAATTTGTATCACCTCATAGAATTGTCATAAGCATGTAAAGAACTTAGTAGGATGCCATTAAATGCTGCATAAATGTAAATTGCTATGACTAATTTTATTATTAAAAACATAGTTTGAAAAAAGTATTAGGGAGAATAGAGAAGGGAACTATGAACAATGACTAGAAAGTTTCTGGAAAGATAATGCAGAAAATGTACTCTTTGTGCTAAGTGGGGTTGGGGTAAGAAAGATCTTCAGAGGAAAACAGAAGGCATATAAATGCAGAGGTGCTTAGGGCAGGGATGAAGAATGTTCAGAGAGGGGCTCTCTACAGTGCTTATATTGTTTTCCTTCATGTTCAATTTAGTGTTTCTCTCTCCTCTAGAACTAGAGTTTTCGTTTAAAAACTTTGTTTTCTTGGCCAGGCACGGTGGCTCACACCTGTAATCCCAGCACTTTGGGAGGCTGAGGTGGGCGGATCACGAGGTCAGGAATTCGAGACCAGCCTGGCCAACATGGTGAAATGCCATCTCTACTAAAAATACAAAAATTACCTGGGCGTGGTGGTGGGTGCCTGTAATCCCAGCTACTCAGGAGGCTGAGGCAGGAGAATCATTTGAACCCAGGAGGTGGAGGTTGCAGTGAGCCGAGATCATGCCATTGCACTCCAGCCTCGGCGGCAGGGCAAGACTCCATCTCAAAAACAAACAAACAAAAAAACTTTGTTTTCTTGGCATAAAAATGTGTAAGTTTAATGAATAACTGAGTAACTGTTATTTGACTGTCTTGTTCCTCTTTTCTTCCAACTAGCTAGTGCCCCAAAGTGGATTTAATGTCATAATTTAACTAACATAGATTTTCAATTAGAAGTATATTCCAATTCAGTATTTTTTAATAATTATGTTCAAGACCAAGGTTTTCTATTTTTTGTTCAGCTTTATTTCATAGTAAGTATTTCCAAAATATACTTTCTGTTAGCCACCTTTTATTGAGCATTTAAAAATTTTGTATGGTGTTGTTTCATATGTAATTTGCTACTAAATTTTACTTTTTGTTTGCTAATTGATTGAATAGTGCTTATCACTGTACTACTTTAAAGCAATGAGCTAGTGGCTTTTATTTGAGTGTGCATGTGTGTGTGCATACACACACGCACACTCACATATATGTATTTTTTGTAAATCTAAGACAGTTTTAAGTAAAAAACATTTTCCTAATTTCCTGAATACTTTGTGAGATATTGAGAAAAGCAGGATACAGAAATAGCAATATGGCAATGACTGACTAGTAAACATGATTCATAAGAAAAAATGCCCTTTTTCTTCAATCCAGAAATATATGCTATCATTTTAATTAAAGTATATTTGCCTGTGACCCTCTTTCTAGCCCAAACTATTCGAGGTCTTAAGCCTAGGATATTTGAAATTTGGATTGATTAAGGTGGCATATCCAATACAGCAGATAACAGTTTCTGTGACTTTGAGAAGATTATACATTGTGGATAGACTTAGAATTTATAATAAAATCCCCATCAGTTAATATTTTCAAAATCAACTCATATTGTCAGTGTATTCAAATGCTTTTAGAGAAAATATGACACTGCACAAAAAAAATTAGGAAGTGTTAGCCATAATTTTCATATATATTAAAAATCAGTATACTTGAAATAATATTATTTTAGCAGTGCTTAGTCTCATGTTTAATAAAATTCATTTGTATGAACATGTTTTCAGAGATTTCAGTGCTATTAATCTAATTGAAGTTACTTGATTACATGGAGATGAATGTTAAAATGACTAATATTTTCTGGAGACAAATTTAATTTGCTTTTAAGTACTATAGCAAATGACATTCTTCTAGATCTCTGAATGGTATTGATGTTTATGTGTTCAGGTGTTGTACAAATTAAGGAACTAAATCACTTTCATAGGTGGGAGTTAAATGTGGTAGAGAAGTCATTAAAGTAATTTACAGCTGATGATATGTCAAAGCAGTTTCCTATGAAATCCTAGAGAGATGGGAGGGAGCATGAATCATTGAGAATTAAAGATTTTTCATCTCTAATTACTTTAACTCTCTTAGGAACCACATATAAATGTTTAATGTAAAAAATAAAGACAACAAACACTGGAGACAAGTATTACACTAGTGCCGGCTTACTCACTTTTTGTTTTTCAAGACTGAAATTCTGGGATCAGGCTAAATTTGGATATTGATTCTAGTGCCTCCTCTATCATCACTAGAATATCAACAACAAATTGTTCATCAAGCCTGTGAGATTTCATTTTTTTGTCCTATTCATTTTACTAAAATGGATTTGGGAATGCCTAGAAAGCTTTCTGTCAATATAGGTCTTTAAAGAAAATTTTAATGTTAGTTAAAAAAACCCTTAAACTAAAAAATGATGTCAGGTACTCCTAAATTTGTTTATGACACCCAAGTATGTTAATTGCTATTATTATTTAACTTCCTTTAGGGTTACAGTGAGCATCTATTATTTTGGTCACATAGCACTTACTATTCTTTGGATAAAATCACCCCATTTTTCCTCTGGGGAACCATCTGTTCCCTATTCTCCATTGGTGACTCAGATCTAGCCAATCAGGATTTTATATTCTCATAGCCACACAGTGTTTGGCTCAGGAATGAGTACGTGCACACAGCTATTTTGTTGCTGTAAGGACCATGAGAATGAAGTTAATATGGAGGAGAGTGGAATAAAAATCAGGGAATAGACCACATCCCAGTGAATTTTTGAACCTCTGGAAAAAAAGTCCCAGATTTTTAGTTGTTGCTCCCGTTAAGTTACCCTGTTCATTTATGCCAGTTTGAGTTTTCTGTCACTTGCAACAGAAAGAATCCTAACCAAAATATGCACAAAATTTTTGAGTTGGAAATCAATGAGTTATAGGAGTGGCAGGGTTTAAAATGAAGTACAGCTTCATTCCTATAGCCAATTTCAGAGGAAGGGACTTTTTTTTTCTCTCTACATATCATTTCTTTCCAAATAAGATTGCTAAAACTGATGCCCAGATCTAGGCACGTACAAAGAATCAATATGGCAGTTTTGACATAAAAATCCTGACAAAGTAATTGAAATTGTTTTATGTTTTCTGAGATAAATGATCTTTTTCCTTATTGTTCTCTGAAGTGAAGACAAATCTAAGTTTCAATTTTTCAACAGTCCTAGGAGAATGTGACAGCATCCACCCTTGCTGTGCCCAATGCCTGGGGCAGCAGAGAGCAGCCTGGAGGCTGGCCCTGACTACCCAGACTTGCAGGCATGGATGTGGGCTGGCTGTAGCTGTATACACACCATAAACTTGGCGTTGGGCCAGCTTGGCCAGAGAAGATGCTCAAATTTGTGGAGACGTGGAGGTCTGCACGTAAGCCTTGGGTTGGAAAATTTCAGGAAAAGGAGGCAGCTGGCTAACCAGGCCTCATGGATCAGCTTCCTGGAGACCTTTGCAGAGACCTCACACCCATGGACCACCTTGCTCAGCCTGCTTAGTTCTTTGGGAGTCCCTCTTTATGTTATAACTTGTTTGGGTTGTGCATTTAAATGTTGTTATAGTTTGTCTAGCCTTTGTTAGTATTTTTGGTAAGATTATGGTGTCTTTTAGCTCAGCTTAGTCTGCTATGTTGATGTAACTTGAAGTCTACAGTAAGGTTTTAAGAGTTAAATTCCCCCAGTGGTTGTCAGTGTTAGTGGGGTTGTTATAGGATTGTCAGGTGATTGTCAAACTGTGTTTGAAATAATAAGCTCATAGCCTGGCGCAGAAAAGGAGTTTTGTGTATGTTGGTGTGGGGAGAGGAAAGGATGGATGTCTGTGCAGCCCAACAAGTGTCCAGCAGGCTGAACATAGGAAAACTTTCTAGAAAGCAAAAGGATTTAGGAACTAGCAAGCCTCCTCCATTTCTTGTTTGGAGGCAACTCTGGCAGCCTCTGCTCCTTGCTCCTACAACTTTCTCATCGCTGGAAGACAATCCCTTCAAAGAGCTAAGGAAAAATAGAATTTCATACCTAGTCAAACACTCTTTCAAGAACAAAGGCAAAAGTAAAAAAAAAAAAATAGACAAAGATTAGGAGAGTTTACTATCCGCCGTGCTTTATAAAGGAAGTAGATAAAGTTCACCAAGAAGAAAATGAACCCAGAAGGAGGTTATGATTTGTAAATATAACTATAATGGACAGAAACTTAAAAAGTCAGAAAAGTTAACCATTGTGATGGTGCTTCCCTCCAATACAAATAAAGTGAAACTAATTTTTAACACAAATAACAAGATACATTGTGAAGTTCAATGATGATTAAATCATGTTTTCATGAGGCATATGCAAGCGTAAGAGTATATTTTAATTTTTTGAGAGCATTAAAAGAAACAAGTTGTCTTTAGCTTTCAAATAACAATGTTCATATAACAAAAAGAGAAAAAAAGTTTTTATTAGTCTATCCAAAGGCAGGAAAAGGGGTCAAAAGAAGCAAAGAAAAGAATGGCAAATAGAAACTATAAAATAATATGGTAGAAATAACTGTAAATGTTACAGTAATCATAATACAAATTGTCAAGAAGAAAGGGTTATGATGTATGGGGTTTCCTCTCTCTGCATCAGAATAGAACAGAAAGCTCAGAAATACACACCCACATATATAAAAACTTGATATATGGTGAGCATAATAAAAAACAGTGGGGATGATTATTTAGTAAGTAGAGCTGGCACAATTGGCTGTCTAAATAGAAAAATTAAGATAAATTAGATCCCTATCTCACATCATACACAAAAACCTATTCCAGATGGAATTGCAAAATACCAAACAGAAACATATCAAACTAAAAAACAGGTACAGAGAAAATATTGTACCATCTCAGAGTAGAGAGAAAATTTTAAACAATTCATAAAAAGCACAAGACATAAATTACGAATTTTCACAGATTAAAAATTAAAACTTCTGTATAGCATCTATCTATTTACATGGGAAGGATTAAAATAGAAGTCAGTATGAAAGAAGATGTTTGGAGAACATATAACTGTGAAAGATTTAGTAGCTTGAGAACATAAAAAGTTGAATAATTCAATGGACAAATATGTGAAAGATATGAACAGGCAATTCTCAGAAGAGGAACCCTAAATGGCCTCCATAGGTCAATAATGTTCAACTTAAGTAGTAATCAGGAAATGCAGTCAAAACAAGAAAGTGCAATTTTATGTTAATATTATTGCAGAAGTAAAATTTATGGTAGTTGCTATATTGACATACATGTATATTCATGAAGACTTGATGTATCACAATTGGGGATGTTAATGGAAATTAAAACTTCTTTGAGAACAATTTGGCAATCTAGTAAATCCGAAGTTTGCTTAGGCTAGGTGTATACTTTCACAAAGAAATGAGGAAGAATGTTCAATGCTTAATTGCTTAATGATGAAAATGAAAAGAATATGAATGTTAGGGGAAAATTAATAAACAAATTATATACTCATATAGTAGAGTACTATAAAAATAAAAATGATCTTGCATTATATATATATCAGCATGAAGTGTTGCTAAACATAATGTTGAGTTAAAAAAAGAATTTTGCAAAGTGATATCAAGAGCATGATGACATTTTTATAAAGTTTAAAAGCATGTAATCCACTACTAAAATGGAATGAGGAAAGCATGCATGAATATGAAGTTTACTTGGAGTGTTTTTACTCAAAATATGTGAAACAAATTTGCCAACAGAGAACATGTATTAAAGGTGAGTAGTAGATACATGATGCATATATTGGCTTTATTATTTAAACAGTCTGAATATTTTATCATAAAAAACAGGGAGACAAGAAGGATATACATTCACGGAAGATAGAAAAAATGGGGCACAATGTACTAACAAAGTAATTCACTAAAGAGGAATTCTGAATAATCGATAGATAGACACAATTGCAGTTGTAACCAGGCAAATAAGATTAAAGCAAAAATAAAATATCAGTTCATTCTGTGAAATAGGCAAAAATGAAAAATCTTGAAAATACAAAATTGGTGAAGGTGTAGGTTAAGATGACCTCTGATGGGAGTGCAATTCCTTCGTAAAATGACTTGGTACTGTATAACTTTCGAAGATGAATTTGTCTATCTACAAACAGTATTATCTTAGACATGCCTTCATGTAGGGGCAGAAAGAATAAGGAGATTCATCATGCTATTGTGTAAGTGGAAAACTGAGAACCACCTAAAGAAACATCATAAGATGACTGGAAAAGTTAAGTTCTGTTTATGTGATGGCATATTATATAGATTTAAATGAATTAACTATGAGTTAACATGGATAAGTCTCCAAATCATAATGTTTAATAAAAATGAAAATTATCAAATGTTACATACACCATGACACCACTGCTGTAAATTAAAAACATGGAAACTCTCTATTTTCTTTTTTGACCTATTTATCACTATATCAAGACTCCACTACCCTAATTAATAATGTTTTATAGCAGATCTTGATTTGTGTGGGTATATCTTTCTACTTTGATTTTCTTAGGTAATATTTTGTGTATTCCTGGTCTTTTATTCTTTCAAATACAATATAAAACTAGTTCATCAAATTTAAAATGAATTGATATTTTGTTTGGAATTACATTGATTCTATTGCTTTGACAATTTAGGGAGAATTGATACTTTAGTGACATGGAGTCTTTCTCCACTTAAAAATGATGCCTCTATTTATTTTTTAAATTGTCTTTTTCAATGTATTTAAATAATTTTAAATTTCTCAAAAATATATCGTGTATCTCTTGATATCCTTGGTACCTTATTTATTTGTTGACTACCTATTATCTCTCTTATTCTCTACATTTACAGGCATACCTTGGAGATATTGCAGGTTCAGTTCTAGACCACCAGAGTAAAGTGTATATTGCATTGAAGGGAGTTACATGAATTTTTTTTATTTTCTATTGCATCTAAAAGTTATGTTTACACCATATTGTAATTTATTAGGTGTTCAATAACATTATGTATAAAAACACAATGTATGTACTTTCATTAAAAATACTTAATTGCTAAAAAAAAGCTAGTGATCATCTGGGCCTTCAATGAGTCCTCATCTTTTTGCTACTGGAAGGCCTTGCCTTGATGTTGATGGCTGCCGACTGATCAAAGTGTTAGTTGCTGAAGGTTGGAATATCTGTGGCAATTTCTTAAAATAAGACAATAAAGTTGGCTGCATCAGTTGGCTTTCCCTTTTATGAATGATTTCTCTGTAGCATGTGATGCTTTTTGATAGCATTTTACCCAGAGTAGAACTTCTTGCAAAATTCAAGTCAATCCTTTCAAACTCTGCTGCTGCTTTGCCAACTAAGTTTATGTAATATTCTAAATTTTTTGTTGTCATTTCAGCAATGTTCTCAGCATCTTCACCAGGAGCGGATTCCATCTCAAGAAACTAGTTTCTTTACTAATCCATAAGTAGCAATTTGTCATTTGTTAAAGTTTTATAATAATATTACAGCAATTCAGTCACAACACCAGGCTCTATTTCTAATTCTAGTTCTCTTGCTGTTACATACTCAGTTACTTCCTCCACTGAAGTCTTTAACCCATCAAAGTCATCCATGAGGATTGGAATCAGTTTCTTCCAAACTCTTGTTAATGTTGCTGTTTTGACCTCCTCACATAAATCACGAATGTTCTTAATGGCATCTGGAATGGTGAATCCTTTCAGAAGGTTTTTAATTTACTTTGCCCAGATTCATCAGAGGAGTCACTACGTATAGCAGCTATAGCTCTATGAAATGTATTTCTTAAATAATAAAACTTGAAAGTCAAAATTATTCCTTGATCCACGGGCTGCAGAATGGATGTCATGTTAGCAGGCATGAAAACAACATTAATCTCCACCAGAGCTTTTGGGTAAGTATTCATGGGAGCATTGTCAATGTGCAGTAACATTTTGAAAGAAATCTTTTGTGTGAGAAGTAGGTCGCAATAGTGGACTTAAAATATTCAACAAACTGTGCTCTAAGCAGATGTGCTGTCATTCAGACTTTGCTCTTGCATTTATAGAGCACAGTCAGAGTAGATTTAGCATAGTTCATTAGGGCCCTAGGATTTTCGGAATGGTCAGTGAGCACTGACTTCAATGTAAAGTTCATCAGGTGCATTAGCCCCTAACAAGAGAGTCAGCCTGTCCTTTGAAGCTTTGAAGCCAAGCATTAACTTCTCCTCTCAAGCTACGAAAGTCCTAGATGGCATTTTCCTTCCAATATAAGGCTTTTCTTTGTTGGGGGTCAATATTGACAATCTGTTGTTTAGTGTAGCCATCTTCATCAATTACCTATATCTTCTGGATAATTTTTTGTAGCTTCTACATCAGCACTTGCTGTTTCACTTTGCATTTTTATGTTATGGAGAAGGCTTCTTTGCTTAAGCCTCATGAACAAACCTCTGCTGGCTTCAGACTTTCCTTCTGAAGTTTCCTCACCTCTCTCAGCCTTCATAGAATTGAAGACAGTTAGGGTCCTGCTCTAGGTTAGACTTTGACTTAAGGGAATGTTGTGGCTGGTTTGAGCTTCTATTCAGACTACTAAAACTTTTTCTGTATTAGCAATAAGAACAAGAAGCCTGTTTCATTCTTATCATTTGTGTATTCACTGGAGTATCATGTTCAATTTCCTTCAAGAACTTTTCCTTGGTATTCACAACTTGGCCAACCTGTTGGCATGAGAGGCCTAACGTTTGTCCTGTCTCAGCTTTCAACATGGCTTCCTCACTAAGCTTAATCATTTTTAAGCTTTTGATTTAAAGCGGGTGATTTAAAGTGAGAGATATGCAACTCTTCTTTTTACTTAAACACTTTAGAGGCCATTGTAGGATTACTAATTGACCCAATTTTAATATTTTTTTTTAGGGAATATAGAGACCTGAGGAGAGGGAGAGAGGTGGAGGAATGCCCAGTTGGCATAGCAGTTAGAACACACACAATGCTTATTAATTATATTTGCCATCATATGTGGGTGTGGTTTGTGGCATCCCAAAACAATTACAATAGTAACATCAAAGATCACAGATCACAGACAACTGTAATTGATACAATAATAATGAGAAAGTTTGAAATATTGCAAGAATTATCAAAAGGTAACAGACAGGAAGTGAGCAAATGTGTTTGGGAAAAAGGAAACTGATAAACTTCCTTCACACAGGGTTGCCACCAACCTTCAATTTGCAGAAACACAATATACATAAAGCACAATAAAGCAAAGTGCAATAAAATGAGGTGTGCCTGTACTACCTACCCATTCAAACACTGTATTTTTGTTCCTTTTCAAATGATAATTGCCCTCAGTTTATAGAGATAAAAAAATTCTATATTTTAACTTCTTCCTGTTATTCATAAAGTTGTGGGTGAGTAGAGTCATTAATATATGTCATGTTCTGTCATGAATGCTGGTCAGAAATTAAGGGAAAATTAATTGCAAAGAATATACTTCTGTGGCAAACATGTCAGAAGCCATGATTTACTACTGCAACTAGACTGTCTGATTCAGATGGTGGTTGGCAGGGCAGCCTGGGTTATGACCGATGTGGCTGACTGATCACCACTGAAAGGCAGCATTAATAATGTGCTTTCAGAGATTGTAAATGTAGGTAAGTAGAAGGTTGCCTTTACAAGTAGAGAAGCTGGAGATTTTGCTCTAAATATGCTCTTCTTCTTTCTCCCAAATCTGCTTAAATATAGGCCATGCTTATGTTATCATTCAGAATCAGCCAAGTTGTAGGAAAACTTTAGCATTTTGACTAAAAGTTACCCTGAGACAGCAGTTAAAATCTCTATTCATAAAACAAATCCTAAAGAGCAGCGTTTTATCACAGACACCAGTGTGGTCTCTTGTCATCATTTTTGAGTCTGTCTATGGACTAATAATCAAGCAGCTAAAAATAACAACAACTACTGTTGTCCCTCAATTGGAGGTTAAGGCCAGCCATTGTCAGGAGTTAGCATAGTCTAGACACTAAACAAGATGTGAGGAACAAGAAGCAGATAGTAATCTATAAGCAGTTTTAGCAAAGCTTTGCATCTTGATCTATTGCCCGTTTATCTCCGTGGGGAAGCCCGTTTTGTACCCTGTGGGACATTTCCAAGACTATTTGCTTCTGCCCATTTGTACCACTAGGCTATTTGCGTGGTTTCAGGACAAATGAAATAACACTCTATAGAAACCCTAAATTATTCTAACTTGTCTCTATATTTTATATCAGATAGAAATGAGTTGGAGAGATCTTAACTTCTGGTTCATGATAATTTCTGAAGAAAAGTTTGATATTTGCTGCTTATTAATTAAAAAAACTTTGTCTTCTGGCTTTTCTTGGATAATTGTAGGAACTCAGGGCATAAGGGTAACAATAAGAATAAAACGTTCATCTGTCTAGTATGAATTTATTCAACTATTATATTTGTATATTTTGCCTTAAGCATTTTTTAATATTTCCTGAATGCATTTTATGGTTTATCTGTCTTTGGTTGTGATTTTCAAGAGAATAGTATTCGTGGTGGTTGTTTGTGCCCTCTTTAAGCAAGTTAGTTGTATAATAAATACTGCTTGAAATTAATAGTGGTGGTTACTCCTATATCCATTTGTCTTCAGTATTAGCGTAATGGACCTGATTTGGAGCTGGCTGATTTTGGGTTTGAATGTGACTCTGGAAATGTCTTAGTGAGTCTCCATACAATAATAAAATTTTCAGCTTGAATGCCAAACAGTTTTTTTGACAAAGAGGTACAGGATAAATAGAGCTTCAGAAAATGCCTGAGAATTCACAGAAAGAAGCAAAATGTGAAGATGCAGGACAGAGGATTCAAATTACACTGGAGAGACAGCAGTGTTGCAACACCAGGTGGTCATTGCTAGAGGAGGAAGCAAAGCCAACAATATGCGCCCTGCAAAGCTTCCTGGAGAAAAGGGAAAGCTCCTTAACAGCCCTTATGATGAAGATTCTTACCTTAAAAGGAATTTTCAGCAAGAGCCTAAGATCAAGAAGCTTTTTGACAATAATGATACAGCGAATACTTTATCCTAGCTCACGAAAATAAAGGGCAGAAACTCAGTTGTTAGAAAAAGGGAAAGATTAGATGTGTTTGGGAGATGGAGAAAGTTAGTTCACAAGGAAATAGCCTCTACTTAGTGTATAGGGAGGATAAATCTGCCTGACACTTGGGACCCAGGGATTCCTGAAACTTCAGGTGTGTGGTAGGATGGGAGGTGGGAATGGAGAGGAATGAATCTGTGAGAGTTTCAAGTATCTGGCACAAGGGTAGGGAAATACTCTGTTGAAAAGCTTCTTGAGGTGGCTTTGACTGGCGGGAACAGTGGAGACAAGAGCAGGTGGCAATGGCCACCTGCCACACAAGATCTTAATTGTTCTACTTTTTGCTCAAACCCTCTGCATGTGGGATATTACTCTAGGAACAGGTGGTTGCTGTGGCAGCGAGGGTGGCACCTGTTACTTCAATTGGAGACAAGATCTCCTGGGCCTGCAGAGATAGACAGCTGACAATGGCAGAGACATGCATTTAGGAGGTAGAGGAAAATACACCTGAGCACCCAGAAGTCTTCTTCCTGCTATCTGAGCCAGAGAAACTGAAGGGTCAGAGTTGCCAGATTCTGCAACATCAGCACACTAGAAGTCTGGGAACTTCCTAGGAAATCATGATAAATGCTTAATGAACAGCCCATATTTTCTGTGCCACATGGCATGTCACTTTGTTCTTCACATCACTCAGTTTAACAACCTGACTCCAAATTTTTTTGTTCCCTTTGATTGGGTTCCCTGGCTTTGGGTGTTTACTGTCCTGGAAGCTACATAGGATCTTTGTTCCATGCACAAAACAGTGTAAAGAGGATCATTTTTGCAAGTGTTAAATTTCTTGCTTTAAATTATTGGCTGAGCCAAGGGTTTATTTTCCATGAACAGGTACTATACTGTGACTAGAATAGTGACTTTCAAACTTTTTTGACTACCATGACTCATAGGAATAAATTTGTTTTACATCAAGACCCAGTAGACAAACCTATGCATATAGAAAAGCTAGAAAGTTTAATAATACTGCAGCAATGTGCTATATAGTATAATTTTCTGGTTTTATTCTATTTTGCTTTCGAAAATGCTTTTTGTATTTCACAAAACTTATTTTGTAGCAGACAATGTGGAACAATCTGCATTTTAAAAAACGCTAGTCAAGAACAAGGGTGAACAAATTATAGCCGGGGCCAAATCTGCTTTTTTTAAATAAAGTTTTATTGGACCACAGCCATATGTATTCATTTACATATGGGCTATGGATACTTTTATGTAGTTGTGACAGAGACCATGTGGCCCAGAAAACCTAAAACATTTACTGTCTCTTCTTTTACAGATAAATGTACTGACACCTACTCTGGAACAAAGACAGGCAGTTTGGGTACATAAATGAGTATACATGTATAGTTTATATTTACATTTATATTCATATTTTTAGGTACATGCTTACCTGTATATAGGTCTATCTATAGTTAGGTGTTCTCAAATAATCTCCCAGTACATTTCAAAATATACTTAGGCCACCTAGAATGCAGTGTCCACTGAAGACATGTCTTGGGAATGCTTACTGTTTGCTGCCTTTGAAGTGTGTGAATAGCATGAATGTTTTAAGGTTGCCTGTTTTGGGGAGTTGTGGTCACTTATAATGGGGCTGGACAACTTGAAGAAAGAATGATAATAAAAATTTTTTAAATTTTTGGCACAAAAGATGGATCATTCACAGGGACTTTCTATACAACTTTTAAAAAAATTTTCTATATTTTAGAGCTTTAAGACCAAGAGAAAATAAAATAAGTTTCATCTTGCAGGTTGCTGATATAATTTCCGTTGAATTCATGGCTTTTATCAAATTGGTGCAAGAGTAAGGACGTTGATTGTTTTAACTATTGTGGGAAGGTAGGAAAAGTGTTTAATGAGGGCTGCTAGATGTGCTGGATGCTCTGGGGAAAACCTTAGGGTCCAGGTGGAGATACTGGGCACATACACATGACCACAGGATGAGAGGCCACTGGCAGTACCTAGTGATGACCAAGTAAGTGCAGTGGACATTCAAGACTGAAGGATATCAGAGAAAAAAAGCTGGAGAAATCTTAGGGTGCTAAGGACTGGGAGTTAGGAAGATGTGAACCTGGGATCCAGACTACTCCTGCCACTCAGGCTTAAATCATGTAATCTTTCTGAAACTCCCGAGTCCTTATCTGTTAAAATAGGAGTTGGGTCACGGATGGTTCTAGAATTACCTTATTGTTCTACATTTTATGGTTTCTCGGTCACAAAAGAAGGAAGAATTAAACCAAACTTTAAGGAAGTTAAGATTTTATTATAAGGGTGTAGGTACAGGATATTTCAGAAGGTGGGAATCACACAAACCAAATGTAGAACAAGAGAGTGTGAACTTCCTGTTAGAGGATGCAGAGTGGTTTGTGGTTCGTCCTAAATATTATAAAGATCAGAAAGCAGATATTTTGAAATATAAACCATCAGTACTACACTGTGGATGAAGGTAACAGTATGATTGGATTTGGGCTTATGATGAAAGGTGTTGATGTCCATCTATCCCTAGGTAACTGGTTCACTTGAATCCTTTAAGTTTCTTACATTTGGCCTTTGGTCAATATCATTCCTCTAATTCTGTTGCTACTTATCAAATCAAAAAAGGCATGGTGAAGAATTATTCTGCATCCTTGTATTTTTAACATTAAAGGAAATGAAGATATATCTCTGGTTACTTTAAGGAAGTTTTCTGTCATAGTGACCTGTGGTCTGTAAATAGCACATCACCACCCCCGTTATCTAGCCCCATAGGCTAATGGAGTGCTTGGGACTATATCATGAATATTTTTGAGCATATACATTTAGGAGAAAAATGTATTGACTGTATGACGTTTGGTGCAACAACAAATTGACAAAAACTTGTAAATGTTCTCACAGTCTGAGGGAGAGAGAGGGTGACGACACTTCAGTATTCTTGAATTTACAATTGTAATGGAAACACATTAGCAGAAGCACTGTTTAAGGGGTTAACAGTTTTTGGGCAGAATTGAGGCCAAGTGGTTTGTTTTGGTTTTAATAAGTCATCCTCACAAGATTGCTTTTTTTCTTATTAGTTGCCTTTTTATTTCAGAGGCTATAAGGTAACATTTAAGAGGTTATTTTGATTAAAATACTAAGTAGCTGCTTTCTATTTATAGTTTTAATCAGGCTTTCAAATGATTCATGTCTAACATTAGATGTAGTAAAACAATGAGTGTTGAATATTGTCATCTTGAAGCTACCAATGTGACGCTTCTTGCTGCTGGTTTTCACAGAAATATGTTTTAGGATGATTGGAATTGTGTATAAATAATCACACTAAATATTTGTGTCACTTTTCACCTTCCAAATCAAGGATTTTGTCAAGAAAAATGGCGTTAACTTCATAACAGCAGTGTTTGAATAAATACCTTTAGTACGAAGAATATTATTTCTATTATACTTCTCAGGAGAAGTAAGATAGATAAAGAATAGTATCAATTACCATATTATTTGTTTTATCATCATAGAGTAACAAAATAGCTTGAAGTGCTTGCCTGGTAACAGAGACAAGTTACTATAGAACAATGCCTAAGATTTAATGTTTACTCATTTACCACTATTACTCATAATTGAATAATAGATGGTGTGGGATGTTTTGGAAAAAGATCCACACAGTTTAGGTTGTGTTTAGTCCGTTCTCAAGCTGCTATAAAGAAATACCTGAGACTGGGCAATTTATAAAGGAAAGAAGTTTAATTGACTTACAGTTCTGCATGGCTGGAGAGGCCTCAGGAAACTTATAATCATGCTGGAAGGCAACTCTTCACAGGGTGTCAGAGAATGGGTGCAAGCAGGGGAAATGCCAGACACTTAAAAAACCATCAGATCTCATGAGACTCACTCATTATTAGGAGAACAGCATGGGGTAAATTGTCCCCATGATTCAATTACTTCCACCTGGTCCTGCCCTTGATATGTAGAGATTCTGGGGATTACAATTCAAGGTGAGATTTGGGTGGGGACACAGAGCCTAGCCATATCAGGTAGATTATGTGCATTTTATTCTATACTAGTTAGACTTCTCTACAGTCCTAATTAACATTATCAATGGTCCCTTTTCAATCCATCCAGCACCCTAGCAATCTGAAATACTGTCAGTTTGTCATACAAGATCTGGTTATCAGAAGATTGACCTAGATTTTGCAGTTTATGTATATTTAAATGGACTTGAAGTCATTATACTTGTAGACATAGATGGAAATGCTCTAATACTCAAGCAACCTCTGCATCACAGTATCCCCTCACTGCCTCCTTATCTACTTGGATATGTTGGATTTTCATTGTTGAATAGCATGATTGGGATGATTTTTGATATTGTCTATGGATGTGTTATTATGTGAATCTGACTGAAGCACAAATAGCCTGCTACAGATTGAATGTTTGTGTCTTCCCAAAATTCATATGTTGAAACCTAATCCCCACTGTGATGGTATTTGGAGGTGGGGCCTCTGAGAGGTGATTAGTTCATTAGAGTCCTCATGAATAGCATTTGTGCTGTTATAGAAGAGGTCTCAGAGAGCTCCTTTCTCCTTTCCACCATGTGAGGACCCAGAAAAGACAGCAGACTATAAACCAGGAAGTGGGCCCTCATCAGACGCTGACTCTGCTAGCACTTTGGTATTGGATTGTCCAGCCCTCAGATTTGTAAGAAATAAGTTTCTGTTGTTTACAACCCACCCAATCTATAGTGTTCTATTACAGCAATCTGAACAGACTAAGACAATGCCATAATGTGAATGTGGGCTTCAGATGTGCAACAAAACAGGGAAAAATGGACAGTGTGAATGTTGAGCCAAAAGAGAGAAATGCATTATGAATGATATTTAGAAGACCTAGGGGTCCCAAAAGATTGTTTTTTGAATCTGCCATGCTACAAAAACAGCTAAAAGAAAAATGAAAAAAATGACCTTAATCAAGACATCTGAAGATACTGTAGAAGTAGAAATGTAAGAGGGAACAGCTTTGCTCCCTAATGGTTATCACTGGGGAGAAACTCATTATGTCTTAGCCTTTCATGAAAGATCCATTTATTTATTCACTCATCAGTTATTAATTGAGTCCTTTCCATCATCTAGGCCCCAGTCAAACCTTACACACTAACCAGGACTTACCAACCTTATCATGATTGCTAATATTATTTTTTTAAAATTTACTTTTAATTACAAGTTAATACATGCATTTACTTCCTTTGAATCTGAAGGTAATGCCAAGATTTGATCATGAGAGTAGGTGCTACAGTTTAGGTCAAGGACAAGGCCATTGGGGCAGAGAAATTCAAGGATGGTGGAACCAGAGTATTATTGCATAGTTATCTAGTCAATACTGAAGTCACCAAAAATTATGAAAGGAGTGGTGTTAGAATTACAGTGAAGAAAATGTTAAATTCCTCAAGGAATCAGGGGCATGTTCCAGGGATTCTGTAAATGACTGCAACAATATTTAGATAAATATAAAGCATTCACTACTTAGCAGATGGGTGCTCCTGTCTGTTCCCCTTGCCCTCACTGGAAAGCTGGGGAAACATCCTGGTCCAAGTTGATCCAGTGAGACTATTCTTTATCTGGAGCTTAAGGGACATCGAAACCGAGAGGGTATAAAAAATGGTATTTGAATGGGATCAGCTGAGTCAATAAACTAGAAAATTGAGTACAATTGGATCGTGACAATGAGGCAGTGCTGGGCAATATGTGAGGCATATAGCTGAGGGATCAGAGGGCCAGGGATAGAGCAAAGGAGCATCTGGGAATCAGGCCATTTAAAGGTTATATGGAGATGGGAGGGTAGAACAGGAATGCAGGAGATCATTCAGGCTTTGGAGAGGTCCCTGTGGTGTGACAGAGGTTGTCCAGATTTACTTATTTAAAGCACCAAGATCAGTGTAGATAACACCCAAACACCCAAGAATATTGTCCCTCCTACGTAATGACTTTTTAGTCATTATGAACACCCCCACCCACCCAGAATCCTATCTCTCCATTCTGACTATTGCTTATGAAAGCTTGTGTGTTCATCATACCATCAGCCTCTTTTACTTGGGCATTTTGGCACATGAATGTCGAAAAGCATTTTCTCTGGAATTAAGATTGTTAAGTCAGTTTTACTGGAAGGACTAGAGTTTTCATCTGGGATTGCTCCCTGGGGAAGCAACCAGGCAGCAGCATCTGCCTACAGCTTCAGGGAGGATCACCATTAATGAATGTGAGTAGAGAAGGGTGGACGGGTGGGGGGAGCTCCTGTTTACCCCACTGGTGCTCTTGGGCCCCTTGTGGCTGCTGTCATTTGCAGTGACATTTAAAATTCTCCCTGGTTTTCCATCATGTTGTCTATTTCCTTCATTGAGTCTCTTTATGCTCACAGTTTGTGTAAGATTTTCTCCTGTTTAAAAAAGCTGCTTAAAATGCAGAACCTTGCTTCCCATCTCCTCTTTTTACTTCCTGCTGCTGTTCTTGAAAATAATTGCTGTATATAGTCAATCCACAAAGCCTGAGAATAGGTAGAACCTTTACAGATTCTACATTATAAATTTAAGATTGCAATCTCTTCATTTTCACAAATGCCAAAGATGAGGGTCTGTGCTTTCATTTCTTTTCTGTCAAAAGGACTAAATTTAGTTGGTTGATTTACTTTTTATCATCCAAACATTAATTTTGCAAGCAAAGAAACTTTTCTAGATGGACTTTTAAAAGATAATATATCTGATCCTTAAAGCCCCGCATCAGCGATAATACATCAGAGATCTTTTTGGGGAGTTGGGTATTTTTTCCCCCATATTCTCATTTATCATTTAGTAGATTTCCTTTCTATATTCAGAAATAAGGTGTGAAAGTCCACATTTGTCTGAATTTTCTGTTAAAGTGAAACAGGTATGTATTTTCAATGTTCTACCAAGTTGTGAAGCTCGTAAATGAATTCTCAGAACTCTGACTCTTAGTCTTGATGTCCAGATGTAACTAATTTCTTTTCCTTAATGTTTGTTGTTTGTTTGTGAAATAGATAAAGTGGTTGGAAGGAAAGACCTCTGAAGGTTGTATGTGTGTGAGTAATACAATAATTCTGAGTTGGCCCACTGCAAAGCTCTTGGCATGGCTCTAGAGTGACTGTCACTCATCTCCTTAACTGTCTAATGAATTTTCTGCTGTCTTTGTTCAAAACCCTTCCCACACATATCCAGCCTTTACCCTCCCTATCATCCCTTAAGTGGCCTTGCCCAGCACTCCTTACCTGAGGAGATTTTGAAACCATCTTTGAAACATTTGACTCCCTCAGTTTCCTTCTGTATCTAATTTCTTTTATCTTTCAAGGTAAACCACAATGTTGTAACATCATCATGATTTTGAAACATTTCTAATTGATTGTCATCCAAAGCAGATTTTAGGGCTCTTCAACTATAGTTGATGCTATTGATGGATCAATATAAGAGGAAATATCTATAACAAACTTGTTTAGTCTCAGTTGTACAAGTATATTGAGCAGTGATAAGTATGAAGTATTTTAACACACTTTTTACATGTCTGAGTTTTAAATTTTGATTTAAATTTTTAGGTAGATTGTAAAGGAGCCATTGGGTGTTGTATGTGCTGATTTGTAATATGCTTGAAAATATATGTAATGTTGCAAACTAGAAGTATCCTGATTTAAAGTCAGATTTTTAGAAGTTCTTTTATAATCCATATAGCAGGTAAAACACTGAAGATATACAATTGGAAAGAAGACTTTGGAGTGAAATCTTAGTGGTATTAACTGAGAATTTAGTTCTCAATTGTTCTAGCAGCAAAATATAGAATCTAAATTCTAAAAATATTTATTGAACATCTACTATGTGCCAAGCTTTATTTTATTTTAATTAATTTATTTTTTTAAATGGAGTCTTTCTCTGTCACCAATGCAGTGACGCAATCTTGCCTCACTGCAACCTCCACCTCCCAGGTTTCAGTCATTCTTGGGCCTCAGCCTCCCAAGTAGTTGGGATTACAGGTGCCTGCCACCACTCCTGGCTAATTTTCGTATTTTTAGTAGAGATGGGATTTCACCCCAGGCTGGTCTCCAACCCCTGACCTCAGGTGATCCACTCACTTCGGCCTCCCAAAGTGCTGTAATTACGGGCATAAGGTACCGCACCTGGCTCAAGCTTTGTTTTAGATACTGAGGATACAGCAGTGAAAAAATAGAGGCAAAAATTCTTGACCTCAATTCTGCTCCTCTATGAACTCATATTCTTCTCGACAATAAATCAGATTGAATACAGGGTGATAAGTGCTAAGAAGAAAGGAGAAAAGGGGATACAACTTTCATCCTAGAGACTGTAATTTTAGCTTGGCTAGGAAAGTTACCCATCAAGGAGAATATTCTTAAGTAAAAACCTGGTGTATGAAGAAGGTTAATAACTTGCTGTTTAAAGTGAAGGCTAGTGAAGGAGCAACATTCCCTATGTACATGTAAATTGTAACTGCTGCTTTCTTTACTCTGTTGTTGGCCTAGTTAGGGGTGGCAACTCAAGCATGGTGAGGCCTTCTTAGGAAGTCTTGAGCCAGTGAAGCAAGTGAGTGCTTCTTGTCCAGGGACTTGAGTGTGTTTGACTTAGGTAACTGGTACCCTAGCAATTGATGTCGAAGTTGGAATGACCATAGAAACAATCTGGTTCAACTCCCACTGTATAGTAGAGAAAAGTGATAGCCCCCAAAATGTTTGCTAAGTTGAACTGACCAAAATAATATTATGATGACCTAACACGAAACCCACATATATCTTTTCCCAATAGAGTGTTTTTTCATAATACCTTACTTCCTTTAGGTACCATCATTGCAGTGGTAGTCATTAGAGACCTATTTTAAACTCATTTAATAAGATGTGGCTGGGAAATAAAAAAAAGTCCTCTTCTCTGCTCATTTTCCTTCTCTGTCATTACTGTTTTTTAAAAGTAATAAACTTTGGAATGGCACTGATTTCTTAAAACATGACAGTATCACAAAATCCCCATAATAGAAGCTCTGAGTCTCTCATTTCTTTTCAAAAAATTTGTTTAAAAATTTTTTGTTTTGCTTCATTTTTTTTTTTTTTCTTTAAAGAGACAGAACAGCTGGTTCTCTCTGAGCTACTGTTTTGGATTCAGCTGCAGTGATTATTTAATACTTTGTGCATGCATCATTCATACCTAGTATGTTCTGCTCCACAAAAGACATTTGTGGGTTAATGAAGTTGTACACATGTATGTCATCAAGGACCTGTTTTAAGCATAAGGCGCTATGGAAGCTCTTCTATTTAATGCAAAATATCCCACCTAAAATTTCTGGTTAGTAAATTTGAATTTTTAGTCTTTTGTACAAATAATTTCATGGTGCCATAGGCACTGGGGTCGGGATTAGTAGCATTTTGATTTGGTGAGCAGGTTAATTGTGTATAAAGTAAGCTTTTGTTAATGCAAAAAGTTGCTTCACCTCTCTTGCATGCACATGGCATTATAGAGATCATTTTTACAATGTGTAATCATAAAGGGGATCTTTAGAGACTGTTTTCTGCCAGTCACAGTAAAAAATTATCAGGATGCTTGCAATATCATAATCATAGAAATTAGAAGAGATTATATGCTGTGATTCATGGAAGGACATTACCTTGTCTGAGAAAAGAGCTGCGTTTTGTGTATATGTGTGTTTGTGTTCATGTGCATGCAAGTTTGTGTGCCTGTTTGAGTAGTGTGTGATTCTTTACTATTTCCTTTCCACTTTTCATTGTTTCTAGAGCTGTCTCATCTTCCATTGCTATCCCAGGACTTTACTTAGTGACTAAAAAAAAAAACAAAAACTTAAACGTTTAAGTCCCCTTACAGGAATCATTATTTTAGAGACTAACTCAAATAGCAGAACTATTTGAGATACTTTTTACTTCACTACCCCAGGTGAATTTTTTTTTTAAATACTTAATCATTTTAAATACACTAATTATGACTTCTTTAGTTAAATGATATAAAATCAAATAGAGAATCCTAGCAGTAGTATTCTTCAACATATTCAGCTAGCACAGTGCTGCCTATCTAGCAAACACTGAATGAATAGGTATGGATGAGTTGACCGTGGATATTGTAAATTTCTTTTCATTCATTTGTTTGCATTTAATTATCCAAATATACCTACCTATAGGATGTGACAAATACTTCTTATCAGTCTATTATGCTTTAGGTTTTGGGGGATATAATGGTGAACAAGAGGTAGTCTTTGCCCTCAAGGAACTCAATTGTCATAGGATGAAAAGGAAACTTCTAAGACCACTCTTAGTCGTCATATATGTCATATTAAGCATCTCCAAAGCATGGCCCTATGCATGTTGCTGGAGATACAAAGAAAATGAATGAAGCACTCCTGCCTTCAGGTAACTCACAGATTAATTAGTGGGCAAGACCTACATACAAGACCCAGCAAGGTAAGGCCTGGTAGGGTGATAAATGAATATCAATCATCTTGTCCTTTCCTCTGTGTTCCAGAAAAATGCATGTCTGTCCCATACGCCCCATGGATGAAACTTCCTAATTCTTCCAGTGACTTAGGTTTCCACACTTAGACTTCCTCTCTGTCTTACTTTCCTCTTTTGTCTCTCATTTTTAATCTTCTTTCTCATATTCTCTCATAGTTTCAAAGGGAGAAAAAAATCTAGTCTTTCTATTCTCACAGACTCCCTTCTGCTTGGAACAATGATTATTCAACAAAGGGGCTAGATTTTTTCAGGTATATTATCTCCATTGAACCATTTAAGCCCCTTTTTGCTCTCAATTTTTTTATCATTTCAGATTGCATCTGCAGAAGACCCCATTATTGCCACAAACTATTTAATCAACTCAGTGACCTTCATCACACTATAGGCAAAGACCCACAGAGGTAATTTTAGCAAAAGTGGATTCCTCATATTTGATTTGATGAAAGGATAAAATCACTCTATTCAACCTAAGTGACCCTATTTGGAGTTTTTATTAAAAAAAATCCTGGATTAGCTTAGATTTGTCAGTGACCAACCTTGCATAAGATAAAATATAATTATATGGCAATTTTAACATCTTGAAATTGGTTTTGGTGGGGAAAAAGATACAATTAGCTGAAATAAGTGAGGGACGAAGGGAGAAAGAGAGAATTTTAGAATAGTTTTTAGTTGTAGTTTCCTTACTGGAGATGCTAAATTAAGATTTCTAAATGAGAATTCAGTGTGTCAGAATGCTTTGGCGTGATGCAGAATGTATTATTTATTCTATAGATGACTGAGCAGATGAGTGGATTTGGGCAAATCAAAAGTCTCGGGTTTTATGACTGAGTCAGAAATAAATTTTCTTTCTTATAAATGCCTAAATAACATATATTCCATAAAGCTTTCTTTCTTTTTCTTTTTTACATACTGTGAACATGGAACACAAAGCTTTCCCATCAAATATTTCTCCTATCAAAAAGAGATATACTTGCATAAAGATTGGTTGTTATGTTCTGTGTTTATATACAGTGGTATATTTTATTCTTGTCTGAGCAATTAGAATTGCCTCTAACTTGTTTCAGTGACTCCAGTTTCTCCCTGTTCAAGTCAGTTTTGCAATCTGCTATTTGATTAATCTTTGGGAAACTCTGATACACTCATCTGCTCAAAACTTGGAATAAGCTCACATTGTTTCTATAACAAGAGTCAAATGTTTTTTCTGTTATTTGAAAATGTTAATTTTACCTTAATAATATTATTTATTATTTTATTTTATTGGTTCTGTTTCAACCAAATGAAACTACTGCAATTTGCCATACCAAACACAAACTTTTCCCTTTCCAAGCCCTTTCTTTAAGTGTACTCTCTGTTTTATTAGATGAGCTCCCTCTGCTCTTCTTACATCTAAAGGCTTTCTACTGAAAGACTGAAAGACCACTATTTTTACAAGGTTTTTCCAGAATCTTCACTATCATAAGATATTTTTCTCTTTCCCAAACTCCCAATGTACCTTATACATATATGTATACATACGTAATCTCTCTCTGTCTCTCTTTCCCTCTATCTGTAAGAGAATGACTTGAATCTCCTAGAAGAGAATAACAATGTAATCTTCATTGTACCTCTTGGTTGTGTTCTGCCTTTCATACAATAGACACCTAATAATCATTTCTAATACAGAATTTGGTGTGAGGCTTGTCTGTTATCCATGGCCAAAAATGTAGAATTATGGAGATGCCGGAGAAAAGGTACTCTCAACATAAATAATTTTACTGTGAAGAATAACTAAAGTGCCTCTATATCATGTCCGAATTACAGAAGGGGGTATGAGCTAGCTATTGTCCTGTCTACACCAGTCAGAACTTCTAGCAAGGAAATAGAAAGGCCATGGAAATAGTTTGTGCAGAGACAATTGGCGACCCTAAAAAATTAATTAAGATGTGGTGCAATTAAAATACTGTGCTTCACGTTCAAAAGAGGAAAAGAGTAACAGCTTGTGATAGATGTCAGTATGTGGTTCTGGTACCAATCAGGAAGAACGGTGAGGTCAGAAATCAAAGGAACACCCAATTCTGGTATCCAGAAATGAGATAATTCAAAAAGGCAGCTTTCATTTTTCAAAGATAGGTGTCAATATGTGGTTCTGGTACCAATCAGGAAGAATAGTGAGGTCACAAATCAAGGGCACACCCAATTCAGGTATCCAGAAATGACATAATTCAAAAACAGAGCTCTCATTTTTCATATCATTCAACAGAAGATTTAGGCAGGTATGTTTTCATTCTGTAATTAAAGGCCATCTGAAAGTTATTCAAAGTTTAATTTTAATTTATGTTATACTTCTGGGTTTCTGTTTAATAATGATAGATCCCTATCTACTAAGCTACCTCCACATTCCTAAGAATCATATATCAACAGAAATATTCAATCAGAACACCTTGGCCTTTGGTTGTATTATAACTAGGAGAAATTGCTTTAATTTACAGTGAGCAAGGGAAATAAACACTATAAACAAGCAGAGTCATCTTTGGAGCCCACACCCAAGCAGAGTCAGGGGGAGGTTGTGTGAAAAAGAGTTAAATACAGAGAGTATAATAGGTGGTGGAACACAGAGATCATACAGTGTTAACCCCAGAACAAGAGGGCTGTACCTTGAGTGGAAATATCAAGAATATGTGTAAGGTCTTGTGGGTCGGGGCACTGGCTAATGAGGAGTCAGTAAAAAGAAGCTTGAAAAGTGATCAAGACAAGAATTGGCAAAATAGAGAAGATGCCACTTCTGGGAAAGAGGAAGATACATTGGAAGGAGGAGTGTCTCCTTGTAGCCTTAGTGGTTAAGGAAAGAAGGCAGAGGCGGAAGAGATGAGTATTGCTGAAATAATGTAGTATGAAAAAGAAGAAGAGGAAGAAGAAGAAGGAGGAGGAGGGGAAGTTATTTTTAAAAACTGCTCTTTATTGTGGCAATTAAAAGAGATATATTGATTTGAAAAAGTGGGAGACCTATCCACTTATTATCTTCCCTCGCTGTAGGATCTCTTCTTGTTGGACCAGGAAAATCCAACACAAATAAATATGAAAAATAAAGATAGGAACCCATCCTCACTCCCCCAGCTGCAGAGAGGAGGAAGACAAAAGGACAGTACTAATGACATGTCTCTTAGATGGGGTCTGCAACTGTCACTGAGGTGTAGCTGCTTACGCACCTCCTTGATGCCTTTTGGGACTTCTGAAAGGCACAAGGCCAGGAACTCCTCCTGGCAAGGACTGCAAGGCTCTGCAGCAAGTGCAGAAACTGGATCAGCTTCTCTGAGACCCGTTTACCACCTACCCCCTTCTTCCTCTTTAT